>NC_000001.11:178033071-178336102 GCF_000001405.40 Homo sapiens
AGAAAAGTCCATTCCTAAAAACATATTGTTTAAAGATTAGGTTATCTGTAAAACACAACACCATGGAGATGAGAAAACACTGATCGACAGGCTATTCCAACAGCTTTCGGAGCTGAGGATTTAGGTGCCCCTCCTCCTCTCCATATGCAGGTAGAGAGGTAAGGTGTTATACTCAAAGCACAGGAAAGTAAACATAAGATTTCACCATCACAACCTGGGAAGCTATAGCAGTCTCAATCTTACCATGACACAAATGAAAATTTCAAGAATGTGCAAAAGCACAGAGAATCACAGGTACACAGGTACTTTTGACCCTAATCACTGGGACCTCCTATAGCACCCCAGTGACAATGTTCATCCTATTTATTTATCTGTTTTCAAGTCTCTTCTGCTGGCCTGTAGGGCCCTCAAGGACATGAACTGTGTTTATTCAGACAGTACTTGGCTCAACTGGATGAACTGGTGCTGTCTGCCCTTTCCTTTTTCACCTCTGAAATTTCTGAATTAATGATGATGTTTCCTACTTGAGCTGCCAGGGGAATAACTCAATTGTGTATGACATCTTCCCCCCAACCAGTATTTCAGCAAATATAAACAGAAGGAAATGGTTCTAACTGTCGAGATACAATCAAACACCCTGAAAACAAAACACGGTAACTATTTGCAATCACTCTATCTTTCATGATATATATCTGTATAAAATGTACATGTACTATATACATGCTAAGCTATACTTACATCCCTTTAAATAAATTTCAACAACAAAAATCAGTCACTTGTCCACATGTGCAGGATCTAGGGGTAGACTGGGAACAAAAATCAGGCAGAGGGCTGCTAAGAAATCCACACTCTTCTTCTCTCTGATCCTTTGGCATTAGGTTTTGTTTGTTTGTTTGTTTGTTTTGTTTTTGAGACGGAGTCTCACTCTGTTGCCCAGGCTGGAGTGCAGTGGCATGATCTTGGCTCACTGCAACCTCCGCCTTCTAGGTTCAAGCAATTTTCCTGCCTCAGCCTCCCGAGTAGCTGGGACTACAGGCGCACACCGCCACGTCCGGCTAATTTTTGTATTTTGGTAGAGACAGGGTTTCACCATTGTTGCCCAGGCTGGTCTTGAACTCCTAGGCTCAGGCAATCCGCCCGCCTCAGCCTCACAAAGTGCTAGGATTACAGGCGTGAGCCACCATGCCCGGCCTGGCATTAGGTTTTATTGGGAATGTGTCTGTGAGGCTGAAAGTTTTAGCTGCAAACAGATGTCTGTGATCCTTCAGTGAAGAAACAAAACTGGGGCAATATCCAGCAAGGAAAGGGAATGAATGGCTAGGACCAATGATAATTCTGGTGAAAATTCATTTGTTCATTTCTTCATTTTTAGAGTATTTATTGAGCACCTACTAAGAGCCACGTACAATGCTAAGCTGGGGGATATAATGTTGATCAAGACAGGCATAGACTTTGCCCTCATGGGGCTCACAATCCAGTGATCCCAATACACAGTGAGATGGACACATATAACTGAAACATCACCGATGGCAGGCAGACACCAACAGAGCACTGCCTGAGCCCAGGGGCATGATTCTGAAAACTCCCTGTATCTTTTTTTCCTGAAGCAGTCACTTGGTCTCCCTATACTCACCAGGTGTGAAGGGAAGATGGGGCCTTTCCTGATATTGATCACGGCAGATCAAAATATCACCAAAGTTAACTCCACAGAAATGGACATCAACTCTGACCTACAAAAGAAATAGAGCAGCAAAGCAGAACAGTACACATCCACGGAGACAATGTTTATTCAATCATACCAAAATAGTTACTGAATGACAACAACATGCCAGGTACTAAAGTAACAGCTGGCACACACTCATGGGCAAGGCCTCTGCCTTCATGAAGCTAAAGTATAGGAGGGAAAACAGATATTAACCAGATAATAATGAAGATACATATATTAAGTTATAACTCCAGTACCAAGCATTAATGATAAAAAATATATGGTGCTATGAAAGCACATAATGGAAGGATTTGACCACTTAGGGAAGTCAGGAAAAGCATTCCTAAGTAAGCAACACTTTGAACTAACAACTGAGAGTTAACTATTCAAAATAGGAGGCAAAAGCCTTGGCACAGACAAAAGCAATGGCGTGTACAAAGACACTACAGTGGGGACACAAGAGAGTTTGAAGCCTTACTGAGGATTTTTTTTTTTTTAAGACGGACTCTCACACTGTTGCCCAGGGTGGAGTGCAGTGGCATGATCTCAGCTCACTGCAACCTCTGCCTCCCCGGTTCAAGCAATTCTCCTGCCTCAGCCTCCCAAATAGCTGGGATTACAGGCATGCACCACCACACCCAGCTAATTTTTTTTGTATTTTTAGTAGAGACAGGGTTTCACCATATTAGCCAGGCTGGTCTTGAACTCCTGACCTCGTGATCCGCCTGCCTCAGCCTCCCAAAGTGCTGGGATTACAGGCGTGAGCCACTGCATCCGGCCTCCTTACTGAAGATCTTAATTTTCATACTAGGAACAATGGGAAGTCATTAATGAGTTTTAAACAGAAGGGTAAAATGATCAGCTCTTTGGGGAATCTGGAATCCTTTACCCTAGTCCCAGATCCCCAGCCTCTATGTTTTGTGATAGTGCCATAGCTGAGGCAGACCTACAGCAGTGTAGCCAGTAGTTTCTCTAGGCCTTGTAAGCCCACGGTTCTCAAAATGTGGCCCCAGACCACCAGCATCAGTATCACCTGGCACAGGCCAGGCACAATGGCTCATGCCTGTAATCCCAGCACTTCAGGAGGCCAAAGCAGGAGAATCACTTGAGCCCAGGAGTTCGAGACTAGCCTGGGCAACCATCTCTACAAAAATAAAAATTAAAAAATTAGCCAGGAATGGTGGCATGTGCCTGTGGTCTCAGCTACTTGGGAGACTGGGGTGGGAGAACTGCTTGAGCCTGGGAGGTCAAGGTTGCAGTGAGCCATGATCATGCCACTGCACTCCAGCCTGAGTGACAGAGTGAGACCCTATCTCAAAAAAAAAAAAAAAAAAGAAAAGAAATTCAAATTATCAAGCCCCATCCCAGACCTACTGAATCAGAAGCTCTGAAGACAAAGCCTAGCGTTCTGTTTTAACAAGCCTCAAGACCAGGGGTTCCCAACCCCGGGGCCACAGACCGGTATGCTGTCAGGAATCCAGCTGCACAGCAAGAGGTGAGCAGACAAAGCAAGCATACCGCCCAGCTCTGCCTCCCGTCAGATCAGTGGCGGCATCAGATTCTCACAGAAGTGCGAACCGTATTGTGAACTACACAGGCAAGGGATCCAGGTTGCGCACTCCTTATGAGAATCTAATGCCTGAGGATCTGCGGTGGAACAGTTTCATTCCAAAACCATCCCCTCCAACCCCCATCAGTCCATGGAAAAACTGTCTTCCACAGAACTGGTGCCAAAAAGGTTGCGGACCGCTGTGCTAGACAACCACTGTCATAAACCAACACATCCCAACAGGGGTTGGAATTACTGGAAGAAATGAAAGCTGAGACACCAAAGGGATGATATTGATTTGTTTGTACAGAGGTGGCCATATTGGTGAGAAGAAATTTTTATCTACAAAATTCATTCATTCAACAATTTTTTAAGCCTCTGCCACATGCCAGGAACCATTTTAGACTTAAGGGATTTAGTAGTGAGTAAAACAAACATAGTCACAGCTCTCATGGGCTAATTCCTTACAATGCAATGTCTAGGACAAATAACAGAACAAAGGAGCCTAGCCCTCAGCCTGGACACATTCCATGCAGGACACATCAGTTATTGACAGGCATGCACAGGGCACACATGTGTTCTCCAGCCACTCCACCTAGATTTAAGGATGATTTGAGGATGAATGTCGTTCAGCATGTGAATCCCAGGAAGTAGATTGGCTGCCATCATGTGCTCATTCAAATAATCCGTGTTAGCCATGTTAGTTAACAGGCTCCATGCTGGTAACACTTCAGGGCTATGGCTGCCTTTCTCCCTCTCCCTGAAGGTCTCCAACACTGAGGCCCACTATCTGCTTCACGCTGTCTGAGGTTCTCATCTCCACACCAGATGACACTGTGTTACTAGAGTGGTCAATAGGCAAGGCCAAAATGATGTCCACATTTCAGTGGACCAGCTGCCCACATCCCTAAACGAACCCCATCCCAAATGTCTGCAATATACCAGAGGCGTATGTTCACATGGAAACACGGAGGTTACCGGGCTGGTTTCAGGGAGGCAGAGGCCGAATAATTCGATTCCGGCACTGAGGTGGAAGGAAGCAAAGGATGAGGTCCATGTACCTGTGTTAAACCAATAACTTGCACATACAAAGTCGTGTGCAAATCAGAATTCTCTGTTTCTAAGGCAACAGCTCTGAGCATTGAGAAAGAGGCCTATAGGCGTGTTTTGGGGGAACAATCTTCCTTTAGCACTTTAGACCTTGGAAAGGGCTTCAGCCCCCTAGCTATCCCAGGACGAAGTTGCCCTCCACTCTCTCGGTCGCCCCCTCGCTTCAGAACTGGGAACTTGATTCAAGAAGGAAGCCTGCGGGGAGTGTGTGGTGGCGGGGAGAAGGGGAGGGTAGAAGGGGATAAGCCAGCCCCCTACCTCGTGAGGCCCGACGGGGCGGGGGCCACCTCTTCAATGGTCAGGGGCTTCTTCAGCTCTGCGCAAATCGCAGCGCGGTAGTGCCGGCCGCTGCCCTGTCCGGCTCTCCTGCAACACAAAACAAGGGAAGGGTCAGTCGGGCAGCCCCGCCGGGAGCACCCTGGGACTGCCTTGCGGGGCTCAGGGAGGAGTCGGGGTTGCACCTGCAGACCCACGCCCGAGGGAGGCACTGCCTGCAGAGCACGGCCGCCAAGGCCAAGCCCAGCGAGGGGCGAGGGGGAGTGGCCAGAGCGCGGCAGGAAGAGCCGGACAGCGCCGCCCAGCCCCGGGAGAGCGGAAGGGCGGCCCGCGAGGCCTCCTGGCGACGCGCCCTGGCAGCCACGACCCAACCCCGGCGGGGCAGCTCCGGTCCAGTGCGCCCGGCTTCTACGGCCGCCGAGACCAAACGACCGCGCGAGCTCCCTGTTGGGCCTCTCTGGAGGTGGAGCCGGCTGGAAGAAAAAAAGAATAAAGGAAAACACCAGGAAACGGAATTCGATTACCCGAGATTAACCTTCTTTGGCATTTTTATAACAAATTTGGGAGACTTTTTTTTTTTGTAGTTTCAACTTTTATTTTAGATTCAGGGGCTACATGTGCAGATGTGACCTGGGTATATTGTGTGATGCTAAGGTTCAGGGTACGAATCATCTCGTCACTTCGGTGCTGAACATAGTACCTAATAGTTTTTCAACCCTTGCCCCCCTCAAAATTGGGAAACTTTTTAAACCACACTTGGCGACATTTAAATAGTGGTTCTTGGCTGGGTGGTTAACGCCTGTAATCCCAGCACTTTTGGAGGCCAAGGCGGGTGGTGGCCAGTGTCTGTGGTCTCAGCTACTCAGGAGGCTGAGGCGGGAGGGTCGCTTGAGTGCAGGAGTTGGAGGCTGCGGTGAACTATGATCGCACCACCCTGAGTGACAGAGTGAGACCTTCTCTATCGATTAGATAGATAGACAGACAGACAGATGATACATAGATAAAGGTTATTGGGTCCTCTGCCAGTGCAAAAAATCCTAAATGCACAGGTAAAGGCTTTATTTATGTATTTATTTTTGAGACAGTGTCCTTCTCTGTCACCCAGGCTGGAGTGTAGTGGCACTATTTCGGCTCACTGCAACCTCCGCCACTTAGGGTCAAACCATCCTCCCGCCTCAGCCTCCCATGTAGCTGGTACTATAGTTGTGCGCCACCATATCTGGCTAATTTTTGTATTTTTTTAAAGACGGGTTTCATCATTTTGCCCAGGCTGGTCTCGAACTCCTGGCCTCAAGCGCCCTGCCCGCCTCAGCCTTCCAAAGTGCTAGGATTACAAGTGTGAGCCACCACACCTGCCTAGGTGAAGGCTTTAAAGTCAGCATTTGAACACCTTGTTAGAGTTCAATTCTTGTTACTAATTTTCTCACATTTGCAGGACCATTTACACTAAATCCAAAGAGTTACTAATGATCCAATGTTGAATGAGCCTACACAAATCCAAATAATACTTCCAGTTAAAATCAGACCAAAACCCACCACGGGGAGAGTGGAAGAGCATTGGTTCTCATGTCCCCAATGCCAGTATTATGCTTGGCACATAGTAGATGCTCAATAAATGATTGTTGACTCGAAGACCAACACAGACCATTCACACTAGGCGAATAAGCACACTCTGGAAGAATTGAAAATATACAATATAATCTGTGAAATATTATAAAATTGGGTAGATCTCTATTGCAACAGTAACCAAATATTTATAGGCTAGCTATATAAGAGAAGCACACATTATGTTGGAGAGAATATTTCGTTTGACAGGTAACTTTTAAAGACAGCCTGATGTCTTTAAAAGACATCTGGCAGAAGAGTAGTCTCAGGTTCAAGCCCAGCTCTCCCACTTATTTGCGGGTTTAACATTGACATTTCTTGGCTCTCTGTCTCAGTGAACTCCTCTGTAAAATGAACACATCGGGCAGAATAATCCCTAAGTTCTAAATTCCTTCTATTTTTTGACAGAAACAGAATTCCCAGATAGAGCATGACCTGGAAGGCATGATCAGGAATGGAATAAAGGGAAAATGGAGAGCAAAAATGAAGTAGGAATGAACTTCTGAGATTATAGCCTAAAGGCTCTGGGGAAAAGGAGTACAAGAGCAAGGTCCTCACCTTGGATATACAACAGAGCTTACTGTTATTTTAATAGCACTCACAAGGAATTTGAGAAGTCATTTTAGTCCTCTCCCCCTTCCCACAAGAGGAAGACTAGAACAATGACTAGAAGCTGAGAAGTTGAAAAAACTTGTGTTTCCAATGAGACAATAAAGCACTTTGTGAACTGTTAATCATTAGACATATAAAATCAAACCAGGAATAATGGAGAAATACTAATGTTATCATCAAAGTGAACATTCTGGTTGCCAAATAACAGTGAGCAACTGGGTGCAGTGGCTCACACCTGTAATCTCAGCACTTTGAGAGGCCGAGGGAGGTGGATCGCTTGAGGCCAGGAGCTCACAGCCTGGGCAAGATAATTGTCAGGCCTCTGAGCCCAAGCTAAGCCATCATATCCCCTGTGACCTGCACATATACATTCAGATGGCCTGAAGCAACTGAAGATTCACAAAAGAAGTGAAAATAGCCTTAACTGATGACATTCCACCATTGTGATTTGTTTCTGCCCCACCCTAACTGATCAATGTACTTTGTGATCTCCCCCACCCTTAAGAAGGTTCTTTGTAATTCTCCCCACCCTTGAGAATGTACTTTGTGAGATCCACCCCCTGCCCGCAAAACATTGCTCCTAACTCCACCGCCTACCCCAAAACCTATAAGAACTAATGATAATCCCACCACCCTTTGCTGACTCTCTTTTCGGACTTAGCCCGCCTGCACCCAGGTGAAATAAACAGCCTTGTTGCTCACACAAAGCCTATTTGGTGGTCTCCTCACATGGACGTGCATGACATTGGGTGCTGAAACCCGGGACAGGAGGACTCCTTCGGGAGACCAGTCCCCTTCCCCTGTCCTCGCCCTCACTCCTTGAGGAGATCCACCTGCAACCTCGGGTCCTCAGACCAACCAGCCCAAGGAACATCTCATGAATTTCAAATTGGGTAAGCGGTCTTTTCACTCTCTTCTCCAGCCTCTCTTGCTACCCTTCAATCTCCCTCTCTCGCTACCCTTCAATCTCCCAGTCCTTCCAACTCCAGTTCTTTTTCCTCTCTAGTAGAGACAAAGGAAACACATTTTATCTGTAGACTCCAGCGCCAGTCACGGACTTGGGAAGACAGTCTTCCCTTGGTGTTTAATCACTGCGGGGACGCCTGCCTGATTATTCACTCACACTCCATTGGTGTCTGATCACCGCGGGGACGCCTGCCTTGGTCATTCACCCACATTCCTTTGGTGGCAAGTCAATTGCGGGGACACCTGCTTTGGCTGCTCACCTACTCCCTTCTCCATGTCTCTACCTTTCTCTTTAAACTTACCTCCATTACTATGGGCAACCTTCCACCCTCCATTCCCCCATCTTCTCCCTTAGCCTGTGTTCTCAAAAACTTAAAACCTCTTCAACTCTCGCCTGACCTAAAACCTAAGCGTCTTATTTTCTTCTGCAACACCGCTTGGCCCCAATACAAACTCAATAATGGTTCTAAATAGCTAGAAAATGACACTTTTGATTTCTCCATTTTACAAGACCTGGATGATTTTTGTTGAAAAATGGGCAAATGGGTCTGATGTGCCTGACATCCAGGCATTGTTTCATACACTGGTCCCTCCTTAGTCTCTGCTCCCAATGCGACTCATCCCAAATCTTTCTTCTTTCTCTGCGGTCTGTTCCTTCAGTCTCCACCCCAAGCTCTGAGTCCTTTGAATGCTCCTTTTCTACAGACCCATCTAACCTCTCCCCTCCTACCCAGGCTGCTCCTCACCAGGCTGAGCCAGGTCCCAATTCTTCCTCAGCCTCCGCTCCCCGATCCTATAATCCTTTTATCACCTCCCCTCCTCACACCCGGTCCAGTTTACAGTTACATTCCTCCACTAGCCCTCCCCCACCTGCCCAACAATTTCCTCTTAAAGAGGTGGCTGGAGCTGAAGGCATAGCCAAGGTAAATGCTCCTTTTTCCGACCTCTCCCAAATCAGGGTTTAGGCTCTTTTTCATCAAATATAAAAACTCAACCCAGTTCATGGCCCGTTTGGCAACAACCCTTAGACGGTTTACTGCCCTAGACCCAGAAGGGCCAGAAGGCCGTCTTATTCTCAATATGCATTTTATTACCCAATCCACTGGCGACATTAGAAAAAGCTCCAAAAATTAGATTCTGGCCCTCAAACCCCACAACGGGACCTAATTAACCTCACCTTCAAGGTGTACAATAATAGAGTAGAGGCAGCCAAGTAGCAACGTATTTCTGAGTTGCAATTCTTTGCCTCCACCGTGAGACAAACCCCAGCCACATCTCCAGCACACAAGAACTCCAAATGCCTAAACTGCGGCGGCCAGGCATTCCTCCAGGACTGCCTGCCCCAGGATCTTGCTTCAAGTGCCAGAAATCTGGCCACCGGGCCAAGGAATGCCTGCAGCCTGGGATTCCTCCTATGCCATGTCCCATCTGTGCGGGACCCCACTGGAAATTGGACTGTCCAACTTACCCGGCAGCCACTCCCAGAGCCCCTGGAACTCTGGCCCAAGGCTCTCTGACTGATTCCTTCCCAGATCTTCTTGACTTAGCAGCTGAAGACTGATGCTGCCCGATTGCCTTGGAAGCCCCCCTAGACCATCACAGATGCCGAGCTTCGGGAACTCTCACAGTGGAGGGTAAGTCCGACCCCTTCTTAGTCAATATGGAGGCTACTCACTCCACATTACCTTCTTTTCAAGGGCCTATTTCCTTTGCCTCCATAACTGTTGTGGGTATTGATGGCCAGGCTTCTAGACCCCTTAAAACTCCCCAACTCTGATGCCAACTTGGACAACATTCTTTTATGCGCTCCTTTTTAGTTATCCCCACCTGCCCAGCTCCCTTATTAGGCTGAGACATTTTAACTAAATTATCTGCTTCCCTGACTATTCCTAGCCTATAGCCTCACCTCATTTACACCCTTTTCCCCAGTTCAACACCTCCTTCGCCTCCTCCCCTTGTACCTCCCCACCTTAATCCACAAGTATAGGGCACCTCTACTCCCTCCTTGGCGTCCAATTATGCACCTCTTACCATCCCATTAAAACCTAATCACCCTTACCCCACTCAATGCCAATATCCCATCCCACAGCATGCTTTAAAAGGATTAAAGCCTGTTATCACTTGCCTGTTACAGCACGGCCTTTTACAGCCTATAAACTCTCCTTACAATTCCTCCATTTTACTTGTCCAAAAACCAGACAAGCCTTACAGGTTAGTTCAGGATTTGTGCCTTATCAACCAAATTGTCTTGCCTATCCAACCTGTGATGCCAAAGCCATATACTCTCCTATCCTCAATACCTCCCTCCACAACCCATTATTCTGTTCTGGATCTCAAACATGTTGTCTTTACTATTTCTTTGCACCCTTCATCCCAGCCTCTCTTCACTTTTACTTGAACTGACCCTGACACCCATTAGGCTAAGCAAATTACCTGGGCTATACTGCCACAAGGCTTCACAGACAGCTCCCATTACTTCAGTCAAGCCGAAATTTCTTCCTCATCCGTTACCTATCTCGGCATAATTCTTCATGAAAACACACGTGCTCTCCCTGCTGATTGTGTCTGGCTAATCTCCCAAACCCAACCCCTTCTACAAAACAACAACTCCTTTCCTTCCTATGCATGGTTAGGTACTTCCGCCTTTGGATACCTAGTTTTACCATCCTGACTAAACCATTATATAAACTCACAAAAGCAAACCTAGCTGAATCCATAGATCCTAAATCCTTTCCCCACTCCTCTTTCCATTCCTTAAAAACAGCCCTAGAAGCTGCTCCCACACTAGCTCTCCCTAACTCATCCCGACCCTTTTCATTACACACAGCCAAACTACAGGGCTGTGCAGTCAAAATTCTTACACAAGAGCTGGGACCACACCCTGTAGCCTTTCCATCCAAACAACTTGACCTTACCTTTTTAGGCTAGCCTCTACATTATTCCTGATACCACACCTGACCCCCATGGCTGTATCTCTCTAATCCACCTGACATTCACTCCACTTCCCCATATTTCCTTCTTTCCTGGTCCTCACCCTGATCACACTTGGTTTATTGATGGCAGTTCCACCAGGCCTAATTGCCACTCACCAGCAAAAGCAGGCTATGCTATAGTATCTTCCACATCTATCATTGAGGCTACTGCTCTGCCTCCCTCCACTACCTCTCAGCAAGCCGAACTCATTGCCTTAACTCGAGCCCTCACTCTTGCAAAGGAATTACGTGTCAATATTTATACTGACTCCAAATATGCCTTCCATATCCTGCACCACCATGCTGTTATATGGGCTGAAAGAGGTTTCCTTACTACGCAAGGGTCCTCCATCATTAATGCCTCTTTAATGAAAACTCTTCTCAAGGCTGCCTTACTTCCAAAGAAAGCTGGAGTCATACACTGTAAGGGCCACCAAAAGGCATCAGATCCCATTGCTAGGGGCAGCACTTATGCTGATAAGGTAGCTAAAGAAGCAGTTAGCATTCCAACTTCTATCCCTCACGGCAGTTTTTCTCCTTCTCATCTGGTCACTCCCACCTACTCTCCCACTGAAACTTCCACCTATCAATCTCTTCCCACACAAGCAAATGCTTCTTGGACCAAGGAAAATATCTCCTTCTTGCCTCACAGGCCCATTCTATTCTATCGTCATTTCATAACCTCTTCCATGTAGGTTACAAGCCGCTAGCCCACCTCTTAGAACCTCTCATTTCCTTTCCATTGTGGAAATCTATCCTTAAGGAAATCACTTCTCAGTGTTCCATCTGCTATTCTACTACCCCTCAGGGATTGTTCAGGCCCCCTCCCTTCCCTACACATCAAGCTCGGGGATTTGCCACCCCCAGGACTGGCAAATTGACTTTATTCACATGCCCAAGTCAGGAAACTAAAATACCTCTTGATCTGGGTAGACACTTTTGCTGGATGTGTAGAGGCCTTTCCCACTGGGTCTGAGAAGGCCACCATGGTCATTTCTTCCCTTTTGTCAGACATAATTCCTCAGTTTGGCTTTCTCACCTCTATACAGTCCAATAACAGACCAGCCTTTACTAGTCAAATACCCAAGCAATTTCTCAGGCTCTTGGTATTCAGTGGAACTTTCATACCCCTGACCGTCCTCAATCTTCAGGAAAGATAAAACAGACTAATGGTCTTTTCCCAAAAACTCACCAACCAAGTAAGTAATTACACTGGACCCCCTTGGGCACTCTCTAATTGGATGTCCTGGGTCCTCCCAATTCTTAGTCCTTTAATACCTATTTTTCTCCTTCTTTTATTCAGACCTTATATCTTCTGTTTAATTTCTCAATTCATCCAAAACTGTATCCAGGCCATCGCCAATCATTCTATATGAAAAATGCTCCTTCTAATCACCCACAATATCACCCCTGACCACAAAATCTTCCTTCAACTTAATCTCTCCCACTCTAGGTTCCCACACCACCCCTAATCCCGCTCGAAGCAGCCCTGAGAAACATCGCCCATTATCTCTCCATACCACCCCCAAAATTTTTCACCTCTCCAACACTTAACCACTATTTTGTTTTGCTTTTCTTATTAACATAAGAAGACAGGAATGTCAGGCCTCTGAGCCCAAGCTAAGCCATCATATCCCCTGTGACCTGCACGTATACATCCAGATGGCCTGAAGCAACTGAAGATCCACAAAAGAAATGAAAATAGCCTTAACTGATGACATTCCACCATTGTGATTTGTTTCTGCCCCACCCTAACTGATCAATGTACTTTGTAATCTCCCCAACCCTTAAGAAGGTTCTTTGTAATCTCCCCCACATCTTAAGAAGGTTCTTTGTAATTCTCCCCACCCTTGAGAATGCACTTTGTGAGATCCACTCCCTGCCCACAAAACATTGCTCCTAACTCCACCGCCTACCCCAAAACCTATAAGAACTAATGATAATCCCACCACCCTTTGCTGACTCTCTTTTCGGACTCAGCCCACCTGCACCCGGGTGAAATAAACAGCCTTGTTGCTCACACAAAGCCTGTTTGGTGGTCTCTTCACACAGACGTGCATGACAATGAGACCCCATCTCTACCAAAAATACAAAAACTTAGCCAACTGTGGTAGTATACACCTGTAGTCCCAACTACTTGGGAGGCTGAGGCATGAGAATGGCTTGAACCCGGGAGGTGGAGATTGCAGTGAGCTGGAATTGCTCCACTGCACTCCAGCCTGGGTAACAGAGTGAGACCTGGTCTAAAAAAAAAAAAAAAAAAAAAAAAAAAAAAAAAAAAAAAAAAAAAAAGCAGTGAGCAACAAGAAACTGCAAGTTTATTAAGTATGAAACCAGGATTTATTGTTCTGAGGATGAAATGAGTTATTACATATGGAAAGTGTTTTGTAAAATATTAACTATTTATACAAGGTATAAAGCAAGCAGCTCTTAATTGAACTCCTTGAAAGTAGCAATCATTTCTTAATCTCCTTTATGTTTGCAGTACTTTTCACAATACCTGACACAGCCATTTAATACTGGTTTATCTAATGAATTGTTCAATAAACATTGAGTTATCTGTTATCAATTTTCTAGATAACAAAAAAATCTTTAAGAATCAAACTTTTTATTTTTAATTGTTTTATGGAAAATTTTTCAATTATGATTTTCATAATATCCTTGTCATTCTCAGATAATATGAAAATATTTGGGATGAGAATATTTAGAGAAATCAAATAGTTTGGAGAAAACGGTCAAGACTGCATTCTGCATTTATAACAATATCTAAAGAAAATAGTAAAAGCCCCATTAAGAAGAATCTTGGAGGGAGATGAAAGTATTTTCAGTAATTGAGGTGATTTTAAGCACATATGCAAAATAACCTTCACATTTCCAAAGAGAATCAAAGATGTGTGACAAGGCATTTAATAGTAGTTGCTATAGTAGCAAAAGAAATATTTGGTCTATCCATCAAAGTGCTGCCACCACACCCTACTATCTAGTTTTGGTGATTGTTTCTGATTATTTTATTTTATTTGAGGGTAAGATGGAGAGGGGACAAGAAGAATAAAATTTGAGTCCTGGGAGAGAATAAGACCAAGCAGCTATATCTGAACCAATCTGTCCTCTGGGAAAAAAAAGAAAGAAAGTATAGATAGCTGCCCTGCAAACCAGCTTGAGGGCTCATTAAGGAAGTAAAAGAGTAACAGATGACTCTTCCTTCTGGTACAGCTCACATGAAGAGATAATATTTAACATCCAGAAGCTGGTGGAGGGCTGAGGGTGGGGAAGCAAGCCAAAGCTGAATACACAAACAGCTATGTTTTCACAGAATAATAGACAAACAATATATAAACAATGTAAGCATCATGCAGGAATATGCAGAAAATGCAAAAGTATCCTCCACAGTTAAAATGCTTTACCCGATAGATTGTCAGTCCCTTGAGAATAGAGACTGTCTCAGTAGCCTCAGAGCCTACCACCACTCCTGGAACATGGCAGGTACTCAGTAAATGGTAGGAAGGTGTGAGGAGCTGCCAGCCACAACATAACTATCCAAAGCCCAAATCCAGACAATTTTAAGGGTTACTGCACCCACTTCTTTAGCTAAGTATACAAATGCTGAACATAATCTCATCTTCTTTATGACTAGTTCAGTATTGCCATTTTAGATATAAATTCTCTTCTGCCACAATGATGTCCTTCAAAATTCCTAAGGTGGGTAGGAGTAGTTTGCTTTTTCACTGCATTCCCCTAGGAATGCTCTTTCTGATTGTTGCAATTGGTGTTAACTTTTATCAACTTCAGAAATGTACTTTGGCCATTAATATATAATGTATATTGACCTACTCTATTCCAGGAAATGTATAAGATTTCTACATAAGTTATTTGCTCCAAAAGTCATGGAATCATAGAATTTCGGAGCTGGAATGGGTCTTCGAGATAATCTAATCAAACCACTTTATTTACAAGTAAAAAAACCTGAGGTTAGGGGAGAGACTGGCCCAAGGTCACACTGCTGATTAGTGACAGGAGTAGCATTGGGATCTGGCTTTCCTGACTTCCTGTTCACTGCTCTTAATACCATGCTGTTTAGATCTCACTCCTCAGCAGTATCCATAATAGTGATAATATTTCACATTTTTATAGTGCTTCATAGGTTTCAAATCACTGTCACCCAAATTTGTTCACCCTGCTAACCATGAGAGTAATAATAATCATCACAAGTAGCACTGGCTGGGCATGGTGACTCACACCTATAATTCCAGCACTTTGGGAGGCCATGGCAGGAGGATCACTTGAGGCCAGGAGTTTGAGACCAGCCTGGGCAACATAGTGAGACCCCCCACCTCTATGAAAAAAAAAAATAGAAAAATTAGTGCCAGACATGGTGACATGCGCCTGAAGTCCCAGCTACTAGAAAGGCTGAGGAGAGGGAATCGCTTGAGCCTAGGAGTTCAAGGTTGCAGTGAGCCATGATTGTGCCCCTGCACTCCAGCCTGGGCAACAGAGAGAGACCCTGTCTCTAACAAAAATAAACAAGTAGGTAAATATGTAAATAAACAGTAGCACTTACTGGTTTTTTCTAACAAACCAGTCACTAAGTGCTTTTGCATGATTTCATTAATCCACCCAATAGTTCTATGACTAAGATACTATTATTTTTGCTCTTTTATAGATCAGGAATGTAGGCTTAAGGAAGCCAAGTAACTTGCCCAAGGCCACATAGCTGGGAAATGGAGCAGTTTAGAATCATCCTAATTGCCTGGTACCAGAGCCCCTACAACAGTATCCGGCTGCCTACTGTGCTTTCCCTGACAAATACCCCCAAGAGCAGACAAAGAAGGTATTATACAATATATTTTAAAGCAATGCTTTGCTTGCAGTTTTAAGCCTCATTTTATAGGAATTTTACAGTCATTCAAGCCTAGAAAATAGATTAATTCCCTGGAGGAGAGAATACAGAAAGCAGCCTCCAGGGATGCCTGTAGTTAAGGGACAAGAGCAGGAAGAGAAGCTAACACATAATTAGGGGTTGCTGCACTATTCCATATAGCCATAAGCTTGAAAATACACTTATTTCATTTAAATGTAAAGTATATTGTGCAAGATTAAAACTGTGATTATGTAAAGTTGTTTTCATATTCACACACTCACAAATATGATTTCAATGAAACAATGTGCTGACAGGGTTGCCTGGTTACCAGTCATCACTTAAGCAGGTACCAGCAGGCATTTGGGCTGCATTCCTGGCACCCAGATGGGCCAACTTGGAAGCAGTAGTGACCTGGGCAATGGCTGTTGTGGCCCTTAAAACCAACCACCAGGATTAGATGCAGGGAACTGTCTTCCACCTTGAACCATCATTATTAATTCAGTTGACAAATTCCCAAGCATTCTGGCAACCTTATGAAGCTCTTCCATCTCCCACCTCCCCCAAAGGGAACAAATTATTCCCTTCCATATGTCACTCCAAAGAACTTTGTACCAACCTGTAGTAGCTTGCTAATCTCAATGTTCAGGTGGTATTTATCTATTTACCCCCACAGCTAAGCTGTGAGCATTGTAGATAATTCCAACGACAGCATAGCGAAGTGAAAATTTGGGCTTTGGATTAAGATGTAACTATGTTTAATTCCTGGGTTAGCTACTTACTCACTGTGACCTTGTTAAAGTTATCTAACTTCTCTGAGCCTCCATTTCCACATCTTTAAAAGAGGCATAATAAGCCAGGCACAGTGGCTCATGCCTGTCATCCCAGCACTTTGGGAGGCCAAGGCAGGTGGATCACGTGGTCAGGAGTTCAAGACCAGCCCTACCAACATGGTAAAACCCCATCTCTACTAAAAATAAAAAATTAGCTGGGCATGGTAGTGCGTGCCTGTAAACCCAACTACTTAGGAGGCTGAGGCAGGATAATTGCTTGAACCCAGGAGGCAGAGGTTGCAGTGAGCTGATAACAGGCCACTGCACTCCAGCCTGGGTGACAGTGAGACTCCATCTCACAAAAAAAAAAAAAAAAAAAAAAAAAAAAAGAGGCATAATAGGCTGGGAGCCGTGGCTCACGCCTGTAATCCCAGCACTTTGGGAGGCCGAGGCAGGCGGATCGCCTGAGGTCGGGAGTTCGAGACCAGCTTGACCAACATGGAGAAAACCTGTCTCTACTAAAAATACAAAATTAGCCGGGTGTGGTAGTGCATGCCTGTAGTCCCAGCTACTCGGGAGGCTGAGGCAGGAGAATCACTTGAACCCAGGAGGCAGAAGTTGCAGTGAGCCGAGATCATGCCATTGTACTCCAGCCTGGACAACAAGAGCAAAACTCCATTTCAAAAAAAAAAAAAAGAAGCATAATAATTCCCACCTCAGGTAGTGGTCGTGAAAATTAAACAAAGTAAGCACGTTTGTGGCAGCACTCAATCAATAGCAGCTTTTGTTATGAAGACACTGTCCCTGCCCTTGAGCCTCTCACTGTTTAGTGGAGCGAAGTTCGCATAAGGAGGCATCTCAAATGCCTGTGATATGTTCTGTGATGAAGGGCTGCAAGAGGCGATATGGGAGCAGAGAGGAAGGTCAGCCTACCCCAGCCAGAGGACATCATTTCAGGAAAGCCTCAGAGAAGAAGAATGAAGAAGAATTACCCAGCCAGAGGGCACAGCTAAATGTGTCCCAGGCAAAGGAGTACACACGACAGAACATGGCATGGTCAAGGAATTGCAAGTGGTCATTTACAATTGAAGTTACGGTTTGAGCTGGAGAATGATGAGGGATGAGGCTGTTGTAGAAAGAGTATAGGTTTTGGAATTCCAGCAGTCAGGAATTCTAGCTTCTTCACTCTCCAATCACATATCCTCAACCAAGTGACTTCTTTCTGAGTCTCCGTTTCCCCATTTGTAAAATGATGGCGATTATATGAACTAATGTATGTAAAGTGCCTGGCACAGAATATACATTGTTTAAATGATAACAAGTATTCTTTAACTGTGTTTATCTAGGATACATTTGGTGGTTGATCCATAGTATACACTCATTTTTATTGAATCAGTTGAAAGAGGAATGGGTGAATCATTCACTTACTGCATATTTTTTAGACACTCTCCATGTGCCAGTCACTGTTCTAGGCACTAGGGACACAGCAGCTAACAAAGCAGACAAAAGTCTCTGCCGCGGTGGGACTTACAGTTCGTGAATTGAGATGGGAAAGGGGACGCAGGTGTCCGTGAGGGGACATTGTACATCATGGTCCCTGTGTCTTTATGGTTCTCTGATGAAAAGCTAATAACCTGACAAGGCAAAGTTCCCAAGAGGTCTGGATGTTAATTCCACTTCATAATAACAATGAGGAGGCTCTCGTCCTCCCCTTAATCGCTTCTCACTTATCAACCCCCAGCTTCCTGTTGTGATCCGGGGGAACTGGTGAGTTGTGTTGTTTGTCAGGAAGAAATGTCAAGGAGAGCTCAAGTAATTATTGGGCTCTAATGTTTAAAGCCATGGCAAGAGGAAATAGGAAAGCAGTGCATACAAAAAGGCTATGGAGAGGGAGATTTGCCTATCTCAGCAGCCAAGTGATAAGTGAGCTCAAATGCCTTGTGATGATGCATGGTTTCATTTCAACAGCAGGATAATCATACTTCACATGTGTGTATCTCTTTAGAGAAAGGGTTCACCAAGGGGTTCACCAAGGGGATCTCATTTAATCCTCAGAACGACTCTGTGAAGTAGGCATTCACCCCATTTAATCCCATCTCTGTCCTGTAGGTTAACTCCTCCCTCTCCACTGTGGCATATAATGATGCCCACGTTTCAGTCATAAACAAAAACAACGAAAGGCTTCCTTCATTCCTTATCTCTGTCTAGCCATCATCTCCTCCTCACAGCCAAGTCCACCAAACATTAAGAATATGCTTGTTAGCTCCATTGGTCTCCTTCCATTTACTCATCCTATTGTGATCAACCCCCAAAGGCCAGTGAAATTGTTGTGACTTCCCATATGCTCAGTCCAAGGGATGCTCATCGGTCCCTATGATAGTTGGCTTCTTTAGCTTTCAAAGCCATTTTCTGCTCTTTCTCCTCCTGCTTCCCAGCCTGCTCCTTCTCAGTCTTGTCCTCAGCTTCTTCTCCTCTGCCACACTTTGATGCTGTCTATCGGGGCTCTTTCTACCACCCTTCTCTGTGTGTGTGTGTGTGTGTGTGTGTGTGTGTGTGTGTGTGTGTGTCTCCATCTCTCCAAGTGAACAGGATTTCTTTAAAATCCTGCTCAGGCTTCCGATTTGTGAAACCCTCCCTAGCAGCAGTCCGACCACCTCTCACCTTCTCACTCTGCTGCCCCACCTTGAAAACATGTGCATTCCCCTTCCTCTTGCTTTCACAGTGGCTCTTTCCTAGCTTCAGTAAAGCTCACATCACATTGTGCTGTGACTGTTTGTGTGTATGCCTTCCCCAGGAGATTATGAAAAACTTCAGGGTCAAGACTGTGACTTCGCTATTTGTGTATTCTCAGTGCCTAGCTAGGTACCTGGCATATGGTAGACACAGATTTACAAATGTTTGGTGAATTCTTAAGAGTCAAACCAAGAGCAATCAATAAAAAGTCAGGGCCTAAACCCCAGTCTTCTGACTTTAAAGGTGGTAGTCTCTCTACCTCAGCAGAGAAAAAAAGCAGTGTTGCAAGTATTTAATTATAAGTGCCTCAACCCCAGTGAATTCTATAAATTAAGGAGCAAGATGGAGGGAAGGATTTCCTTTTCCCCACAAATATTGCCCCAGCTACCAGGTGTGGAAGGATTGTTTGGCATCTGTAGCCTTCCTTTTGCATACCCCAGGATAAAAGAAGAAAAAAAAAAAACACCCACCTCCCCTCTCTTCCTCCCAGTGGACAGCCGTCACCATCACTTCCTGTTAAGCTGGGAGGCAGGAAATATGTCCTAGCTCCTGAAACTCCCGATTTCCCTCAGGTTTCCTCACAGACCCAGGGGTGGAGAGTGTTTTAATAAGATGCCTTGTAGCCAGGCCTGCCCTGAATATGATCTCTACCATCCTGAAGTAATACTCCTGAAGAAACCTTCATAAAGTGGTCAAAGATACACCTGGAAAGAAGGAAATTTTGCCTTTACCAGGAATAAACAAGCCTTCCAGGGAGAGGCTCTGAAATCAGACAGTGTGTGCATTCGGCAATTACAAGTTAAAGTTCCACCCAAATACACACAATCAAAGGCTTTAACCAAGGCCATCATTACTTGTGCAGGGCCCTCCTGCTGTTTGGGCAACATTTTAGTGCTGCAGTGAAGCAAGAGAAATGTCATCAAAGCGACGAGGTACGGATAGACCCATTCGGCAGTGCCTTTTTTTGACCTGATGATTCACTTCACCTTGTCGTTTATAATGCTGCAGGCTGGGAGGGAAAGAAGGAAATGAAGAGGAAAAGAGTGGGCTGTGTTGTGCATGTAATTTGTTTCACCATTTCAGACGGCTTTTTAATGAGCATTCTCATTAAGGGCTCTGTGAGTCTATGCTTAAAGTTTTCCGGACAAGCAAATAAGCAAGACTGAAATCAGATGGCATCAGCCCAGCACCTCATAGTTTGTTTCAAACCACAAAAAAAAAAAAAAAAAAAAAAAAAGCTACAGTCACGGGGAATGGAGGAGATTAAAAAAACATTATGTGTGAGAACAGAGATTTGATAACTCTTTTGTCTTAAAACATTTGAAAATTAATGATGTGGTCTTAACTAATCCCCATGAAAATTCCAACGTTCATCAAGTATTAGAATATTAGAGTGTGTCTGTGATAGCATTTCTCTATTCAGCTGGTTCCCATGGAGAGAGGTAATAATTGTCCTGTGCTATCCTAGCCCTGGGTTCATATTTCTGGTAGAGTACCCATCACACTGCATCAGATAATGTCCCCTCTAGACGCTGACCCCTGTATAGGCAGTCAGCCTTACCCAGTGCTCCTTTATACTTCTTGAGCCCAACACAGTGTCCAGACATATAGTAGACATTCAATAAATGTAGTTTTGCCGTTTAAATGAATTCATTAGGTAAAATTAACACATGAACAAGTACATAAAAGACTTACACTTGAGTAGTAGACTTCACATCAGAGTAATTTATCACCTCGCAAGGTTCAACAAACATTTTAGTTTGTGAACAGCCCCTTAGTAAAGCGGCAGCCTTCATTTAAAATTATCAAGAGGGAGGCCGGGCGTGATGGCTTACCCCTGCAATCCCAGGACTTTGGGAGGCCGAGGCGGGCAGATCACCTGAGGCCAGAAGTTAGAGAGCAGCCTGACCAACATGGTGAAACCCCATCTCTACTAAAAATACAAAAATTAGGTGGATGTGATGGTACATGCCTGTAATCCCAGCTACTCAAGAGGCTAAGGCACAAGAATCGCTTGAACCCGGGAGGTAGAGGCTTCAGTGAGCTGAGATTGTGCTGCTGCACTCCAGCCTGGGCAACAGAGCGAGACTCTGTCTCAAAAATAAATAAATAAATAAATAATAATAATAATAATAATAAAATTTTCAAGAGGAAGGAAGAAAAGTACTGGTGGGGATTTGAAGTGGTTTTTTTTTTTTTGTCATTGATGAGCACTGTCTATTGGGTTTCTGGTCATGAATTGGCCCTTTTTATGAATGAGAAAGTGATGCAGTTGTTACCGTATTTATCTTTACAGTGAGTTTGTTAACAGAACATAAATACAGACACATGAAAGTGAATTCTCTCTGTTGCCTATGCTTGAACCAGTTGTCCAGCAATCCTTCCCTCTGTATGGTACAAAGAATGCCTCACTCTCTATGATTCCAGGGACTTCTAGAGATGATATACTTTAAAAGTCTGACATAGTGGTGGCCGTGGATGGTTTGCTTGATAAAAGCCAGGCACCTCCCCACCCTTGTTGCCAGGAAGGGTACAAAATGAGGAAAGTAGCGCTCTTCATTAGTGCTTTATTGGATTGGAGATAGGTATCAAAAGAGGGTGACACAATCCTCCCTAAAACATTCGCTCAGTGTTTCCATCCATTTTTTGCTGCTCAATATTCTTGTGTGTACTGGATTCATACCAGAGATGTAGACACTGTTTCTTCCCTCTCTCTCTCTCTCCTCTCTCTGTCTTTCTCATCCAAATCCATCCTTGAGTAGTAAGCAAGAAGTCAGTGATCCATCCCTAGGAGCAGAAGAATGGGCGTGGGTGTTCTCAGATTATGTATCTGGAGAGTTTTTTTCTGATGAGCATCACCTAGTCAGTACTTCACAAAGTGTGATCTGAGGACTGTGTGCATCAGATCCCTGAAGATGCTGATTGAAGGGCTTGATCTCCCTGCTGGCTTGGCATTCTGGGAAGGAGCACTGACATCTACAGTTTTGTCAGGCTCCCCGGATGATCCTGCTTCCTGCCGAGGTTGGAGGGCCTCTGGCCCTGACTTCTGACCTGGTGGCGCCTTGGCTCACTAGAGGGCACCATGGAACAATGTTTTTTCTGGCTGCGGGCTTCCTGTTCCTGCCAACCCACCAGGGATGCGGTGCCCACATAGTTCTGGGCTACAGCTTCCAAGCCCATCCTGGAACCACAGTTTCCTTTAAGAAACTTAGTGCAGTTGCCACATCACCAAACAGATCTAGTATTCATTTCCACAATGGCACTATAATAAATTCAATTTCTAAAGAAAAATTAGAGTTTAAGTTATCTCGTGTGTATTCATTAAACACAAATTGTGTACTGCAAAAGCATTAGGTATCAACAGGATTAATAAAAGAAAACATCCTTCCTACTATCAAGAAAAACCTGGAAAAGATAAGACAAAATTGTAAAATCATTTAAAAGCAATTATAATTAATAGTAATTTTCAAATGAACAGTAAAAAAAATTTTTTTTAAATTACAAAATCTGACGCAGACGTTTGCCAGTAAATGTACACACAGGGAGTGGCCCCTAAGCTGACTCGGATGACTGCAAACCAGGATTCCTGAGAAGGCATCGTGGAAAAGGTGGGATGAGAGAGGGCCTTGGAATAAAGTGAAAGGGAGAAGAGGAGGTCAGGGCAGCCTAATTACAACACATGTCTAATTCAGGGCCCTTCCTGTGTCTTAGCAGTGACTTAACTAAAATAAACATGTCGAATGTAAATCTGGGAAGTACCACTGGGCTTTCAATTGTCATATTGCACAGTAGCCATTTATTCAACAAATACTTGCAGAGCACTACTGTGTGCCAGCTACTGGGAGTACAACACTGGACAAGGCAAACGCTTAGTGCTGCCCTCATGTGTTTACAGTTCAGTTGGAGAGACAGGCCAGCAAGCACAATGATTCCAGAGCAGTGTGTTACGTGGTAGGTAAAGCAGGAGGTTTGTGGGTGTTCACAGGAGAGAAGCCTAATCCAGAGCCAGGGTGGTAACAGAAGGCTTCCCTGGGGTAGAAATGTCCAATGAAAGGAAGGATGAGTTAGGAGCAGAGGGAGAAAGAGCATGTTTGAAGGCTGGGGGAGAGAAGAAACAGTATATTTGAGGAACTGAAAGAAAGGCAGTAGGGCTGGCCCCGTGGTAGTGGGGGTGTGCTGAACAGCATGGAGAGCTCGCGGTAGACTGGGGCCAGCTCATGAAGAGTCTTGTAAATCATAACTGGGCTACCTAGACATCATCCTCCGGTCACTGGGGAACCACTGAAGGGTTAAGAGCAGGGGAATGGTGGTTCCCTAATAAGATCTGCATTTTAGGAGGACCTGTCTATGCCAGGGTCAGTGCTACCTTGGAGTAGTAATAAACAAGCAAAGCCATAGGAATCAGTCTCTCTTTAACTGGACCTTTCCGGTTTCCTTCCTCCATCTCCATTTACCAGCTTCCCTTGAAATCCTTTCAAACTGAGGTCTGTTTTTAAGGTCTGCTTCCCATGCTGGATGGCAGAGGAAACAGGAATAGCTTAAAAATGTGACTATCACAAGCTGGACTGCCCTTCTCTGTGTCCCTTACAGTCCTTGAAAAGGGCCATCTCTAGTAAAGTGCAGAAGGAGGAAGAGCCACACTGGATTGAGAGGAAGAGTGGTGGTCCAAACCCCAGTTCCCAGGTTGGACACCCTTAGCACTTACCATCATTTAAAGGCAGTGCCTATTGAATGTTCCCAACACAAAGAAGTGATAAATATTTGAGATGATGGAGATGCTAATTATCCTGATCTGATCACTATACATTATATGTATTGCAGCATTCCTATGTATCCTATAAACATACACAATTATTATGTGTCCATTTAAAAAATTAATTAAATAAAGGCAATGCAGAGGGGGAAACTACAGACAAATGTATGGATCAGTGTACAAAATTAATGTGGAACGTACGAAGAGGGGCTTTATCTTCCTAGGTAACTGCTGTTTTATTACTGCTATGACTGACTTACAGCTTTCACTTTGCTCACACATCAAAATGTAAAACTCTTAATCAGGCCTCTCGTCCTTATCTACATGTTAGCTGAGAAGCAGGTGATGGCAGTAAACTTTAATGACCAGAGGAAGTGTAATACTAATGCAGCCGTTTAAACCTCCCAATTTAATTAAAGTCTAGTTCCGCGCTTGCTGCTTGCCTGGAGAATAGTCAAAGGAGCACTTTTTTTTTTAAACCACTAACTCCACCCTCAGGCCAATCCCAAAGCAGCCTGCACTATATCCTCATTTCCTAAAATGGAAGCCGAATGTATGGAGAACAGGCCTTGGAGGGACACAGGTTCCTCAATTCCGGCCTCTGTGACAGGGAGGTCTCCCGCCCAGTTTCCTTTCCTTCAGAGTGAGGAAGAGTCTGTGTGCAGGGGCTGGAGCCTCTGGACACAAAAATAGAATATTCGAGCGTTTGGATTTTCCTTTCCTGACAGTGAACTTACTCAGGAAGAGGCATTTAAGCAAGATTTTTTTTCCTCTGTTTTTCAAAAAACACGTTTAATGGGAGGAACAAAACTGTTGAGAGAAGATTTTTCAGCCCCATCTTCTTTGGCCCCAAACAGGCCAAGGTGAGGCAGTCTTTTTCTTCCTTAATTGCCCTTTTTGCTTGCAATCACATTGCCCCCCCCACATGCCTCCCCCCAGCATGCTTCTAGACGCCTTTGCAAGGCCCCCCACCAAGTCTTCAAAGCACCACCATGTCTTTGATTGTTGGGCTCATAACTGAGACTTCCCACACAGTGGTATGAAGCGACATATGATTCAAGCATCCTCATTCCAGAAATATTATTAGTCTCAGGAAAAAAAAAATAGGGGCCTGCTCTGTGTCTGTCACCTGAAATAAACTCCCTGTTCCTCTCCTACTGCTTCTCAGATACTCAATTCTAAAGATTATTCCAGCTTATTTTGCCACCCCCAAGGTTTCTAACCCCAGCCCCCCAGCTAGTGACTGAAGGAGAGAGAGGAGGAAAGGGGCCCTCTGAAGTTGGCCACCTCAGGGTATATGAAGCACGTGCTTGTCACGTGGAGAAAAAATGTGCTGGGCTAACCTCTGAGACTCCCTAGAGAATCCAGAGTTTGTGTCTCTTTGCAGAGCTCAGAACAGCCTGTATGTTCTCCTCTCCCTGTTGTGCGCCTGGCGCTTCCCCAGTGAGATATCTCCTGCAAAAGCTTTTCCTGTAAGGGGTGGGGAGCTTTTGTTCTCTGGGAAATATGGTGAAGCTAATTAAGAGCATTGTCCTGTGAGGGGGGGAAGGCGGAGGGCTTTCCGAGATGGTGGTTTTCACCAGGGGTAAGTGAGGGCTGCTGAGATCTCTCTGTCCTGCTGGGTCAACCGTTTTAGGGGGAGATTGTGATGAAGCCCAATAACATAAAAATAGATACGTGAAGTATAATCTCTCCCTCCCTCCCTCTCTCTTTCTCTCTCTCTTTTTTGGCATTTGAGTTTCCGGTACTAACTCACTTCAGAAAAGGACACTCCAACAATTTGGCTTTTAACTCCCACTGACCTGGCACAGACTGGAGGTCACAGGACTAATGCCTTATTCTATTTCACCCCAAACATGCAGGGGTGCTGCTAAAGTGAAATTTCCAGCAACTATATAGATTTAGCTGTGGGCTGTGCGTGTAGAAGTAGTTCAACAACTCTCAGTTCTTGACTTCCAAAACAGGAGTAGCATATTTTATGGCATTTGTAAGATACAGCACCACAAAGGTCTTAAAATATATAAGCTATGATTGTCCCCATAGTAGCAAACCCAATTAGGAGCAAACATGTTGAGGCAGCATTCTGTAAGGTGTGTCACTTATCTGGTTTGCTCTCTCTGGATTTAAAAATCTTTATGTATCAAATACTACAAATATTTATTGAGCACTGACCACATGCTAGGTAGTGTTCTGGGTGCTTCAGATATATTCGTGGATGAAACAAACACAGATTCCTGCCCTTGTGGGGCTTACAGTCTAGCTGAGGAAGATAAAATAAAGAAAAATAAGTAGGTTATATAATATATTACAAGCTGACAAGTGCTTTCGGGGGAAACATAGATCAAAATAAGGGCAATTGGGAGAGTTGTGGTGAAGGAGGCAGGTTGCAATTCAGTTAGGGTGGTCAGGGTAACCATGAGGTGGTCATTGAGGTGACAGTTGAAAAAGACTTGATGGAAGTGATGGAAAGCTGGGTGCAGTGGCTTGCACCTGTAATTGCAGCAACTCAGGAGACAGAAGTGGGAGGATCACTTGAGGCCGGGAGTTCAAGACCAGTCTGGGTAACATAGCAAGAGCCTGTTTCTAATAAACGAACGAACGAATGAATGAGTGAAGTGATGGAGTTCGCCATGTAGACATCTGTGGAGAAGAAACTTTTCCAAACGAGAGAAGAGCCAATGCAGAGGACTTGAGATGAAAATGTGCTTAGAGCAACAAGGAGGCTGCTATGGTTGGAGTAGGAGAGCATAGGAGGAGAGTGGAGAGAGGTGACAGACTCCAGCTCAGCAGAGCCCCGTGTGCCATGGTAAGGACTTTGCCTTTGACTCTGAGCAAAAGAGGGAATCATGGGAGATTTTTTGAGCAAAGCAATGAAGGGATCTCATTTAAATTTTTACAGAACCATACTGGCTGCCTTGTAGAAAATAGACTGGGATAGTGTATCAGCAAAAGTGATTAATCCTAGGTATATAAACATATATATTTTTTTCAGGATATATTTTGAAAGTAGAGCCAGCAAGATTTGCTGATAGATTAGATGTGGAATGCGAGAATAAGAGTTAAATCAAGGACAACTGCAAAGCTTTTGGCCTGAGCAACCGAGAGGAAGGAAAAAGCATCAGTGGAGAAAGGGAAGGGTGCACCAGGGTCACTTGGGGTGCATTTGATCCAAGTAACTTATCTATGGTTCTTATCCAAGTGTGTTGATCAGAATCATGTGGGACGCTTTCACAATTATACTTGCCCAAGATCCCAAAAGATTCTTCTTTAGTAAGTCTGGAGTAGGGGTCCAAAAATATATATTCAATGGAGAGCTGCTAAATTGTAAAATAATAGTTGGTGGAGTTCTGTGTTTAAAATTCTGGACTTTGTAATGAAACAAGTGAAAGGAATTATAGATAAACCTCCCACTCTCTGGGATTAACTATACTTTAGGTCCTCCTTTCAAAATATCTTCCAAATGAACTATGCATAACTTACTAAACAGTTAAAGCTGAAGCATACAAAAATGATGAATAATAGAAGAAAGCTGCCAGATTAATTTCCAGTCTCTTCCATTATGACATTGGTAATATTCATAGCCATTTATGGGACAATTCTGTCCTGAGTGTATTTAGGTTCCTTTGAAGCTAACCTAGTGTGGGCTATCTAAACATCAAGCCATTCACCATCCCTCCAGCAGTGAGCAGAGTGGGAGAGGCAAACCTTCAGTGTAAAATACACAGGAAGAGAAAAACAGTGTCTCCAGGAAGATTTGGGGGAATAGTTAAAAAGGGGAATGATGGTGTCTCCAACCCAAGCATTACTTAGAAACATTCATCTGTTGGTAAAGATTACTGATCCCAGTTTCCAGATTTAAAAACTGAGACTTGAGGCTAACCGAGTTCTTCTTATACCAACTAACAATACAATGGTAGGACTGAGCTTCAAAGTGACTAATCACTTTGGAGGCCAGCTTTTCTGGTTCCCAGGCTGTCAGCCCTTGCTTGTCAAATTGGTTCCACCAAAAGTTGGAATCCCTCGGTGAAAGGAAGGATTGCGTAATGAAGCAGCATTCCATGGGGACTTTCTATTCTGTCTGACTCCTAACCAGATCTTTCTTTCATGCGGGATCATTTTCTCAAACTATTTATTTCTGTGCGGTGGTGGTGGGAACATTGACGACAAAATGGCACCTTCTTACTCAATTTTGCTGCTCCCTGTGTGTCTGACTCACACCTGCTGACAGGAATGAGCCTCTCCGCTTCTTCCTTCCCCGGGGAGCTGGAGGTGGATTTTAACTTGCCCTTGCCCTCCCCACCATCCTCATGAAGACTGTCAGCTTAGCTCTGATTTTAAAACAACAAAAAAGAGAAAGAAACAAAGCAACTCCACAAACCTTTATTACTCAGCAGGTCACTAGAGGCAGAGAAAGAGCAGCTCAATTTTCCAGTCTCACATGGAGGCACCAATGCTGCCTGTGAAAGGCCAGCTTTGACTTGTAAAACAGCAGCTAAATTGTCCACAGAGGCTCTTATGCAAGCAGCAACAAGGGGCTCCCATTTCCGTGTTCAACCTTCAAGCAGAAAATATTTTTTACACTGGCAGGAACATCTATTTGAGGACATTTATTTGGGCAACATTTAGAATACTGGTCTTTTTGAAATCAAGTATTCAGTTGACCTGAAAAATAATGCTCAGGTCCAATGAGAGTATAGGACAAAGTAATGTAATGTGCCACTCTTATTGCCAGTAGGCTGTGATTGTGAGTTGGTACTTTCTTTTCCCATTACTGACAATAGGCTGGTACTCATTTTTCATTTTCCCTTTCTGCCCCAGACTCTCTGGAGCACAGCTCTTTGCAAGACAGCTGTCCTAGGAGTAAAGGTTGTGTCACTATTTACAAAGAGTAAAGGTGTCTAGTTATATGTGGATTAAATCCCCGACTTTATCTTCCTTAACACCTTGTTCTATGATACCAAGACAGAAACCATTTGGCACAGAGGTGCTGCCATAAAATCTGTTAGGATTTAGCTGATCTTTAAAAATCTCTTTCTTTGGAGGCAGGACTTGGGTCATTTTCGGACCATGTTGGAATATTTTACCTTTATTTGCACACTCATTAGATGGCCAGCGATTGTGCTTTTTCTTTCTTTTTTTTTTTTTTTTGGCCTCTCTTCTGGGGTTGCTTTGGGATATTGGGAAGGGGGCACAATGAAGAGCAAATTGCTCTGATTAATATTGTGTTTATAGTTGTCTATCAAGGTCATTTCCCTAGATGCCAGCCTTTCTTTGTGAAGACGGAAATACTGTGTCGGTGTCTGTCTAAACCTACAAGAGGAAGGAGGCCAATAAGGAAGACAAGCAGTAATAAGAGTAGGATGCACATTTATTTATTTACATATATATATATATATATATATATATATATATATATATATATATATATATATGGCAGGTTGGTGCTATAAATATGCCTGTTCCAGCTTTTCCTCCTACTCTGAAACTTCTCTTAAGTCACCTCAGTTCCCTCTTACATTGTGTCCTTGGAAACAAATCCAACGCTGTTATACAATTCTATTCTGTTTCTTTCTCTCCCCAGACCAAACAAACTAAGCATCTAGAGGCACTACTTCTATTATCAAAACTTGACTTTTAAATCCCAAGCTTGTGAAACTTGAACTAAGGCCTGGCTTCTGTAACTCTGGAAAAGGAAAGCACCTGCAGAACTTATCCCTGTCCTGGGGCAGGATGCGTGAGATTGCAGGTGTCTGCGACACTGGAAGAACCGAGGGCCCAGTCCTCTTAAATTACTGGAAAACAAGTTAAAACAGTTATCTTGATGTTTACTTGCTTTTAACAGTCATGTTTATATAAAGAAATATATAAACCTGCCAGTTTATATAAAGAAGACGTTACCTCAGTCATGACGGCTTCAGGAACCTTGAGGTGTCCTGTTTGATTCAGACCTCCTTCCTCAAGGGAATATAATTCCCTGAGTGCTTGGGTAGAAATAGAATGACCTCATTTTCCAAAAGCTCCAAGTGACCAGCAACCAAGGTGGTGTAATTTTTATGCAAGGTGCTTAGTGTAATAGATTTAATATTCACCTTTGGGTTAATGTTAAGAATTTTGGTTTAAGACACATTGATTTTATAAATAATGAGTAAATAACCATATGGGGATAAATGCTACAGTATCTGACTTTAGAAGTAATAACAGTATGCTGGGCATGGTGGCTCAAGCCTGTAATCTCAGCACTTTGGGAGACTGAGTGGGAGGACAGATTGAGCCCAGGAATTTGAGACCAGCCTGGGCAACATAGGGAGACCCTGTCTTTACAAAAAACTAAAAAAAAATTAGCAGGGCATGGTGGTGCATGCCTGTAGTCCCAGCTACTCAGGAGACTGAAGCAGGAGGATCATTTGAGCCCAGAAGGTCAAGGCTGCAGTGAGACATGATGGCATCACTGCATTCCAGCCTGGGCTACAGAGCAAGACCCCGCCTCAAAAAACAAACAAACAAACAAAAAAATTAATAACAGCCAAGACTTATTGAATATTTGCTACATTCAAGGCACCATTCTAAATGCTTTACTTACCTTTTCTCATTGAATCCTCACAACAAGCCTATGAGATAGGCACCAATATAATCTCCATTTTGCAGATGAGAAAACTGAGGCTCGAATTTGCAAGTTGTCTAAGATCACAGTAACAGGATGTTGCAGATCTTGGATTTGAAGCCAGGCAATCTTATTCTAGAGCCTGAATTCTTAACCAATTGTACAGTAAGTCCTCACTTACCATCATTGGCAGGTTCTTGGAAACTGCAACTTTAAGCAAAATGATATATAACAAAATCAATTTTACTGTAGGCTAATTGATACAAACAAGAGTTAACCTCCTAAGGCACATTTCTGGTCACAAACCTCACCAAACTTCTAACTAAGGACCCCCAAACACTTCTAATATTAAAGATTGAAATAAATGTGAACTATACGTACATTAAAGAAAGAGAAATAAAAACAATAAGTGACTTACTAACTCAATTTTTGGTGAGCCAGTGAGTGACAGCAGTCATTGTGGTGGTGGGTTAAATCAGGGAATAAATGTTTTCAAAGCAAAAATTAGAAGGAGCACCTCTCTCAACCACAAAGGTCAAGCACAAACCAAAATGAATATGTTGGGCTCACTGAGTACTTTCCTACCACCTCCTTTATTATCATGCATTTGTATGATTATTGTTGAGCTTAAGATTATTTATTTATTTATTGGGTCTCATTCTATTGCCCAGGCTAGAGTGCAGTGATGTGATCATAGCTCACTGCAACCTTGAACTCCTGAGCTCAAGTGATCCTCCCGCTTCACCCTCCCAGGTAGCTGGGATTACAGATGCATGCCACGGCACCTCGCTAGGTTTTCTTGTTTGTTTGTTTGTTTTTTACAGAGACGGGGTCTTGCTTTGTTGGCCAGGCATGTCTCTAACTCCTGGCTTCAAGCAATCCTCCTGCCTTGGCTTCTCAAAGTGCTGGGATTACAGACATGAGCGATTGCGCCTGACTGAATATTTATTTTTTTGCAGTAATTTGTATTCATTCATTTTGCAACCTGCTTATTCCAGTTCAGGGTGGTGGATGGTCAGGGCCTGTTCCAGCAGCTCAGGGGCAAAGTCAAAGCCACCCTGGACGGGACTCCATTCCATGTCAGGGTGCTCTCACACCCACACCTGTGCTCACTCACACCAGGACCATTTTGACATGCCAGTTCACCTAGCATGCACATTTTTGGGATGTGGCAGGAAACTGGAGTACCCGGAGAAACTCAGGAAGACATGGGAGAGCATGCACACTCCACACAGACAGTGACCTTGTCCGGGAATCAATTATTTTTCTCATCAACATTATAATGAATGATGTTGAATGAAACAATGTTATTTGAGGACCTGCTATATTTGATTGCCACGGCCTCACATGCCTTGTAGCTTAAAGAGAGAAGAAAAATATGAACTATGATAGAAGGAGGGGTAGAAAAGCAGGAAACATTTAAGAGATATATTGACCTAAGGTACCCACCATCAAGACGTACATTTTTAGACAAATTGCCTGTTTTGTGTGAGACTCAAGAGCGTGGCTGAGAAAGTACTTTAACTTCATCCACAGTAGGTAGAAACATAGACAATATAGAGATTGATAGAGAAGAGCAGGTACCCCAGAGGAAAAGTTAGCAAGACTTTATCTTATGGAGACTAAGGACAGCTTTCTAGCAGAAAATACAGAATCAGTTCATTAAGGCTGGATAGAAAGCTGGAGTGGGAAGGGAACAAAGGAGAGCCTGCTAAAAGTTGGCTGGGTCATGAGAGGCCACACATGCCGCACCAGGAAATCAGAGCTCCATCCTGAAGGATTTACACTTTATAAAGATCATTCTGGGCCAGATGCAGTGGCTCATGCTTGTAATCCCAGCATTTCGGGAGGCCAAGGCAGGAGGACCATTTGAGCCCAAGAGTTCGACACCAGCCTGGGCAACATAACAAGACCCTGTCTCTGCAAAAAATAAAAGTTAAAAATTAGCCAAGTGTGATGTTGTGCACCTGTAGTTCCAGCTACTCAGGAGCTGAGGTGAGAGGATTGTTTGACTCTGGGATCATGGCATGCAGTAAGCCATGATCACACCACTGCATTCAGCCTGGATGACAGAGCAAGACCCTATCTCAAGAAAAGATCACTCTGGCTGCAGGATGGAGAATGAATTCGGGAAGGACAAGACTGGAGGCAAGATCAGTTGGGAGATGCCTGTAGTAATTCTGGTTAGAGGAGATGGGGACTTGGTCTGGACAGTGGTAGTAAACATGGAAATAGTGGATGGATTCCAGGTATATTTAAGAGATATTATTGTCAAACTTGATTAGAAATGGGGTGGTGGCTCACACCTGTAATTCCAGCACTTTGGGAGGCCGAGGTGGAAGGATCACCTGAGGCCAGGAGTTTCAGACCAGCTGGGGCAACGTAGCAAGAGACCCCATCGCCTAAAAAAAAAAAAAAATTGAAAATTAGTTGGGGGTAGTGGCATACACTCATAGTCCCAGGTACTCTGGAGGCTGAGGTGGGAGGATCATGTGAGCCCAGGAGGTCAAGACTGCAGTGAGCCATGATTATGCCACTGCACTCCACCCTAAGTGACAGAGAGACCCTATTTCAAAAAAAACCCAAAAGGAATGGGGCACATATGAGGGAGAATAATTTAGGAAGGACACCCACATTTTAGACGTAGGCAACTGGTTGTATGGAAACCCAAGAGAAAGAGCAGGTTAGGAGGCAAAAGCAGGTGAATTTGGAGCAAGTGAGTTTGAAGCGCCTATAGGACATCCCCAACTTTTTTGGCACCAGGGACCAGTTTCGTTGGTGGGGTGGAGGGATGGTTTCCGGATGAAACTGTTCCACCTCACATCATCACACATTAGTTAGATTCTCATAAAGAGTGTGCAGCCTTCGCATGCGCAGTTCACAATAGGGTGGATACTCCTATGAGAATCTAATTTCCTCACTAATCTGACAGAAGGTGGAGCTCAGGCAGTAACAGGGGCTCATGGTGCTGCTCACCTCCTGCTGTGCGCCCCAGTTCCTAACAGGCCACAAACCAGTACCAGTCCAAGGCCCAGGGGTTGGGGGCCCCATATCTAAGTGGAAATGTCCAGGAGGTACGTCGATATGTACATATTTTAGGTATGTACATATCTGAGGTATGTAAGCTCACAAGGGAGATCTAGGCCAGAATTATAAATAGGGGAGTCACAGGCAAATAGATGGTAATTTAGGCCAAAGGAATAGATAATCCCACTCAGGGAAAGTGTGTAGATTGAGAAATGAAGATGCCCCAGTACAGAACACCAAGGGGAAAAGATGGCCAGTGGAAGAGAAGCACACAAAAAAAGCATAGCCAGAGAGGTAGAAAGAAAATCCAGCCAAGCAAAGAGAGCAGCTCAAGAGATGGTAAACAGTAGTGTCAAACATTGAGAGGTGAAGAAATAAATGGAGTAAACAGTGTCCCTGGGATTTTGCAAAGGGAGTTTATCGGTGCCCTTGGTGATAGCAGATTGAGAGAAGTGTTGATGGCATAAGCTGAAATGTGGTGGGGGTGAGGAGTGAGTGGGAGGTAGGAAAGTAGTGACGCCAAGTGTAGACAGTTTCTGAAAACTGGCTGAAAAGGGGAAGAGAGAAAGAGCAGAGGCCATGGGAGGGTTTTTGTTTGTTTTGCATTTACTAAGCAAAGATTTGAGCATTTTAAATATTGAAATAATATCATAGGAGAGGGAAAGGTGGAGAAGGAAGAGAGAGGGAGAAATCAATAGGGCAAGATTCCTGAGAAAGTAAAGAGTTTGAGATCCAAAGAACAGGCAGGGGCCTTAGCTGCAGAAAAGAGGAATGCTTCCATAGTCTGGTGGGAGGCCAGGCTTTAGCATGTGGTGGGAAGTTGAAGTGGTTATCGTCGGTTGGCTTGTATTTCCCCTCTCAGTGGGTGTTGAGTCATTAGAATGATGGGGACATGGTTGATGTTCGTGGGTGGGAGGGATGGTTGAAGATTTCTGGAGAATGGAGAAGACGGGAAAATGCTGCTTTGGAGAAAGAAAGGGAACATGTTACAAGGGGCCCAGCTGGGTCTAGAGTAAAGTAGGAGGACTGCCTTCACTGTGACATAGACTTTCAGACAAATTCCCTGCTTTGTATGAGACCTAGAATCTTGCCTGGGAAAGCACTTTATCCTACTCCACAACTAAGTTTGAAACATATGAAGACATGTCAGCTGTTTGTTGGGACATAGCCTAAAAAACATTTCTTGAAATTAATATTAATTAATGATTCATTATAAGTGATATATTTACAGTAAATATGCAGACTCCACAAACATCATCGTTTCTTTCTTTCTTTACTTTTTTTTTTTTTTTTTGAGACAGAGTCTTGCTCTGTCACTCAGGCTGGAGTGCAGTGGCGCGATCTCAGCTCACTGCACTCTCCGCCTCCCAGGTTCAAGTGATTTTCCTGCCTCAGTCTCCCGAGTAACTGGGACTACAGGTCATGCCACCACGCCTGGCTAATTTTTTGTATTTTTAGAGAGACGGGGTTTCACCGTGTTAGCCAGGATGGTCTCGATCTCCTGACCTCATGATCTGCTCGCCTCGGCCTCCCAAAGTGCTGGAATTACAGGCGTGAGTCACCGCGCCCGGCCTATCATTTTTTCTTTAGATTCTATAGTCACTACATCGGTATAACTAGTATACGGAGGTAGAATTACTTGATAGTTAAAAGCACAGACTCTGGAGGTGGTCACCCTGAGGGTGGTCATCCTGGTTGGGCCACCTACCATCCATGTGATCAAAAGCAAGGTAACTGTTTACCTGTAAAATGGGCATGATAAGAACACTTACCTCATAGGGTTGTTAAAGGAGATGACATATTTGGTGTAATAATATTTTTTGATATATTAACTTTTAAGTTATTAACTAATTCTCTTTCTGGAACTGTTCTTTGTGGTATATTCTTTGAAGTAAAATGGGGCAGAGCAGGTTGTGAAACTGGTGAGAAAAAAAAAAAGCAAAAGGAGTCTTCCTAATTTGAGAACCCCTAAACCAATTAAGAAAAGGATATCAGGGGATATACTTTAAGCCATTAGCAAGGGAGGAATTGTCTCTGAGACAACCGACGGTCCCTGAAGAGTAGAAAAGACTCCCTCCTTTCTGGAGAGAAAAGAAAGAAGCTGAGAGAATTGTGTGTGTGTGTGTGTGTGTGTGTGTGTGTGTGTGTGTGTATGTGTGTGTGTGTCTGAGTCACTGGAGAGAAGTCCAGACTTAATCAGAACCAAGCCTGTAAGAATGAGGGACAGCTCAGCAAAGGGGACATTCTATTAGTTATCTATTTCTCTGTAACAATTTACCCCAAACCTTAGTAGTCAAAGAAAACAAACATTTACTATATCACAGTTTCAGGGGTGAGGAGTCAAAAAGGGGCTTAACTGAGTATTTGTGGCTCTGAGCCTCTCATGAGATTGCAGTCAAGCCACTAGCTGGGTTGCAGTCATCTACAGGCTTGATTGGAGCTGTAGGACCTGCTTCAAGCTCACTTACATGGCTATTAGCAGGAGGCTTCAATTTCTCACCGCATGGGCCTCTCCATAGGGATGTTCAAGACATAGTATCTGACTTTCCTTATAGTGAGTGATCTAAGAGAGAGAAGAGGAGAGGAAAGACAAGGAGAGAAAAGAGAAAGAGACCCAGATGGAAGCAACAGTATCTTTTATTACTTAATCTTAGATGTCATACCATCATTTCTGCTACATTCTTCTGTCTTATTATATAACCATCTCCGGTACAATATGGAAGGGGTTTGCATGAGAATGAGAATACTGGGAGATGGTGATCATTGGGAATTATTTCAGAGGCTGGCTGTCACAGATACCATGATGGGTATTGTTGGAGCAGCCAGGCACAAGTGGGAGCAGTCTGCCTGACTTCCCTGAGTTTTGTTCGGCACCTGTGGCTCTCAACTTGCCTTTGGCATTAGTGGAGGGTGTCTCTTCTACAACAGACATCCTCTCATCACACAAGGATCTTCCAGCAGGAGTGATGGCCACCATGCTCTGAGACTTTGCTTGGGCCTGCTTACCCTATGTGCATGACCCCTAACTTGCAGAGAGCACAAAAGAAGAAAGCCTGGACTTATTGATGGGCCAGTGTACTAAGAAAACTCCCTTTCTAACCGGGGCAGTGGTTAAACATATTCCATCTGCGTAATCGCTAACTTTTACCAGGTGTTTATTTATCACATCCTCACTTTTCAGGTGAAGAAATTGAGGTCCAGATAGGTTGAGTAACTTGGGAGGGGGGTAATAACTAACATGTGGTGAAAACAAGATTTGAACCTGCTGAACCTTGTTGTAAATCTCAACCTCTATTCTACATGTATGTATGGCACATGTATTTAGCATGAAGCCCAGCATTAGTAAGTGTTCAATAGATGTTATTATTATTATTAATTTTTCTCATTGGAACAAAAGATAACCTATTATAGATTCAAGAAGCTAAAGGATGGGTACAGTCATTTTGAAAGGTAAACATTATGTTTTTATTACTCTCTTTTGTTACTTTCATTAACAACTTGGACACTTTATTCATGTGTACAAATTGCCATTTTGATCCCCGTGCTCATGTGTCCACCAATTGCTCAGTGGTGGATCTAGATTGATTATGACTACTATTTGTTTTCCTCCTTTTCATAAAGTTTTAATAACCCAAAGTCTTTCTTTCAGACATTACAGTCCGGTCTAAATCAGAAGCTGCCAATTGTCCTCTTAACTCGAAGGTAACCCATACCACTACCTTCCTTGAGGTGACTGAAAAGAGTATGGCTTCTGCTAGGTTTGAATTTGGCCTTCATACCAAACAAGCTGTGTGACTTGGGAAAGCGACCTAATGTTACTGAGCTATTCTTTCATCCTTTGTAAAACTGGGCTGTTGGGAGGACTAAATGAGATAATTTACATAAAGTATTTAGCACAGTGCTTATCACAGAATAGGCTCCTAGAGTTAAATGTCATTTTCCTTTTCCTCCTTCAAATAGGGTTTAATTGCTCCAGTCATTGTGGTCCCAAATAATTTTGATTCTGCTAGCTTACCACACCTGAAATGTATCAGATGATATTTAAATGCATAAGAAAAGTGCCCGATGATATCTCTATTTATTTTGTATTTTGCAAAAAGTCAACCCTGTCTCCCTCAATATATTTCCTGAAGGCAGGGAATATTTCTGATTCATATTTATATATTTTTTCTCTATAGTACCTAGCAAAGTGACTGGTACATAGTAGTATTTAATATGTATTTGCTGACCTAAATTAAAATGAGTATTTAGAACAGACTGAAATGAAAAGAAAACAGAAAATCCTTGCAGTGGAAGATGAAGTAAATGGCTTTGGAGATAGGAGAAATTAATATTTCCACGAAACAAATCACATGCACCATATAGATTTTCCTATTACGTATCATTCAATACTCTCTACGAACATTTTAAAATTCAATTAAATAACATTTCAAATATTTAAAGAGATAATGATGACAGAAATAGACAGATTCATCTTTTGAAAATATTTAATATTTTATTTCATGAGCTTAAGTGATATGAATACCTGGTACTGGAGAAATTATACCATTAATCATATTAATGATTTAATTGGCTTCCCAGAGTAAATGTTTCAGTTCTATTGTTGCTTAAAGAGAGAATTATTAGAGAGGAAAAGGATTTAGAGGAAGGCAATTTATATTCTCTTTTCAACTACTAGGGGCAACAAGATAGGACACTTTCGATCCCTCATGGTGTGAGTGGGACAACAGGCCTGAGGCATTTTACTTTCCTCATCCTAGTGCCTAGTTACACCTGAATGACAAAATGTCAACTCTAGATCAACCCCAAACTCAATCATCTAATTTCTCCATGCGTCCCCCTAACTCTGTCACTTGGCAGCCTGCGATTACTGCCTACTGTTTGGGTGTGCAGTGCTGTGGCTTTTTAAATCTTTCTGCTCAGTGGTGCTGTTCTTCATTCAATGGTACGTGTCTTGTCAGAGAAATGCCTGGTCATGCACGGCTCCTGTGAGCTCTTGAGTGGCAGTGGGGTTTGTCTTACAGCAGAGCCCCTTAATCCCCTTTCGGTGTCATATGAATGTGTTGGATGACTTCTTCAAGGAGCTGCGTCAGGATGGGTTTGAAAACAGTTAGGCTTTACTAGAACCATCTTTCTTTCCCTTCAGGTTGTGTTGCTGGGTCAGGTCCCCTGTTCCAGTCTCTTCCCTCCCCTACAGTGATTTTTTTTTTCCTTTCAAGGGTCCCACTGTTTACTTCTGCAGTCTGGCTTCTACTGGTGGGGGCTAAAAGATGAGAGGGGCTCAGGGAGTGGATAAAGATATTTCTCAGGCGCATTACTTAAACATACTTTTTTTAAGCAAAAGTTTATTGGTTTGTTTTTAGGCAGAGTCAAAATATTCCCATATCAAAACAGCCACATCAAGGCAGCCACATCAAGATGTTCTTGGCATCAAAATGACAGCCAAAGCTGTGTGTCAGCAAACTTGACTATGACAAAACAGCCTTTATCAAAATGGCTGTATCCTACATTGGCACAGGACTTGCCATGACAAGAATGGTTTCTAGAATGTCATTACTGTTTATAGTAACGTAAAAATGAAAAGTTGTGTTTCTTTCCACCACCAATGCTTCTACTTTCAATTGGGAGCTAGAATTACGCACAGGGACCCCACAAGGATGATAAAGAGGTACCCACTCCTTACTCCTAATGATCAATGTCTTCTGCAAAAAAGAATTGGGTACAATTTAATAAAGATGATCCTGCTTTCACCATGAAAATTGTGAAACTCCCATACTAATTTTATAATCATGTCTTTACACTTTGTTCTCATCACAGAGATCTTTTGGAATTATCTACTAACAATCAGCCAACACATTTATGTCAGCATTGAGGCAGCTCAGAGTCACATGTTCACTGACTACCATTGCATATTCTGTTCAATCACAAGCCTGGAAAAACCCATATCACATGATCATGCCCTGACCTGATGCCTCTTCAGGCACCCAATTAGGATGCAAAATCTTTCCTGAAAATGTTGATGTGATAAACCCTTTCTAACCTGTATTTTCAGGCTAAGAAAGCTTATAGACTGGGGAGATTCTTGCTCTGGGTATACAATATATAGTGTTCTAACTTAATTGCTCTCTGTTCCTAACTTAATTGCTGACCAACTCTTCCTTGACTTTCAAGGCACCACACTCTCTTGGCTTTATCCTGCCTCACTGTCTACTCCTTCTCAGTCTTTTTCTGTCTCCTATTTTTCTACCTGACCTCTATATGCTGGAGTGCCTCTGTGCTCAGTCTTGGGCCTTCTTCTCTAAGTATAACTCTCTCCTTAAGAGAGCACCTTCAATTCTAAGACTTTAAATAACATCTGTGTGCTGACTACTCCAAATATGTCTTTTCAGCCTGCATTAGTCTATTTGCATACTGCTGATAATGACATACCCGAGACTGGGCAATTTACAAAAGAAAGAGGTTTATTGGACTTACATTTCCACATAGCTGGGGAGGCCTCACAATCATGGCAGAACGCAAGGAGGAACAAGTTGCATCTTACGTGGATGGCAGCAAGCAAAGCGAGAGAGCTTGTGAAGAGAAACTCCCATTTTTAAAACCATCAGATTTCCTGAGATCCATTCACTACCACAAGAACAGCATGGGAAAGACCCAACCCCATGATTCAATCATCTCCCACAGGGTCCCTCCCATAACATGTGAGAATTATGGGAGCTACAAGATGAGATTTGGGTGGTGACACAGAACCAAACCATATCACAGCCCTAACCATTCACCATAAAACCAATATCTCTATTCGAAAGTCCAAGAGATATTTCAAACTTATAGTTCCATAATGGAACACTGATTCAAACCTGTTCTTCTTCTAGTCTTCTTCATCTTAGTGTGAAAATGAACTATATAGTCTCCCAAGCCACACACATAGAAGTTATCCCTGATTTTGTTTTTCACATCCCATATATATAATCCACCAGCAAATATTACTATGGGTCTACCTCCAAAATATATCTTGACTATATCTCTTCAAATGCCACAACCCTAGTCCAAGCCACCATCATCTTTTTCCACGACTATTGCAATGGCCTCTTTTTCTTTTTTCAGTCAATTCAACGAATGCGTATGCAATCTTAACTGGTTTCCCCTCCTTTTTTTTTTTTAGTTCTCAGCAGATCAAGCAAAGCTCAAGAAGGACAAATGAAACTACCCTATCAAGAGTACTCCCCTCCACCCACTACTTGTTTTTTGTTGTTGTTGTTGTTTGTTTGTTTTTGAGACAGAGTCTCACTCTGTCACCCAGGCTAGAGTGCAGTGGCGCGATCTCAGCTCACTGCAACCTCCGCCTCCCAGGTTAAAGTGATTCTTCTGCCTCGGCCTCCCGAGCAGCTGGGACTACAGGCGCGTGCCACTATGCCCGGCTAATTTTATTTTTTGTATTTTTAGTAGAGGCCTGCCTCAGCCTCCCAAAGTGCTGGGATTACAGGCGTGAGCCACCGCCCCCGACCTGTTCTTTATTAACTCACCATGTTGACTTTCTTCATAGAACTTACCACTATATGTAACTTTCTATTTCCTTCCTATTGACCATATTTCCCTCTAGAATATAAGCGCCACAAAAGCAGAGTTCAACTCTTTTCTTCTCCATTAGTCCTCAGGGTTTACTGCAGTGCCTGACCCACAGTAGCCTCTTAACAAATATTTGCCGGCAGGAATGAATTCAGGTATTTGCAAAAGAGGATATTTCTGGGATTCTAAAAATTTAGGCACCATCAATATTTGCTGTTGTTCAGAAGTATTCCATTCAGATTGGCCACATATACATGTATAAAATACATGTATTATTTAAAGGGAATGAGTTGAGAATATTTTGAGGCCTAGTTCAGACGTAATTCTTAAAAACTACTATTTTGTTTGATTGTCCCAACCTGAACACTGGGGTAACAATCCATGTTGCTTAGTATCACCAGGTTCAGGCACCAATTGTTAGATATAACTAAAAGTGTTTTGTTTTGATTTATTTTGTTTAGAGGTGGAGTCTTGCTCTGTCACCCAGGCTGGAGTACAGCGGTGCCATCATAGCTCACTGCAGCCTCAACCTCCTGGGCTCAAGTGATCCTCCTGCCTCAGCCTCCCAAGTGGCTAGGACTGTAGGCATGTGCCACCAAGCCCAGCTGATTTTTATTTTTATTTTTGTAGAGACAGGAGTCTCAATATGTTGCACAGGCTAGTCTCAAACTCTTGGGTTTAAGCAATTCTCCCACCTTGGCTTCCCAAAGTGCTAAGATTACAAGTATATGCCACTGTGCCTGGACTGAAAGTGTTAAGATCTTATGACAAAACAAAATATTTAGATGAGAAGAAATAATCACATGGATTAAAATGATCAATGTTGAATTTATTACATAGTTAGCTGAAGCATAAATATATACACACTCTAAATAGAAATGTAGTTGAAAATAGAAATTATTCTTTTGCAAACTGGTACATGAGTTCTTTTTAGGTAAGTAATTGTCTTTATTTATAATAATATCTTGAGAGATGCCTAAGGGGTGGTAGGTGAGGCTCTGTACGGGTTGGGGAAAAAAACAATTAAAAGATCACAAAATCATATTCTGCAGAGCCAAGAGTAGAAAAAAAATCACAAAATAATTCTGCATAAGCAATTATTGGGAGGTATGGGAAGAAGAGAGAAGTGGTAAGGGAGGAGGCACAGTGGGAGAGGAGGCTGAGCAAAATGTCAGGAAGCTTACATTTGGGTTGGTGGAAATAGAACAAGGAAATCAAGTTTTCAGTTTTAAATTGGCTGCTAAAGAGTTTTGCATATTTGCCATGTAGCCTCCCTATATGGCAAACATTATCTTTGAATTGCCAGGAACAGGCTACCACACACAGCTGCCTCTCATGAATTTGGGATGGGAAATCAAAGAGGAGGAGCTGTAACACATCCCTGGGTCAGTGCCAAAAGAAGATAAAGGAACAGCTGCAAGATACTGCAGAGTGAAGAATGGTAATTCAGCAGAAGCCAGAAATCAAACCCAGAGGTACCAAGAGAATGGGAAGCCCAGAAGTATCTCAGGGAGTTTGGGAGAGCACCAACTTCCCATAACACATGGGATGAGGTTTCCAGGTGAGTTTATTAAACTGCAAGGTGGTATTTGACTTCACAAATAATCTAAGAGCCACTGACAATAGGATTCTGCTGATAAATATTAATCACCCCTCACCATAGTATTAGTGAAAACTCTCATTAGAGATGATAGGTGCAACAGACAATGTCTGTGTCCTCCCCCTGACAAATTCGTATGTCATCCCCCAATGTGATGGTATTAGATGGTAGTGTTTTTGGGAGCTAATTAGGTCATGAGGGTGGTGCCCTAATGAGTGGAATTAGCGCCCCTATAAAAAGAACCCCAGAGAGCTCCCTTGCCCTCTTTCTGTCATGTGAGGATTCAATGAGAAGACAGCAGTCTGCAATCCAGAAGAGGACCCTCACCAGAATGCAACCCTGCCAGCATGCTGATCTAGGATTTCTAGCCTTCCAAACTGCGAGAAATAAATTTCATTTGTATATAAGCCATCCAGTCTGTGGTGCTTTGTCATACCAGCCCCAAATGACTAAAACAATAGGTGGTGTGTGTTTCGATTTTGATCCTCTCCTTTGATCATTCCATCCTGCTTTATTTGTTTCTGTTTTCCCCTGTGGTTCCATACTCCAATGTAAACCATGTTGGCCACAGTGATAGATCACTGTTTTTTATTATTTTTAGAGTTGGTTAGCCAGAACAATAAAAATTAAATTTATCAAATCTATGTAGTATGAGCAGGCTAGTGAAAACTAAAATTTAAATAATAATAGAAAAGCCTAAAGTTAGCTGGAAAGAGCATATCCAATTCAGCTAAATCACTTATTCATTGAATTCAACAAATACTCTGTGCCAAATACTCTGCTAGGTTCTGGAACTTTGAATATGAAAAAACCCAGTTGTCCCTCTCCATGAGTTCACAGTTCAGTGGGGATACAAAAGCAAATACTTATGATACAATGTAGGAAGTGCAAAATATAAAAACAATCATGGCTTTTATGAGATCACTGAAGAAAGAGGCACTTAGTGAACCCTTTGGAAGAGATCAGAGTTAGGAGTGGCTTTTTTTTTTTTTCCTTGAGACGGGGTCTCGCTCTGTTGCCCAGGCTGAAGTCCAGGCTGAAATAAAGTGGTGCAATCATAGCTCACTGTAACCCTGAACTCTTGGGCTCAAGCAATCCTCCTGCCTCATTCCTCCCAAAGCACTGGGATTACAGATGTGAGCCACTGTGCCTACCCAGGGGTGGCCTTTTTAATAAGTTGACAGCTGAGTTGGATTTTTAAGGATATGAAGAATTACTCAAGACAAATTCCTGATGGGAAGGAAACTGGATTGGGGTTAGGTGTAGGAGAGGGAAATAGAAGCAGAGATGTGGTTCCAAAAGGAACAGCACAGGCAAAGACATAGAAGGGGAAAAGTGCAAAGACTACATAGGAAACTACAAGATTTGATTTGCTGGAAACAGTTATAATGCACTAGAGAAAAGGGTAAAAGGTAGACGGTGGTGACTCTGAGTGTTATCTCTAAAAAGTGTAGACCATCTTGTCTGTGATGTGGAAAGTCTAATGGGTTTTGAGGCAGAAAAGTGGCAGGGCAAGAGTAGAGTTTTAAATAAATTACTTCAGTGTTATAGAGAGAACAGTTAAAAAGGGGTTGTAGTTGTACCTGTGGTTATACCTGTATTTAAGGTAGACAAAACAAAGGAAATTTGTTAGCAAATTGTTGTTCTAGACCAGGTGAAAGATGAAGAGTGGCCTATCTGAGGTGTGGATGGTGAAGATGGAGAAGTGGGAACAGGTCAAGCAATGTTTAGGAAGTTAAACCCTCAGGGCATGGTAACCGATTAGATTTTGGAGATGAAGGAGAGACACTACCAAAGGACTCTCTCAGATGACAAGTATGGATAACGGGGTCATGAGCTAAGATTGTGTCAACAGGAGGTAAAACTTTTTTAATGGAGAAGATGATAAATTTCATTCTAAACGTGAAGTTCTGGGTGCCTTTGGGACAGCCAGCATGAGCCAGAAAATGCTAGAAATGAGGGGAGAGGTCTGAAAGTACAGCACTGGAATTCATTTCTGTACAGGTGGTAGTTGAAACATTGAAGATGCCTTGGATCACTTAAGGAACATGTGTAGACTGATAGACAAGGGAGAGTCCAGGGAGAAGATGAGCCCACAAGGAAGGTAGAGAAGGAATGATCAGAGATGTATAAGAAAAGGAGGAGAGTGGTATATTAAAATAAAGAATGCATTTTCAGAAGGAAGTGATCATTGTGTCAAATGATTATAACAGGGGTTGTAATATAGGGCTTAGAGGAAAATAAATTTATTCACTTAGATGTCAATTTATTTACTTAGATGTCATTTCAAGAGCTGTTGTCATAGAGTTGTAAGGAGCTAAGAATGAGTAGGGAGGCAACTCCCTTGAATATCAAAAGAGGATATTCAAACCAAGCAAGGGCAGGACCAAAATAGAAAGTTACTAGCTTGTCTCACATATAAATATAGATATACAAAAACTAAACAAAATATTTGCAATTCATTGAAAATGCAGTATAATCAAGGGGGGTTAATCTCAGAAGTGAATGATACTTTATTTTTTGAAATCTATTAGTGTAATTCACTATCATATCCAATTAATGGAGGAACTTAAATGATCACCTCAATAACTATAGGAAAACATTCTTTTTTTTTCTTTGTTGAGATGGAGTCTCACTCTGTTGCCAGACTGGAGTGCAGTAGCATGATCTTGGCTCACTTCAACCTCTGCCTCCCGGCTTCAAGCGATTCTCCTGCCTCAGCCTCCTGAGTAGCTGGGATTACAGATATGCAGCACCACGCCCAGCTAATTTTTGTATTTTTAGTAGAGACGGGGTTTCACCATGTTGGCCAGGCTGGTCTTGATCCCCTGACCTCATGATCCACCCGCCTCGGCCTCCCAAAGTGCTAGGATTACAGGCGTGAGCCACCATGCCAGGCCCTCATTTATTTTAAAATATTCTTCTTAGAAAACCAGAAATAGATCAGATCATCCTAAATATCAAAAACCTACAGCAAATATTGTACTTAATGGTGAAAAAAATGGAAACATTTTCTTCAAAGTCAAGAACAAGACATGGTATTGTATCCATTCCACATTGTTTCTGGGGGTCCTAAACAATGCAATAAGATAAGAAATAAAAGCATAGGAATTGGAAAGAAAGGAAATAATAATTATATGAAAATAATATAATTGTCTACAGAGGATATTCAAGACAATCTTTTGACATTTTATCAATACTTTTGGGGTTTTTTTTTTTTTTTTTTTGAGAAAGAGTCTCGCTCTGATGCCAGGCTGGAGTGCAGTGGTGCAATCTTGGCTCACTGCAACCTCCGCCTCCCAGGTTCAAGCGATTCTCCTGCCTCAGCCTCCTGAGTAGCTGGGACTACATGTGTGCACCACCATGCCCAGCTGATTTTTGTATTTTTAGTAGAGACGGGTTTTCACCATGTTGGCCAGGATGGTCTCTATTTCTTGACCTTGTGATCCGTCCACCTCGGCCTCCCAAAATACTAAGATTACAGGTGTGTGCCACTGTGCCCAGCCTATCAATACTTCTAAGAGAGTTTTTCAAGGTTGATGGACACAAAGCCAATGTTCAAGAATCAATAGTGTTTTTCAGCCTGGCACAGTGGCTCACGCTTGTAATCCCAGCACTTTGGAAGGCCAAGGTGGGCGGATCACTTGAGGTCAGGAGTTTGAGACCAGCCCGGCCAATATGGTGAAAACCCATCTCTACTAAAAATACAAAAATCAGCTGGGCGTGGTGGTGCACACATGTAGTCCCAGCTACTCAGGAGGCTGGGGCAGGAGAATCACTTGAACCCAGGAGGCGGAGGCTGCAGTGAGCCAAGATCATGCCATTGCACTCCAGCCTGGGCATCACAGAAAGACTCCGTCTCAAAATAAAATAAAATAAAATAAAACAAAAATAGTGTTTTTCTATGACAGCAATAACCAATTAGAAAATATAATAAGAATATCTAAATTGCAGTCCCAACAAAAGCCATAATGTACCCAGAAATAGATTTAACAAAATATGTCTAAGACTTATATGGAAAAAAAAATGAGACTTTATCAATGAATACAAAATGGAAGAAATATATCATGTTCTTGAAGGGAAACTCAATATTATAACCAGGCAATTCTCCCTAATTAATGTATACATTTAACATTTTACAATCAGAATCTCAATGAGTGCTTTGTGGAATTTGACATTTGATTATAAAATGCCCATCGAAGAGTTCAGCGCCAAGAACAAGCAAAACAAATTTGAAAAAGGAAAATAAGAATGGAAAGGAATTAAGATGGTATGGTAGTAGAGCATAAGTAAATATAAAGTTCAACAGAACAGAGAGCAACACATAGGAGAGCTTGGTATGTGATAGAACATATAAAGCAGCAGGAAATAGCTGTACTATTCAATAAGTGGTGCTAGGTCAATTAGTTATCCATATAGAGAAAAACTAGATCTTTCTCACTATATACATAAATACATATCAGGTGGATTAAACTTTTCAATGTGAAAGGCAGAATAATAAAGCTTTTGGAATATAGTAGAGGAGAATACATTTATAACTTTGGAGTAGGGAAGGCCATTTTAAGGCATGAAAAACTTACATCATAAATGAACATAAACATGATAAATTAAAATTTCCTTCCCTCTCTCCCTCCCTCCCTCCCTCCCTCCTTTCTTCCCTTCCTCCCTTCCTTCCTTCCTTCTTGTGAGACAGGGTCTCACTCTTCACTCTGTTGCCTAGGCTGGAGTGCAGTGGTGCAATCTCAGCTCACTATAACCTTCACTTCCCAGGCTGAAGCCATCCTCCCACCTCAGCTTCCCTAGTGGCTGGGACTACAGGCACATGCCACCACACCAGGCTAATTTTTTTGTATTTTTAATAGGGTTTTGCTATGTTGCCCAGGCTGGTCTTGAACTCCTGGGCTCAAGCGATCCACCCACCTGCGCTGGCCTTCCACAGTGCTGGGATTACAGGCAGGAACCACTGCACCCAGCCTAAAATAAATTCCTATGTGAGAAAAAATACCATGAACTATGTTAAAAGACCAGGAGAAAATGTTTACAATTAAAAAAACTGACAAAAGATTAGAGTACAGCATATATACAGGGAAAACTTTTATAAATCAATAAGGAAAAGACAAAAATGCAATGGAAAAAAAAATTATCAAAGAATGTGAATTGGCCAGGCACAGTGGCTCATGCCTGTAATCCCAGCACTTTGAGAGGCCAAGGCAGGAGGATTACTTGAGGCCAGAAGTCTGAGACCAGCCAAGTCAACATAGTAAGACTCCATCTGTACAAAAAATTTAAAATAGCCAGGCGTGGTGGTGCACACCTGTAGTCCCAGTTACTTGGGAGGTTGAGGTGGGAGGATCACTTGAGCTCAGGAGTTTAAGGTTGTAGTGAGCCATGATTGAGCCACTGTACTCCAGCCTAGGCAACAGAGCAAGACTCAGTCTCAAAAAAAAAAAAAATTAAAAATAAATAAAAAGAACGTGAATAGGCAATTCAGAGAAGTAAAACCCAAATTGTCAACAGCATATCAAAAGATGTTTAACCTCTCTCCTAAAGAGGAAAATTCAGAATTAACATTGGGTTGCTTTTCATATATGTGATAATAGCAAAATCTAAAAATCTGATAATGCTAAATCTTGGCAACAGCGTGAAGAAAGGAATTTCTATATCTTCTGATGGGAAAGTAAATTGGTACAACCACTATGAAAAGCAATTTTCCAACTATTTGTAGAGTTGAATATGTGTATTCCCTACACATGGCAATTCAATTTCTGAACATATATCTAGAGAAATGCATATATACATAAGGAGAAGTGCCTTAAGGATGATCACTGCTTTATTGTTTGCAATAAAAAAGGTGGAAACAACCATTTCTGTGGAATATGTAAACTAATGGATGGACTATTTATATGACATGCAACTATACAGCAGTTAAAATGAATGGAATAGAATCACAAGTATCAACGTAGATAAATCATGAAACAATACTGAATGTAAAAGGTAAAGTCTAGGATATATATATATATATATATATATATATATATATATATATATATACATTTTATAAAGACACAAAACCATTTTATCTCTTTTTTTAAAGATCTGAAGAAAAACAGTGGCTGGGAGGTAAGGAAGTAGTGAAGATAGTGAGTATCATCTACCCTTTAGAAAAGTTCAGGTAGAGAAAGGAAGAAAGATTGGATAGTGGCTTGAGGAAGACGCTGGGTTGGAAGCCACACCCCCATAAAAATGTTGTGTACCCCAACACTTTTATTATAATTTTTTAAAAGAGGATTTTGCTCTATTGCCTACACTGGAGTGTAATGGCACAGTCATAGCTCACTGCAGCCTCGAACTCCTGGGCTTAAGCTATCCTACTGCCTCAGCCTCCCAAGTAGCTGGGATTACAGGCGTGAGGCAGCGTGCCCAGCTATGACAATTTTAAAAAACACAGAAAAGTTGAAAGAACTGTACAGTGAACACTCATTTACCCACAACCTAGATTCCACAAAGAGCATTTTGCTTTATTTGGTTTATTCTACATCTATCCATCCATCAATCCAGCCTATTTTTTTAGATGCATTTCAAAGAAATTTGTAGACATCAGTGCACTTCGTCAGTCAGTAGCGTTTTTTGTTTTTTTCTGAGAGTCTTGCTCTGTTACCCAGAGTGCAGTGGCATGTTACTGGAATGCAGTGGCATGATCTCGGCTTACTGCAACCATTACCTTCCAGGTTCAAGCGATTCTCCTGCCTCAGCCTCCCTGAGTAGCTGGCATTACAGATGCCCATCATCATGCGCAGCCATTTTTGTATGTTTAGTAGAGACAGGGTTTCACTATGTTGGCCAGGCTGGTCTCGAACTCCTGACCTCAACTGATCCACTCACTTCGGCCTCCCAAAATGCTGGGATTACAGGTATGAGCCACCGTGCCCGGCCAACTTTTTGATTAGATGGGAGAGATGAACATATGAATTGAAAGGAGTCAGTGTTGAGGGTGTGGTTGAAGGAAAAAAGAGAAAATAATTGCTTAAGCCCTAAAAGAGGTGGGAGCATCTGACCTTTGAAAAAGAGGAGGGAGCTCTCATCCCCTGAGCCTGAAAGAAAAGACTGGAGGGATATGGATGTTGAAGGAGATCTTACTTAGTGCCTCAATTTTTCTCTTTGAAACAGGAGGTGGAAACATTTGTTGAGAATGAGAGTTGGGAGTTGACCAGGTCTTGAGGAGGGAAGACAAAGATTAGGTCTATTCACTGAGCAGAATGGGAGAGGGAACTGATCAAAGACAAGTTAAGGGGTTGGTGAAATCTTTGAGGGCCCAGTTGAGCTTGAATCTGTAGCAGCAGATGACTCCAGGTTATGGGATTTTCTCCAGGCCTCAACTGTTTGAGAAGGATGATATGGTTTGGCTCTGTGTCCCCACCCAAATCTCATCTCAAATTGTAATCCCCACTTGTTGAGGGAGGGACATAGTAGGAGTTGACTGAATCACTGTGGCAGTTTCCCTCATGCTGTTCTTGTGATAGTGAGGGAGTTCTCACAGGATCTGATGGTTTAAAAGTGGTAGTTTCCTCTGCACTCTCTCTCTCCTTCTTCTACCATCATGTAAGATGTGCCTCGCTTCCTCTTCACCTTTCGCCATGATTGTACGTTTTCTGAGGCCTCCCTAGCTATGTGGAACTGTAAGTCAATTAAACTTCTTTTCTTTATAAATTACCCAGTCTCAGGTAGTATCTTTATAACAGTGTGAGAACAGACTAAAACAAAGGAGGAGAAGGAAAAATAGACTGTGAGACTGATACAGAGTTGATGCAGTGGGCAAGGTGCAAGGGAACAGAAGGGACTAGTGTATTTTATTTTTTTAATTTAATTCAATTTTATTCTATTTTGAGACAAGGTCTTGCTCTGTCACCCAGGCTGGAATTAATGGTACAATCTTAGCTCACTGCAACCTCCACCTCCCAGGCTCAAGCGATTCTCATGCCTCAGCCTCCCAAATAGCTGGGATTACAGGCATGTGCCACCACGCCTGGCTAATTTTTGTATTTTTAGTAGAGATGGGGTTTCGCCATGTTGGCCAGGCTGGTCTCAAACTCCTGAACTCAAATGATCCACCGGCCTCAATCTCCCAAAGTACTGGGATTACAGGCATGAGCCACCACTCCTGGCCCAGGAGTAGTGTGTTTTAGATGATCAATCATTAGTCCCAGGCAGAGCACGGAACTAACAGAGTCTAGGAAAGGCTGATCAACTGGAATAAAATGAAGGTATCTACAGAGTAGAGTTCTCATGAAATGGAAAAACAACCCCTCTATTGAGCCACAAACCTTGAGAGAGCTCTGTCCTCACTAGGCTCATTGCTTCAGCTCCAGACACAGGGAGACAGCTTGGATTAGAACAAGGTCCTTGTGGCCTTTCCAAAAACTTTGTGACAGGCTTCACAGTGAGCCAAAGTATAATATTTGAAGCCCATCTCTCCCTCATTCCTCTAATCCCCAGTCATTGATTGAATGGGCAATATTTCTAGTCACCTGTGCTCTCTATTGCCTTCACCCCCTTAATGAATGGTTCAGTACTTTCTCACATCTGCCTATCACTATGAAACCCCTCTTTCTCACCTCTTGTGGCTATCACTACAAACCCCTTAATCATCCTTTGCACTGAGCCATCTGGAACCATTATCCCATTATAAATAAGACATTCTACATTCTTTTTTTTTTTTTTTTTGAGACGGAGTCTCGCTCTGTCACCCAGGCTGGAGTGCAGTGGCGGAATCTCGGCTCACTGCAAGCTCCGCCTCCCGGGTTCACGCCATTCTCCTGCCTCAGCCTCCTGAGTAGCTGGGACTACAGGCGCCCGCCACCACGCCCGGCTAATTTTTTGTATTTTTAGTAGAGACGGGGTTTCACCGTGTTAGCCAGGATAGTCTCTATCTCCTGACCTCGTGATCCGTGAAGACCCACTTCAAGGCTAGGATTTGCCTTGCAACATCCTCTAGTTGAGGCTGTTCATTCTCCCACATACTTTGTTCTGTTGTGCTGTAGAGGGAGTTGGGATGCAGGGGTTAGCATTTGGCTGACTGTCCTTTGCTACTTCCAGACCACCACTCTTGAACTCTCATGTAAATGCTTACTCTTTTCTTAAGGGTTCCCTCTACCCTATCTTCCTTTTTGCCACTTGGTTCCCTTCATTCTCCAAAAATTTGGGGACTTAACTCCCCAATAGTTTTTATCTTTATCCTACCTCCTAGTACCATCCTAGGAGTTGCTGTTAACAACTGTTCCACTAACTTAGCTTTTTAATTTTTGTACCTTCTTAACCCTTCTGACCTTCTCCTTCAATCTACTTTAGTCATCCACCACTTAGGACCACATTTTGTATCTTGTCATCACTCAGACATTACACCTTAGCAATCTTAGATTCTGATATCCCACTTTCTGACTACTTGCTTCTAACCTTCCAGCTCCTCCCTGGTTATCCTGCTAATAATTTCCTGTTATAAACTAATGGAAAAATGACCAAAAAAAAAAAAACCCTTCCAGGTTTCTTATTTCTCAATACTAACGATTAACCATAATCAACACTGGGAAGAGATTCTTCATCCATATTTAGATAACAGCTTACAAAGGATATATTTTGGATATTTTTTTCTTTATTCACAAGTCTTAAATAGGCTTTAGCTATTATAACCAATGTCTTGACATCTTTAAGATATCAGAGAAAAATGAAAATGGTTGTGTAGCCTCCACATATTGACCAATTAAGATAATATTTCTTGGCCAGGCACGGTGGCTCACGCCTGTAATCCCAGCACTTTGGGAGGCCGAGGAGGGCGGATCACGAGGTCAGGAAATCGAGACCATCCTGGCTAACACGGTGAAACCCCGTCTCTACTAAAAATACAAAAAAAAAAAAAAAAATTAGTCAGGCGTGGTGGCGGGTGACTGTAGTCCCAGCTACTCAGGAGGCTGAGGCTGGAGAATGGCGTGAACCCAGGAGGTGGAGGTTTTAGTGAGCTGAGATCATGCCACTGCACTCCAGCCTGGGCGACAGAGCAAGACTCTGTCTCAAAAAAAAAAAAAAGATAATATTTCTTTCAGAGTAATAGGAGGACAGTGGAATAATTTTTTTAAATCTCTTCTTCAGAATCATTTGGTTCTGATTTTTTAATCACATTTTTGAGGACTCATTAGAACAACAAAGCTAAGGAAGTGATCATTTTCTTTGGCTAGGGTTACCTAACTTGGTGTCTCTATAGTTAATAGAAAAACACAGAAATTAATTTGCTAAAGATTACTCTCTTCATAGATAGTGTCTGTTAATAGATGGTTGGCTCGGCATATTCCAAGAAGAGCTGGGTTACTCAACAGATATGGTGTTTAGGGCACTGGCAAAGTAGGAATACACAAAGACACATACAAAACTTTTAAGAGTTTGATATCTGCCATTTCTGAAACACATTCTGTAGTGGTTATCACTGAAAAAATAAAACAGAACTTTGTTGCTCTTCATAACACTTTGCAAAAATAATTTTTAGGTGGGGTGAGGCACCTTATTATTTTCAGTGCTTAGGACCTCTAAGGTTTTAATTAGGCCCTGATGTCAGGGGCCATTGTGATTACATCTGAGTATTTTTACTTTTTTCGCATTCCTGTAGTTGAATGCTGAAGTGAGGTCATGATTTTGGAGGAGTTTTTCCCAGAAGTGACTGGTAGACGTCTGTTTGTCTCTGGGCTGTTCCACTGCTTTTCCAAACAATATTGTCATTGGTTAGTACAAACAGTGGCCTTCTCTTAGAGGACACGGGCCAGATATAAAAGGGTACTCACAAAACCCAAGAAGATTGCTAAGCCTTTCTTTGGTCCTGATGACTCCCTAAGATCATGAAGTTTCTAACTGCTATGAGGAGAATCAGTGCTCCTTAAATTCTCCTCATTAACCTCAGTTTCCCCATTTAGAATGCTCACTTCCTTTCTACCTGACCTGCTTCCAAACTTGACTTATGCCACAGCTTTGGTTTCTATCCAACTTCTTTCTACCGAGAATGCTGTGGAATGAATGGCAGCCACCCAACCACTTGAGGCTTGCTGTCCTATACTCCTCAATGAAGAGATTGAGAGAGTAGAGAAATATTTCCTTTTAAAGACAGACCCCTTCTAGGGAGTAGGAAATATATTTTCTATGATTGCATTAGATTCTGCTTAAGACTCAGGATGCAGGATGCTATCGTGACGAGGGACAGACAAGGTTGAAAAGGGGAACATACTGAGCAATGAGGAACAGCTGAGAGCTACAAAGATAGGGCTGTGCTCGTGTATAAATAGCAATGTTGCTGCTACCCTGATGAATCAGACCAGATGTTTCTCTGATGTCTCTGTTTGGTCCTTTGGTTAAAAAAAAATAAGTATAATTTTGCTAAAATTATATGTGGGGCCAGGAATATGGCACGAATGCTTTAAGCTTAAATAATATGTAAAAGAATAAAATTACTTTGCTGAGAAAACCTTTATTAACAAGAAAAATATCCATTTAAAGGACAGAAAAGGATGGAAAGGAATGAATCTTTTGATAGGGCTAATGAATTGAGATTCAGGAGATCTGAATTCTAATCTTTCCTCTGTCATTAGTTTTGTGAGCACAGTCATGTCATTTTCCTGGGCCTAGGAATGTTTATTTTTAAAATGGGCAGGGGCAGGAGAGAAAATGAGAGTTGCATGATTGGACTTATTAAACGGATATTTTAGTATCTTTTGCAGCCCCAAACATCTATGAAGAAACCCTTAGTATAATTTCTTGTTTCTTGGCTTCTGGTTTCATTGAGGGGTTAATTTATGAAAGACATTGCCGGGGAGAAACAAGTTTTCTGTCTCAAGGTGCTTATAACCTGATAGCAGATATTAAGAGTTATACAGGCTAGGCGCAGTGGCTCACGCCCGTAATCCCAGCACTTTGGGAGGCCGAGGAGGGTGGATCACGAGGTCAGGAGATCGAGACCATCCTGGCTAACACAATGAAACCCTGTCTCTACTAAAAATACAAAAAAAAAAAAAAAAAAATTAGCCGGGTGTGGCGGCGGGCGCCTGTAGTCCCAGCTACTCAGGAGGCTAAGGCAGGAGAATGGCGTGGACCCGGGAGGCGGAGCTTCCAGTGAGCCAAGATCGTGCCACTGCACTCCAGCCTGGGAGACAGAGCCAGACTCCGTCTCAAAAAAAAAAGAGTTATACAAAGGATAATTCCATAATATGTACTATGATTGGTTCCAGAAGACAGACAGAAACAAATGCTATAGGAACTCAGAGGAGGCTAATTGCCAGCTTGGAGAATAGGGAATGACTTGATGGAGGAGGACAGTGGTATTTGATGGGGACCCTTGAAAAGTCCCATTCCAGGTGGAAGAAACAATTAAGCCGAGGCAAGGGGCAAGGAAAGTGCTGGATGTATTTGTAGAACAGAGAGTCTATTGGGTTGGCAGAGCACATGCAATGAGCGAGGCAGCAACAGTGGTTTGGGATTACATTTGGAAGGCCCTTTTAAGCTCTGTAAAGCATATATTTTACTTAGTAGGCAACAAGGAGCTGTTTTTTTGAGCTTGGATGTGATTTGGTCTGAACTGTGCTGTAGAATAATTCACCTACAACAGAAAGTAGAAAGTATTGGAGGTGGAAAGGTGGCAGGGGAAGGAGGACGGCTAACAAGCTAATGCAATAATCCTCGTGAAAGCTAACTAGGTCTGAGCTAGGACAGTGTCAATACGAATTCAAAGCATGAGTTGGATTTATGCAAGCTAGGATGGAGGAGAGGACTCAAAAGTAACTCCATGTATAAGCAAGTTTGAGACAGAACCCACTAGTTTTACTAACATAAAAAGGCAATTCAAGAAGGCAAGGGTGGTTGGGCAAGGGGTAAGGAGATCATGAAGATGTCACTTTCCATGCATTGAGTTGGAAGTCCAGGAAGCATATTTTGTTGGAGGTGTTCAACATTTAAAAACTCCTGATAGGACCCTAGTACTGTGGATAAGGCTGGAGATGAGTTTCTCAAAGTCAACATTATCCAAGTGACAGCTGAAATCACAGAAGTGGGTAGATCACCAGGGATTTAGGGAGTGAGGTGAGAGGAAGACAGATGGCAGAATCTTGGGAAATGTCTGAATTCTTCCTTATGATAGACTGGGCATAGTCAGTGTTATAATCAGGAGAGTGCTGCATAAACGTGTCTAAAGGGAGAGAGGATATTGAAAGGGAGGAGCTGGCGAACCAGTTTAAAAATTGCATTACTGTTTTGGGGATTAGCTGCTTAGAGGTGGGGCATACATAGTCTAGAAGGGACTGGCTATAAGAAAATAGCTGGCCAGGCTCGGTGGCTCACTCCTGTAATCCCAGCATTTTGGGAAGTCGATGCAGGTGGATCACTTGAGCCCAGGAGCTTGAGGCCAGCCTGGGCAACATGGGGCAACCCTGTCTCTACAAAAAATGCAAAATTAGCCAGGCATGGTGGCGCACACCTGTAGTCCCAGCTACTTGGGAGGTTGAGGTGGGAGAATTGCTTGAGCCTGGGAGGTGGAGGTTGCAGTGAGCCAAGATCATGCCACTGCACTCCAGCCTGGGCGACAGAGCAAGGCCCTGCCTTAAAAGGAAAGAAAATAGTTAACAGCATTTGTGAAGAGGGAACCTCGTGTGTGTGTGTGTGTGTGTGTGTGTGTGTGTGTGTGTGTGTGAATGAAGAAGAAAACTGGACCCATACCCGGACCTCAGTTTTGTGACAGCCAAGATTCCAAACCCTCATCTCCCCTTATTATTGACTATTGGTAATGTATACTTCTCTTTATTACTGGCAATGTGTATTCAGAACCAAAGGCCTCTTTCTGTCTTTTAGAAACCTCAGATTTGTGCCAGCATTTGTTTTTAGACATAGGAAAACTATTATTTCTTCTCCTCGATAGTTACCCAATTTTTAGTTCCCACTTCTCCGGGGACTTGGGTCTGATTCTTGATGTTATGAATTCCAATGATAGTAAATATGTAGATCACCTTTGGGAGCTTGAAACCTGGAGGAAAGAGGAGGGGAGAAGGCAGGCAGGGGTGTGAGAGCTTTCTTGTAGTTCACACATAAAGGACTGTTTGCAAACTACAGTGTTAACTAAGACTTCATCAGCCAAGGATTTATCTTCACATTAAAATCTGGGTTGGCTCTGGGGAGATACCACTGGTGTAAGTTCAAGTAGGATTAACTGCCTCCCAGCAATGCAAATTGGTTTCCAACTTTTTTGTTTTGTTTTTTCTTCAATATTTTTTGGGATATTTTTCTTAAATGATAATAATTTGCAAAAACCATGAAATATTATTTTTGGTTCTACAAATGTCAGAACACCAAAGAAAAACACTCTTCAGGAATCCAGATCTATTAATGAAATTAAAAATTAGGGGACTTGAGTTTTAATCTCAATCTCCTAAGTAGCCATGTTTAGGTAGGTTGCTTAATACAATTCTATGCTTAATTTTTTTTTTAAATTCTCTAAATGATGATTTTAAAATACTGGTTCTACTTATCTCACAGAATTATTGTTCAGGTTGTGAAAGTATTTTCTTTCTTTCTTTTCTTTTTTTTGAGACAGGGTCTCATGCTGTTGCCCAGGCTGGAATGTAGTGGTGCAATTATGGTTCACTGCAGTCTCAAACTCCTGGACTCAAGTGATTCTCCTGCCTCAGCCTCCTGAGTAGCTGGGACTACAGGTGTTTGCAACCAGGCCCAGTTAATTTTTTTCTATTTTTTTGTAGAGATGAGGGTCTCACTATGTTGTCCAGGCTGGTCACAAACTCCTGGGGCTCAAGTGGTCCTCCTGCCTCAGCCTCTAAAAGCACTATGATTATAGGTGTAAGCCACCATGCCTGGCCTGTGAAAGTATTTTATTTTTAAGTTATGAACACTAGATAAATTTCAGACATACTATTACTTAGGCAATTAGATAATGACCTGCTGCTAGTCTGGGGTCAGGATAGGGAGGTGAAGCAGGGACCAGTATCTGGAACGTTTGGATTTAAAAAGTAGGATTATTGAAAATGGATTAAAGACTTAAATGTAAAACCCCAAACCATAAAAACCCTAGAAGAAAATCTAGGCAATACCATTCAGGACATAGGCATGGGCAAAGACTTCATGACTAAAACACCAAAAGCAATTGCAACAAAAGCCAAAATTGACAAATGGGATCTAATCCAACTAAAGAGCTTCTGCACAGCAAAAGAAACTATCATCAGAGTGAACAGGCAACCTACAGAATGGGAGAAAGTTTTGCAATCTACCCATCCGACAAAGGTCTAATGTCCAGAATCTACAAGGAACTTAGACAAATTTACAAGAAAAAAACAAACAACCCCATCAAAAAGTGGGCAAAGGATATGAACAGACACTTCTCAAAAGAAGACATTTATGCAGCCAATAAACATATGAAAAAAAGTTCATCATCATTGGTCATTAGAGAAATGCAAATCAAAACCACAGTGAGATACCACCTCACGCCAGTGAGAATGGTGATTATTAAAAAGTCAGGAAACAACAGATTCTGCCAAGGCTATGGAGAAATAGGAATGCTTTTACACTGTTGGTGGGAGTGTAAATTAGTTCAACCATTGTGGAAGACACTGTGGCGATTCCTCAAGGATCTAGAACCAAAATACCATTTGACCCAGCAATCCCATTACTGGGTATATACCCAAAGGATTATAAATCATTCTACTATAAAGACACATGCACATGTATGTTTATTGCAGTGCTATTTACAATAGCAAAGACTTGGAACCAACCCAAATGCCATCGATGATAGACTGGATAAAGACAATGTGGCACATATACACCATGGAATACTATGCAGCCATAAAAAAGAATGAGTTCATGTCATTTGCAGGGACATGGATGAAGCTGGGAGCCATCATTCTAAGCAAAGTAACACAACAGAAAACCAAACTCTGCATATTCTCACTTATAAGTGGGAGTTGAACGATGAGAACACATGGACACAGGGAGGGTAATATCACATACTGGGGCCTGTCGGGGCGTGGGGGAAAGGGGAGGGAGAGCATTAGGACAAATATCTAATGAATGCAGGGCTTAAAACCTAGATGACGGGTTGATAGATGCAGTAAACCACCATGTTTACTGTAACCACCATGTTACATAGGTATACATAGGCACATGTATACCTATGTAACAAACCTGCATGTTCTGCACATGTATCCCAGAACTTAAAGTTAAAAAAAAAATAGTAGGATTACTAAAAAAGCAGGATTACTGGCGGTTGGCAGAGGCCTTTTCTTGAGCTCAGGAATGGATGATGCCACTGAAAGAGCAGATGTGGAAATAAATTCTGGAAATGTTTCGCATACCACTTGTAATGCTGTTTTTAAGATAATTGCTTGGGTAAATAAATTCCTTATACATTGACTAGTAAAGAGATACTCAACTTTGTACATTTGATGCCATATTCACTTGCTGTCTAACTTATGTTACCATGGCATTAATTTAGTATAAATAAAAATGCTCTAGGTCTACTCAGTGCTGAGCCTTGAAATCTCAGCACTCAACATCTCTTATCCACTAAAGCACACACTGTTGTTTACACGTGGAAGACTGACTATGCAGCCAGTCTAGTAAGCAAGCAAGCAAGCAAGCAAGCAGGGTCCTAGATATTAAAAATGACCATTCCTGTAAACCATCAAGCCACAAATCAACAAGCTTAATCACAAAAGTTTCTTGAGGGAACAAAGTTGAAGTAATATCCATTGAGTCATTGTGGAACTATCTGTACTTGTGGTTGATTAGCCAGGTAAGCTGGTTTTTCCTCAGTTTCCTCACCTGTTAAACAAGAGGCAGAATGATGTTCTCTCTAAAACACTTCTTGCTTTGAAATACTATTACTCTAAATAAGACTTTGGAGAAACTCACAAAATACATCCTTGTTAACTCTCAATAAGCCCAAACAATATTCCAGGACCCCACAAAACCAGAAAACTAACAGGACCCCTTGTAGACCAGTCTCTTTGTGCAACGTAGGGAGAAAGGGCGGGGGGGACTAAAGAACCTCCCAAAAGGTATTAAAAATAGCAACATGTAATTATGAAAAATCTTGTTCCACATTAGGTAGCCACATTCAAGAAAAACTGTTGGAGATCTACTATGTCCAAGGCACGGTTTAAGTTATTACTGTTCAATTTTGAAATTATTATTGTTAACTTGTCAGTAATTTCTTAAACCTAAACTGGTGAAACTCTCCTTGGGTGGACATAAAAGTAAAGCCATGGCCAAGGAGGGAGACAGTCTACAAATAAACCAAAAATAAAATACAAGTGACATCATTAAAGGAAAAAAGCCAACACACTGCACAAAGATCAAAGACAAAACAGAGAAACATGTTTGGTTAATACTGGGCTTTGAGTATTTCATGTGCCTGAGAGGCCCGTCCGTCCATCCACACCACACTTCTTCACCATGCTGTTGCAAACCAATGACAAGTTCAGCTTCAGCGCGGACAGGGCGCAGGGCGCAGACCCTGTGCATATCCCAGAATCCCGGACCCACTGCCACTCCACTCTGGGAAGGAAGAAGGCGCTCCCCCTTGGGTGACTGTAAGATAAAGCAGCTTCTTCGATCTCTTTGTCCAATAAGAAAGAAACGTTGGCCCATAAAGAAAGAAAGAAACAAATAAATAGGAAAGGTGTGAGAAGGAAGGGAAGCTCCTTTCTTTTCTGTTTAAATTTCCCGCACCCTTTTACCTCCCCGCCTTCTCAAACGGTCTTTACTTTGAGCAGCAGAGACCCGGACCGCTCAATACCCGGCTATCCCTGGGAGGGTACTTGGAAAGTAGGCGGGACAGGCCGGATGAATAATTCGGTGTCCGACTTTTCCTGCCTGCGGCGCAGTCCCTCCCCGGCTTCGTTACTCGAGTGCACACGCGGCCGGGCTCTCGGCCCTCGATTGCTTCAGCCTATCACCCTGGGATGCCGCCTGCCGCTGCCGCCGCCGCCGCCGCCGCCACCGCCACCGCCACCGCCACCGCCACCGCCGTGGCTGCCGGGTTTGTGGGATCCGCCGCGGAGCAGGAGCCAGAGCTGTGGCCGGAGCTGTGGCCTGAGAGTCAGGGGGCGGGCAGGCTCATTCCAGAAGTGGGGGCCGAGGACAGGCGGGCTAGAACCCGGGGCCACCGCCCCCTACCCCTCCTCAGGCTGAGGGAACGGGCACTCGGAGCTTCTGAGGCGGCGGCGGCGGGAGCCGGTCAGAGGGGGCGGCCCCTGGCGGCGACGCCCCCAAGCCCAGCCCTGCCCGGCCCCGCTCCATCCCCAGCCAGAGCCTGGTCTGACCGCGAGAGACGCCGGCGGGGCTGAAGAAGGCGGCTCCGAGGAGGTGGGAGGGCGAGCCTCCCCTCCCGGGTTCTTCTGCGTCCTCTCCCGGGAGGGACCCACACACACCTGAGCCCGGACCCACCCTTGGTCGGGGCCACGCTGGATCCTCCTCCCGGCCTGGGTCCCGCCCGCCGACTGCAGGTGGGCTGCATCGCCCGAGCCTCGGGCAGTGGGCGACGGGGAAGGAGGTGAGAGGTGTCCGCGCCGGCTGCCGCTCGGGTCCCTGCCCTCGCTGCGCGCTCTCCTCCTCCCCTTACCGCAGGCAGGGCGCGGAGCCGCGCGCCAGCCCGCCCCGAAGCCGCCGCCTCGTCCCCCTCCCGCCTCGGGGCACCATGGAGCTCTCTCCGTCGTCCGGAGGAGCCGCGGAGGCGCTGTCCTGGCCGGAGATGTTCCCGGCGCTGGAGTCCGACTCGCCGCTGCCCCCGGAGGACCTGGACGCGGTTGTCCCAGTCAGTGGAGCCGTCGCCGGTGGCATGTTGGATCGGATCCTTCTGGAGTCCGTGTGCCAGCAACAGAGCTGGGTCCGGGTGTACGGTAAGGACCACAGGCCGTCTTAGAGGCTGGTGTTTCCTATTTTTGCTTGGGCTGAAATTCATTCCCTAAGTCACAGGCTCATTCCCAGTCCTCATCCGTGCTAGGTCAGTTTCCCACATCCCTTTTTGTTCTGGGGGTGCATTTCTGACAAGTTTCTTCAGACTATCACTTGGGCAGGGATGTCACTCAGTATGGTCTTTGGACCTCTTCAGACACCTGCAGTAAGTTTAATGCGGGAGTTGGGCTATCCAAGACGTAATTCTTAGGCGATTACTTCAAGGGAACAGCCAGGCAATCAATCTTCAAGAAGGTATGATGGAAAAACTCCATGAAACCAAGTGAATGGATTTTCGTCTCTTTTTATTGTTGAATGAGGCAAGACTGGAAACCAAGATATTATGAAAAAGCAGAGGATAAGCTAATGAATGAAAAAAATGCAAACTATGTATTTGGTGGGAGCAAGACTAATCTATAACCTCTGCCTGAACCTCACTCTCTCTAAAAGCAACCACTTATTCCAACGGGTGTGGATTGTTTCAGATTACACTATTGTTTCTGAATCTCGTTGTAAAGTGACTGGGTTGCCACTCAGCAGGTTAAAAGTGATGAACACACTAAAACTTTCCCTTTCTGCATTCCTGGTAACCACCTCTTTAATTAAAACTGAATGATGAGATTCTATTAGGGTGAGCCTTGTGGCAGCACTAAAACCATGCTGGTTTTGAAAACTCATAGCTTAAGGATTTATAGCCTGGCATTCAGGACTGAGCTGTGGCTTTCCAAAATATTGAAACGGCAAGATGTTTATCGCCTAGCTCACGTGACTGCAGAAGACATTAGTAACGTGGCTGAGTATAAGATGGCAAATTTGAAGCACCTGGGATCAAACACAATGTTAAGATGTTATCCTGCAGTCTTGTGCATCTAAGCCTGTAGTGATCAAGTACCTTATGTTTTTTTCTTTCATCTTTCTGAACAGGGTATATGCTTACTATTCAAGAGTGACCAAGACTTAGGTTTTTTTCTGTGTAGTTCAGTTGATTTGAAGACTTAATGTCCATCGCAAAGATCATAGAACTAGGAGTCCAGAGATCTCAGTTCTTGTCTCAGTTCTACCACTAAATGGCTATGGGATTTGGGGCAGATCGAGTCACATTTTTGGCTTGTGATTCCTCATCTGTAAAGTGAGTGGATTGGATTAAATCATCACTAGTGACCCTTTTAATCATAAAAATCCAGGAATTCTTCTTATAACCAGTTCTTAAGGATTTGTGTACCACTTTGTATTTTGCTGGCTGTTTCTTGATGTTACTCTACGTACCGGAAGATTTAAAGCAAAGGAGTGGGAGACGATGCAAGGTCACCCAGTTTGTTCTCAGCAAATTAGATTAAAAACTTTGGTGCCTGATTTTCCGTCTGCCTGCTAAATCCCACTTAGCTGGTCATTTAGAACAAAGGTTGGTGAGAATCTGAAAGTGCATATGAATTAGAGTATATTGTAGTTACAACGTTTTCCCATTCTATCATCTTTCTCTCCTTACACACTTCTTTGGCATACTGTTTATTTGTGTGATGTTAGAAATAGGGCCATGCTATTCTAAGAATACATGTATATGATAATTCGGTATTTCAGTATCCAAAACAATCTGGGTTCTCTGGACCTAGTGTTAACTATCGTTCTTCATTTGTAAGGACATAAAAGTCTACAAATGTATGTTGTTTTGTAGTCCATTCCTAGGGGTTGATTTGTGAAATATATATTGTATATTTTGTGTGTGTGTGTGTGTGTGTGTAAGAGAGAGAGAGAGTGAGAGCAAGTTTACATTATGTTTTTTTTCTTTCGTCCTTCTGAACAGGATATATGTTTATTGTTCAAGAGTGACCACGACTTAGAAGTTTTCTTTCTGCGTGGTTCAATTGATGTCAAGACTTCATATCAGACATCACAGAAATGCATGGTATGTATATGTGTGTGACACACACATATACATACCATGCCTTGCATTTTTGTGACCAATTGCAGACTTACCACTGCATTGTAACTTTTTTTGTTTTCTCTATCAATTAACCAGAAGTTGTTTTTATTTATTGTTTAGTATTGCTACTTTCCTTCCTCTGAGGCAGCTCATCCTGGATACTATTTTGTTGTCTTTAGTTTATGTAAATATTTCAGAACTATTGGAATGACTCTTGGCTATGTCCTTAGCTAGTTTTAAGTTGCCTATTGTATGAACAGGGTGTATGTTTGAAAACTTTGAAGTAAAAACTTTGAAATAAAAGTAATAGAATGTAGAAAAACAATTTGGAGAATACAGAATTTTTGTTTTTCTTGTTTCTTGTCTGTGTGTTCAAAACCTTCGTTGTCTTGGATCACCTAGGTTCTTCTCACAATTTAAAGAGACTTTGATGAGTGTAGTCTAACATGTTTCAGGGAAATCTACAAATTGGGAACCTAGTCTAGAGGATACAACTAGAAGCTTAGAGTATTGGTTTCATTCTGGCTTTGCCACAAGTTGGTTGTCTAATTCTGGGCAGGTAGTTTTAACTCATGGCCTCTAGGTTTCAGCATAAAAGTGGAATCTGGAGTAATTGGTATCTGTGGTCCCTTTTAGCTTTAAAGTTGTCTGATTCTGTGGCTTGGCCCATTATTTTACCTGCAGGTTGGCCTATAATCTTTATCCTGGCTCTTGGGGCCAGGCATTAACCAAGCCCTTAACTTAATGCATTTAAATCATGATTGTCAGGGAATTCTGGGGAGCAGTTTTATCAAAAGGTCAGTGAACTGAGTTTTCAAAGAAGATATATTGAAGGCAGATGTTTATTTATTTGGAATGTTTTCACAAGATAGGAAGATGAGTATGGCGATGTTGCTTAGGTCTAGTTCATCCAGTTTTGAGACCTAACCTACATAGCCATGTGGGTTCTAAAGGTAGGATAATAATAAGGAACTTTATTAAGTGCAATTTGCATCTCCTGCAATATACTTCTGTTTGAAATCATGATGGGAACAAACAACAACAGAAGTAACCCCCCAAAGAATATCTTAACAGGAACTTCTAGAAACAATATTTTATTAGTTTGCCTCACAAAATTTGAAGACTAGGCACTGTTTTGAGTTTCTTGTTGACAGGTTTGGCTCCTTGGTTGATAATACATATATATTGTGTACATATGTATATATTGTCATAATACGTATACTCAGGGTTTTGTGTATTGCCATGATTTGGAAAACTTTTCTGGAATATGTTCAGAGCTTTATAATAGGTGGCTCTATATTTAGAACACAAACTAATGCACATTTTTGAGATGTGGCTGAGAGAAAAATATTTGTGCTGTCTGTCCTAATCTTCATTTCCTTGTAGTTGTAAAATGTTTCATTTGTTTTATTCCAGTATTATAAGTTGTGCCCATGCCTTGTCAAGACTATAAAATTTTTGATATCAGGGAGCCTTGTTTATCTTTGTATTCTTATCTTGCCACCCCCTTCATTGTCAACTTGTCTGCCAGATTGGTACCTTGCTCATAGTAAGTCAGTGTCTGTTGTATGTTGATCCGTTTGTCCTTTGACCATCCAGATCTCAACCTGACTGACTGTATGGGTGGTAGAGTAGCTTAAACAAAGGCATGCCACAAACAGCTAAATATGGATACAGAATCCAAGAGCATCAAATGCAGAACATTTTTCAGATATTTATAGCCTCAAAGCAAAGTCAATTGGCTGAAAAAGCTCAGCAGCATAGCGAAAGGAAACGGGAGTGGCAAAGCCAGCCTCACTGTCTGTGCTTTCTGGTAAACAATGAGAACATTAAAATTAAATACTTTACCATGAATGGATGGGGAGTGTAGGACACTCTGGGAGAAATTTAAGATCCCAATCTCTAGGATTGCCTGCGGTGGAGCTCTGCACTCATCAGTATGACAGGTCTGCAAGTATGTGCTCAGATATGCTCTTGGAGAGTTAGAAGGGAAATATAATCAGCACAAGAAAGGGATCAACAAGAAATCTTGTACTTTTAAATTTTAATATTATCAGAAGGAATTAGGTAAAATATTCTGTTAAGAAAATGAATAGCATCAACATTATTACCATTAAGCTTGTATACAGCTCATTGTTTATTGATAACAACATAGGGACCTGCTGGAAAATTTCAAAGGGCTAGTACTATTTAAGCAAACAGAAGAAAAAGGGAATTAATCATACTTCATTAAGTACCTTATAATTCCAGAAATGTGGCAGTGGGAATTCGGTAAGAATTAATAGAAGTTCATATTCAAGAAGTGAATATGAGCTGATGAGACAGAAGTCATATCTGGTTGTATTATATGATACTGCTTACGCCTCACCAATTAAGACACAGGATGAGATTTTTAAAAGTTACGTTTCTAGAGGTTATGTCTCTAAATTTATTTAAAATGTTGCAACTAGTATGGCTAGAAGAAAATCAGTGAGTGTGTATAAAATACATCCCCAAACATGTTCATGTTCCTTAAATGTCTTAATTTCCTCAGGTACTGTTAATTGAATCTTTACACCTGAGTAGTCATATTTTAGAAATTTTTGGAATCTTAAGCTTGAGTTCAATACTTAGGATGTGGCATAGGCTTGTTGATGTATTAGTTTCCAATGATTTCCAAATACATTAAAACACATTAAGAATAGACAGTTTTTCATTGAAATCAGAGAGAACTTCTAAGAATGCCTAGGCATGTACTGTTTAAGTGACTTTAAATAGCCCCCTTTTTTCTTCTTTTGAGAGAAAATTTGTATGTCTTATTTAAATTGTGTGCTCTATTAATGTAGGTGATAGTTTCATTTATAACATCTTAGTATTGTTCTACCCTCTATCATGTTGGTTCACTGCTATTTGATTTTCAAACAGTGAAAATATTTTTAAGGAATAGAATTATACATCCACAATCTCTTTTCCAAAACCATTTGGACTAGACAGTTATGTTAATATTTCTGCAGTTAAACAAGTGAATAGGCCGGGCGTGGTGGCTCACGCCTGTAATCCCAGCACTTTGGGAGGCCGAGGCAGGTGGATCACTTGAGGTCAGGAGTTCAAGACCAGCCTGGCCAACATGGTGAAACCCCGTTTCTACTAAAGTACAAAGAAATTAGCCGGGTGTGGTGGCATGCACCTGTAATCCCAGCTACTTGGGAGGCTGAGGCAGGAGAATCGCTTGAACCAGGGAGGGGGAGATTGCAGTGAGCTGTGATTCCACCGTTGCACTGCAGCCTGGGTGACAGAGTGAGACTATCTCAAAAAAAAAACAAAATCATACCAAGTGGTATAAAGACTATAAATAGCCTTATGTCAGTGCAGGTCAGACTTTACTGCCAGAAAAGTTGCATACAGTCTTTTGCTTTTCAGAGCTTTTTTGATTTAGGAATTGCAGATATGGAATTGAGGATCTGTACAAATCTTCAGACATAAATAATACAAAGTTCTAGAACACCCCTCTTTAAGAATAGTTTGTGTGGATATCCTTTATCTTTTTCAGATAATAACATTTACTGAACACATTTTTAAAAATGGGCCGGGCGCGGTGGCTTATGCCCATAATTCCAGCACTTTAGGAGGCCAAGGTGGGCGGATCACCTGAGGTAAGGAGTTTGAGACCAGCCTGGCCAACATGGTGAAACCTTGTCTCTACTATAAATACAAAAAAAAAAAAAAATTAGCAGGGCATGGTGGCACATCTGTAATCCCAGCTACTCGGGATGCTGAGGCACGAGAATCGCTTGAGCCCAGGAGGGAGAGGTTGCAGCTAGCTGAGATCGTGCCACTGCACTCCAGCCTGGGCAACAGAGCGAGACTCAGTCTCAAATAAAAAAAAAAAAAAAAAGTTGTACAGTTGTGTTTCCTACTATAGTGAGTGAAATTTCTGTGGTTTGCTAAGAAAAAGAAAAGAGATTCACATGACATAGTAGGCTTTACCAAGATTATTAAGGAAATGGTGGCAAGGTAGTGGTTTCGGATCCTTTGTTTCATTAGAAGGAAGGATGAGGTAAGTTGAAATAGAGGGTTTATGTAATTGTTCTTTGCAGTTGCTTTCTTCAGTAGCACAAAGTGATTTGATCACCTTTTAAGTAGGTGAACCACAAAAAAGCATTCAACTAATGACAGTTAATTCAGAAAAACTTCAGCTGTTTGCTCCCTTGTCCCTCCCTATTGGAAAAACTTTTAACTAACTAGAGAGTTGTTTGGTCTTGTTAACCAGGAGGAGGAGTTTGAAGTGTGCTAAGGGCACTGCTAAAATTGCTTCACCCTATCTTGGTAGAGGGATAATTGCTGTCTGATGTTTGTAAAAACACCTTTCTTCCCAAAGGCTGTCAAGTACTTCTTAAGGCTAGCATGTAGAAAACCCTTTTGCAAATTTCATGTAGTTTATTTTATAGTGAGAGGGCAGCCCATCAAGAAGTAATGTGGTTCACAAGTAGAAGGGAAAAGAGAAGTCTTGAGGCCCAGTGCAGTGGTGTTAGTGAGTATACAGTAAACAAAAGAAATAAAAATTGAACCCTTAAAGGCATAAAAACATTTCATTTGCTAGACTATGATACAGAAGTTATCACTTTCCTAATCTCTACAGCTGGGTTCAGATATGAGCTGTCTGAATTTTACCTTCCCTTACCAGGTGTTAGTAACATCAATTAATTGTCTTTGTTGGCTTTGCTCATAAGGGTTCAGTTTAGATCCTGATTGTATTTTTACCCCTCCATAAATTATCTTCAACATTGCTCGAGTTCCATTCACATTGTGTCACTTGTAGCAGACTTTCTAAAAGTACCCCTTACCTCCATCCCTGAGTCTAAGGGATTGGTAATACTTATAGATATTGATTGAGAGAGTGAAAATTTAGTGAGGGGAAAACATTCAACATAGATAAGATAACAAAATTCGGAAGAGTAGTCTGAAAAGTTAAAATGAAACCTTAAAGTCAATAGTTTTTGATATTTTTCAAAGCAATCCTTTAGGTTTTCTCATTGAAGAAACTGGCTCAGGAAGTTTAGCTTATTCCCAAAATTGGAGACAGACTCCACAGTTTGTCAGGATTGGAACTCTTAACCTCAGATTCCTTAGCCTCCTGATTTAGCTTCTAGATCTTGCTGCCTTCCCTTAGGGAGATGGCCTCTCAAAGCTGAAGGTCAGGAAAACTCGACAGTGAGAAATACCAGATTGTTAGTTTCACAGTCTTTTAAGGGAAATGCTGGAAATACCATTACCTAGGTAACAGAAAACAAAAATGGACAAAACATCCATAAAGTAGGAGGATGAAAATAATTTCATAGTAATCCTTAAGAGATAGACCAGAGGACAGATGAGATTTTTTTTTTCATATTTTTCCTAAGCTTATTATGCATACTTTTTTTGGTGCTGTGATTGGAAGTGATGTCTGAAGGAAATTTGAATTTCATATATGATGCTTAGAACCCTGAATAATACCTAATAACTTTGTACCTTCCACTTGAATTTCTAACCTCTGATTCCTGTCATTAAAAATTAATACCCTTTTTCTGATTATGAATATAATTTGTGCTTAACATAAAGAATTAGAATTTTAGGAAAAGCCAAAATTAAAATCATTTGTAATTCTACCTCTTAGAGATAACTATCATTTTTTTTTAAATATTATATTTTAGAGACGGGGTCTCATTCTGTTGCCAAGGTTGGAGTGCAGTGGCGCAATCATAGCTCATGCCCAGGTTGGAGTGCAGTGGCGCAATCATAGCTTACATATTATCCATTGCCTGGGTTCAGGGGATCCTTCCACCTCAGCCTCCCGAATAACTGGGACTACAGGAGTGTGCTACCACACCTGGCTGAGATAATTATTCTTTTAATATTTTATTGTGTTTTATTCCAGTCTTTTTTGTGTACAGATTTTTTTGTATTAATACATATTTGGTATCAAACTGCATATATTTTACATTCTACTTTTTTTCTCTTAAGTGTATTTTCTCATGTTATTGAAAACATTAACACATTTTTTTAAATATGTTATTTATTTTAAAAAATAGGTAATATATTCCTTTGTTCCAAAATTCAGAGTATAAAAAGATATTCCATGAGCTCTCTCTTACTCTTCCTCCCTGCCTCTACAACTTGCCATCTGGCAGGCATGGTCCCTCTTCCCAATCAATAAATACTTGAAATTGTTATGTATCTTTCCATACCTATTCCACGTGCATAGAAGCAAATGTAGAGATAGATAGATATGTAAAAATCCTGCCATAAGTGGGATCCAAGAAATCTAGTTTACAAAAAATTCAGGGTTATATTTCTGTGAGGTTAGTGAAATGACCAGAACAAACCTGCAAATGAAGTTGGCCATGAGTTCTGGGGGTCTGGAGCCGGTAAATTGCTTTATATCTGAAATGATATCATAGGTTTTTACTGTATATATGCATTTTTCTCTATTTTTACACGTATGATAACCCATTAGAACTGATTTTTATCTGCACTTTGAGATTGCTTCTTCTTTCTTCCCCCCGCCCCTCACTTATTAATGTATCTCAGATATATTTTCCTTTCATTTTGTAAAGAGGTACCTCATTCTTTTTATGGCTGCATAATGCCTGAATTAATCATAACTCATTTAATTATTCCCCAAGTTTTGCTAGTTCAAGTGATTTTGCAGTGAATGATCTTGAGTATAAGCCATTTTGCTTGTGTATGAGCATATCTGTAAGAAAAATACATAGAATTGCTAGGTCAAAGGTACGTGTATTTGTAATTTTGAAAGATATTGCCAAATTGCCCTACCTGTCTGTACTTCGCCCGCAATATATGAGAGTGCCTGTCTCCCCACACATAATGAATTATCACGAAATTTTGGATCAGACAATCTGAAAGGTAAAAATGGTGTCTTAATTTAATTTTTTTTAATATCTTTTACATTAAGTGTGATTGAACATCTTTTCATTTTTAAGAGTCATTTAAATATAACCTTTTCTGTGAACTGTACATACCTTTTGCCCATTTTTATTGGGTTCTTGGATCTTTTTCTTAGTGATTTGTAGGAACTATTAGTATATTAAGCAAAGCATACTAAGGAACTCTTAGTATTTAAGTAAAGAACCCTTTATCTGCAACAGTTGCCAGTATTTTCATTTTTCTTATGGTATTCCCCCCACCCTTATGAAGAAATGATTCTTACACAATTGAATGTATCGGATTTTTCTTTTATGGCTTTTTGGTTTTATGTCAGAATGTATTTTATGTTAGAATGGGCTTTCCTGGGAGTTCTCTGGACCTTTATTTTGTAACCTCAGAATAGGAAAGCCCATTCTTTTTTTTTCCCCCTCTACATACACTAAGTACCTAAATACCCTTGGGGGACAAAAAAAAGAGTGGGCTTTCCTGTTCTGAGGTTATGAAATAATTCTCTCTTGGTTTATCTAGTACTTCGTTGGTTTTATTTTTTACATTCAAATCTTTAATCCAGTCTGGTATTAAATATGAGATATGGATCCAATTTCATTTTTTGAAAGATGGCTTTCCAGTTGTCCTACCATCATTTGTTGAAGAAACCAGCTTTTTCGCACTGATTTAAGAAGACTTCTTTATTCTATACAAGATTGCCATTTATATTTTGGGTTATTTCAAGATTTTCTATTCTGTTCTATTGGTCTGTTTATATTCATGTGCCAGTATCACACAGCTTTATTGTTGAGACTTTATAATATGAAAATACAATTTTTAATGACTAACATTATTTAACCATTATTCTATTTTAGATGTTAACATTTTTCAAAAAGTTTAACACTTTACTGATTTGTCTTTGTGCACAAATCTTTGATCCAAACTTCTGAATGTTTTCTTATGCTGAATTCCTAGAAGAGTATGAAATGTTTTTAAAGGCCTGAGATTTAGTGCGAAATTGGTGAAACCTTCCTGGAAAGTAATTCCTGCCTCTAGTATGTGAAATATGGCTCATAATTTTAAGTTCTACTGCTGTGTTGCTACTTTCAATGTATTAAAATCTTTTTACATAAATTTTATATAATACCTTAAACGTTACTTAGCACATATTAAATGCCTTGAGTCTTTATGCCTTTAAGACTGTCCTTCAAAAACTTAGTTGTTGTTTAAATGGTACTCCTTTTTATTAATGGCATATTTCCAAGTGAATGAGGGAAGGGCGGGAGTATAGACTCAAAGCAATTGGTCTGCTAAAGGTCAAATCCATGACCGTGACCTTACTTGTATTATGTCAGACCCTCCAACTGAAATAACTTGATGCAGACATATGTTTTAGGTATTCTAAGAAGCACACAGTTGGTAACTTTTATCTCAGCTAGAAGGAGTTGACATTCATGAAAGTTATTTTGAACATGATTTGAATATAGTTTCATTTAGTTTTACCTGGATGAGTGATTGAGTTGTATGTCTTATATAATACTGTGTTAATGACCCAGTTTTATAGCATGGGATTAATTTAGGTATGTTCTGAGGAAAGTTTTTCATAATGTTAAACAAAGCCAAATCCAAGTAATGGCAACAAGAACTAATATTAATGATTAAAGTAATTTAAAATCTTTTCTTCAGAAAAAATAATGGCAGGAATAGGAATAAGACTATGGAAAAAATCATATTTTATATAGACCGTTAACAAAGTTAACCAAATTTTCTTTTACCATTTAGCTGTTTAGCATGTAATACATAAGCATAAGCTTGTCTTGCTAGGCCAGAAAGGAGCAAACTTAGAAAAAGAACAAACTGTTTTTAACTTTTAACAATGACTTAAAGTAGTTTGAAAGTGAAATGAAAAAATAATCCCTTATCCAGTTAATACTCTGGAGGTTTGTAGGAAAATTTGTTTAATTCGGGCAGGATAGAATATGCAAATATCTTGCTCCATAAATAAGTACTAAATAATGAAGACATATGAAGGATATGATACAGTGGGAAAGTATGGCAGTATTTTTGTCAGTTTTTGAAGTGTATGAAATTACTAGACACATTCTCTTTTTGTTTTTTGGGGTTCTTTTTTTTTTTTTTGAGACGGAGTCTTGTTCTGTCACTCAGGCTGGAGTGCTGTGGCTCTATCTTGGCTCACTGTAGCCTGGACCTCCCAGGCTCAAGGGATCCTCCCACCAAGTAGGTGCTACTTCAGGTGTGCACCACTGCGCCCAGCTAGTTTTTTGTTTACTTTTTGTAGAGACGAGGTCTCACTGTGTTGCCCAGGCTGGTTTTGAACTTCTAAGCTCAAGCAATCCTCTTGCCCCAGCCTTCCAAAGTGCTGTGATTATAGGCATGAGCTGCTGTACCCAGCCACGTTTTCTTTTTGAACTCAGTAAAAATCAATTGTAGTTTTAAAGCATTTTACTAATTTAGTTCATGGAAACATGAAATCGCTGTAGATGACAACATTATTGTTAGGAGTTAATCTATAACTCTGTTGCTCTGAGGGATACACTGACAAGGTGAAGATTATTCTTGTTTTGTTTTTCTGTTCTTGTAATGAAATTTTTTTAATGTCATATTTTATGTAATAATTTTCCAAAAAGGATAGCATGTACACTATCTCCAGGGTAGTGACTGACAGCATAAAAAATCTCTTTGCCTGGCTATAATCTATATTTGCATGTTCCAGTTTGTGCTGAAGTATAGCATATCCACAATTCCTAGATTTCCCTCCATGGTTCCCTTAGGCTTGACTGTGTACAACTTTATGTGTATTTGTAAATTTCAAGACTGCCCTTGAGTGAGGAAACCCAAGGCCTTTCTGTTGCATGTTCCTATTTTGAAATGGCTGCTTTTTGTCCAAGTGGTTGCTGATTACTCTGTATCAACGTATGGACCTTGAATAAGATGGTCAGTACAGTAGCTACCAAGTAACGAAAGATATGTTGTAATGTCTAAAACAATGACTTTGCTTTTAATGTTGTCTAGTTTTATAAAGACTTCATGGTTTTCCTTTTTATAGAAAATAAAATTTATATTCCTGTTTTTGAATCTAGCTTGATAACATGATTAAGAAAAAATGGTATCATATGGTGATTTCTATTGAAATAGAAAGATACCCCAGATACAGTCGATTTCTTCCTGTTTTGTTCAGGTCAGAAAGTCTTCAGTCATTCTTTTGCAAGTTCAACCAAAATAAGCTTAAGAGAACATTTTCAGTTATTTGCATTTTAGGTTGTAGTTTTGGTCTATACTGAGATTGTCATGCCAGAGTGTCACCTTGAGAGAGGCTTGACTTTGTAATATCTATTAGCTGATCATCTTTCTTTTCCTGTAGCTTAACTAGCATAATAAATTTCCTCATATATATCCAGTAATATTATTCTGTTTACCTGTGAGCATATTGTATGAAATTATATGTTTTTACAGAGTTGCTTTTTCCCTACAATCTTGAAAAACCTTGCATTTTTTTCTGTCAACAAACTTATTAAACATGATAAGTCATTTCTCCATTTTATCAGGGAAATAATTGTGAAAAAGTTAGTGACTCCTAACGATTCTTGGTGATGTGAGATGATTACTATTTGACTCCCAATCCAGTAGTTTCTTTTGAAATATTACCCTCTATTATTGAAGTTCACATTTACTGTTTTAACATATTTGTGTTAAAATGTATTACAAGCATTTTTGTGCTTTTCTAAGTTGTCTTAGAATTTAACAGTATGTCTTATCCTATCTTCTCTGCCTCTTTGAGACCCATGTGGATAGTAACAGATATTGAGTTCTTTGGTGAACTGCAGGAATAAAAGTGAGGATGCTAGATAGAGTAACCAATAAATTATTTTGTGTTTTTTTTATTATGGTAAATATAGCAAATTTTCATTTTAAGTTTGCTATATTTAATAAGTATACAATTTAATGATATTAAATACATTCATAATGTTGTGTAACCATCACCACTACCTATACCCCAAATGTTTTCATCATCTTCAAACTTCCCATTAAACAATGACTCTCCCTTTCCCCTCCTCTTAGCAGCTGGTAACCTCTATTCTTTCTGTCTCCCTGAATTTGCCTATTCTAGGTACCTCATATAGGTGAAATCATACATTTGTCCTCCTGTGTCTGACTTATTCACTAAGCATAATGGCTTCAAGGTCCATTCTTGTAACATGTATAAAAATTTCATTTTTTATGGCTAAATAAATATTCCATTGTATGTATAAACTATATTTTTTATCCATTCATTTGTTGATGGACATTTGGGTTGTTTCCACATTTTGTCTGTTTTGAATAATGCTGCTATGAGCTTTGGTATACAAATATCTGTTTGAGTCTCTGCTTTCCATTCTTATATACCTAGGGGTGGAAATGCTGGGTGTATGGTTGTTCTATGTTTAGCCTTTTGAGAAACTGCCAGACTGTTTTGGTACAGCAGCTGTATGTACCCTTTTACATCCTTACCAGCAATGCACGAGGGTTCCAGTTACTCCACTTCCTTACCAACATTTATTATTCATTTTTGGTTTAACCATCCTAGTAGGTGTGAAGTGATATCCCATTGTGGTTTTTATTTGTATTTACATAATGATTAATGATATTGAGCATATTTTTATTGCTTATTGGCCATTTGTATATCTTCTTTGGAGACATGTCTATTCAAGTCCTCTTTTTTGCATGAATTCTCAGTAGATGTATTGGTATTTTTTAGATTGTCACTGATGGTGTTAATTATTCTACATATTAATCTTAACTCTGGTAACTGTGACAGTCATGAGCATGATGATAATGATGATAATGAGAAAACTTGTTGAGTGTTTGCTGTGAACCTGGCACAGTTCTAAGTGCTTTATGCCTGTTAACTTATTTAATCTTTATAACTACACTATCAGGTAAATACTATTGTTTTTCTCATTTTATAGATGAGGAATTAGAGGCATAAAGATGTAGAGGAACTTGTCCAACATTATACAGAAAGCAAGTGGCTGATGCGGGATTTGAATCTAGACAGTTCCTCTCAAATCTGTGCTCTTAATCACTATATAATTTGACTTCTCACAAATAAAGAATGCAAATAGTTATTATAAAAAGTATTCAGTATGATGTTTGTTAATTTGTATCCCAATCCTGTAGTTTACCTGTGAGTTTTATATTAGCACCATGACTATAAAATAATGACATTGTTATGCTTGATACGCTTTGGATGTCATAATTTACAGAATATTTTCATCGAGTTGTATAAGTTTTATTAACCGTAGATAACATGAGGAAGCTCTATGTGGGTGAGCCATTTGAATAGTTTTGTATTTAAAAAAGGTTAAAGTCTGTTAGCTCTCTAAAATTCATGTATTTTTAGCAGTAATATAAAATATGGACTTTTTTTCTATAAAAGCATGTCTTTCTATGCCTATTACTTATGTTTGATCAAGCCAGTGAGACTACTGATAGTTAAGAAATCACACAATCTTAAGAACCACAAGTTGTATTCATCTGGGACATAGCTTTATTTACTCCAGGATTTATTCAGGTGGCTCTCTACTTTAATATTAGTAATTCTAGGAAAGAGAATTCACTTTCACAGAAGCAGGTCAGTTAAAACATTGCTCAGAGCTTAGCCCTACAGGAGATATTTTAGGACATTGATAGAATTCACAGTTTTTTGTTTTGTTTTTTTTTCCTAGATGAGGGTCTTACTGTTTTGCCCAGGCTGGTCTTAAACTCCTGAAGTCAAGGAATTCTCTTGCCTCAGTCTCCCAGGGAGCTGGGATTATAGGTGCATGCTTCTCTACTCACCTTCACATGTTCTTTTCTAAAAGCTCAGGAACACTGTGGGCTCCTAGTGAGCCTAGTTCTCTTTCTCTAAGTTCCTCTTGAGCCTGACTATACTTATGGTACATATGCTTTATAATTCATAATTTATATCCCAGGGTTTGTATTTCAAGGACTCAGAAACTTAAAGTATGATTCATACACACAAAACTGTGAATCAGTTTTGAAATTTAACTCCATTTCTTACAAATAGGTTGCAGTTCTTAAAAATCTGTGATTCTGTTTTGGCCAGTTTAGCAATGGGAAGTGAATTACAGTATTTCATTCTGACCAATTCATATATCTTTTTAGAAACCAGATTTAGGCGAGGCATGGTTGGCTGACGTCTATAATCCTGGTGTTTTGGGAGGCTAAGGTGGGAGAATCTCTTGAGGCCAGGAGTTGGAGACCAGCCTGGGCAACATAGTGAAAACCTGCCTCTACAAAAAATAAATTAGCCAGGTGTTGTGGCCCGCACTTGTAGTCCTAGCTACTTGGGAGGCTGAAGCAGGAGGATTGCTTAAACCCAGGAGTTCAAGTCTACAGTGAACTGTGATCCTGCTACTACACTTCAGCCTGAGCTACAGAGTGAGACACCATCTCTAAAGCAAACAAACGAAAAACCGGATTCAATAAGAAAATTGCAACAACAAACTACACATCTTTAAAGTGTAATTTGATGTATTTGAAATAAGTAACCATGAAACCATTACCACAAGCAAGAAAATGAACACTTACTTTGTCTAAAAAGTTTCTTTGCATCCCTTTGTAATTCCCCCCTTTCCCCAGCCTAACACTAGACAGCTACTAATCTGCTTTCTATCTGTATAGATTAGTTTGGATTTTCAAGAATTTTATGGACATTAATCCCTCATTATTTACCAGGGGATTGGTTCCAGGGTCCCAACAGATACCAAAATCCTCAGATGCTGAAGTTCCATATATAAAATGGCATTCTATTTGCATATAGTTTAGGCTTATCCTTCCATATACTTTAAACCATTCCTAGATTACATAAAATAGCTAATACAATGTAAATTCTATGTGAATAGTTTTTATACTATATTTATACAGTGTATATATAGTATATATAGCATATATAGTGTATATATATGCTATATATACTATATATACAGTGTATATATAGTATATATAGCATATGTAGTATATATATGCTATATATACTGTATATATACACTATATACACTATATATAGTGTATACATATATATATATATATGTATGTATACTGCAAACTCCACCTTCCAGGTTCAAGGTATTCTCATGCCTCAGCCTCCTGAGTAGCTGGGATTAAGGCACACACTACTATGCCTGGCTAATTTTTTGTATTTTTAGTAGAGATGGGGTTTCACCATGTTTCCCAGGCTGATCTCGAACTCCTGAGCTCAGGCAATCCGTCTGCCTCAGCCTCCCAAATTTGGGATTTGCTGGGATTACAGGATTGAGCCACTGCACCCGGCCATACTGTATTGTTTTTTAAAATTTGTATTCTACATTTTTTATAGTTGTGTTTTTTTCTTTTTACGGAATATTTTTGATTTGCAGTTGGTTCAATCCATGGATGTGGAATTTATGGAAGGTCAACTGTAAGTGGAATTGTATGATATATACTAATTTTTTGTTTGGCTTCTTTCAGCATATTTTGAGATTCATCCATGTTGTTGCATGTATCAATAGTTAATTCCTTTGTATTGCTGATAGTATCCCATCGATATTCTACAATTGTTTGCCAGCTCGCCTTTTGATGAACATTTGAGTTGTTTTTAGTTTTTGACTATGACAGATAAAGTTGTTGTGAACATTTGTGTACTAGTCTTTGCGCACACCACCACACCTGGCTAATTTGTATTTTTTTGTAGAGACAGGGTTTTGCCATGTTGCCCAGGCTTATCTCAAACTCCTGGGCTCAAGTGATCCTCCTGCCTTGGCCTCCCAAAGTGCTAGGATTACGTGCATGAGCCACCATGCCTGACCTTGTTTAATATTTTAAGAAACTGCTGAATTGTTTTCCTAAGTGGTTGTACCGTTTTCCCACTAGCAGTGTGTGGCAGGTTCCATTATCACATTTTCCTACCAGCAGTGTACGTAGGTTCCATTTCCATGTTTTCCTACCAGCAGTGTATGTAAGTTCCATTTCCACATCCTCATCAATACTTAATTTTAGCCATTTCAAGAGGTGTGCAGTGATAGCCATTGTGGTTTCAATTTATTCAATGACTAATAATGTTGAGCAGCTTTTCATATGCTTATTGGATATTCATGTATCTTTAGTAAAATGTTCAATCTTTTGTCTATTTTATTTTATTTTGTTTTAAGATGGAGTCTTGCTTTGTCACCCAGGTTGTAGTGCGATGGCATGATTTCAGCTCACTGCAACCTCCGCCTCCCGGGTTCAAGCGATTCTCCCACCTCAGCCTCCCGAGTAGCTGGGATTACAGGCACCTGCCATCATGCCTGGCTAATTTTTGTATTTTTGTAGAGACAGAGTTTCACCATGTTGGCCAGGCTGGTCTTGAACTCCTGACCTCAGGTGATCTGCCTGCCTCCACCTCCCAAAGTGCTGGAATTACAGATGTGAGCTACCGCTCCTGGCCTCTTTTGTCAATTTTAAAATTGATTTTTTCTTATTTATTGTATGAAGTCCTCATATATTTTGGATATGTCCTTTGTCAGATATGTGATCTGTAATTATTTTTTCCTCATTCTGTGGCTGGTCTTATTCTCTTAAACCTTTCAAAGAATTAAAATTCTTAATTTTGATGAGGTTGATTTATCCCTATTTTCTTTTGCTTTCGTGGATTGTACTTTTGCTATTTTATTTAAGAAATCATTGTCAGCTGGGCACGGTGGCTCATGCCTGTAATCCTAGCACTTTGGGAGGCCAAGGCGGGTGGATCACGAGGTCAGGAGTTCGAGACCAGCCTGACTAATATGGTGAAACCCCGTCTCTACTAAAAATACAAAAGTTAGCTGGGCGTGGTGGTGTGTGCCTGTAATCTCAACTACTCAGGAGGCTGAGGCAGGAGAATTGCTTGAACCCGGGAGGTGGAGGTTGCAGTGAGCCAGGATCGCGACACTGCACTCCCGCCTGGGTGACAGAGCGAGACTCCATCTCAAAAAAAAGGAAAAAAGAAATCATGAAAAATGATGAGTTCATGTCCTTTGTAGGGACGTGGATGAAATTGGAAATCATCATTCTCAGTAAACTATCGCAAGAACAAAAAACCAAACACTGCATATTCTCACTCATAGGTGGGAATTGAACAATGAGATCACATGGACACAGGAAGGGGAACATCACACTCTGGGGACTGTTGTGGGGTGGGGGGAGGGAGGAGGGGGGAGGGATAGCTTTGGGAGATATACCTAATGCTAGATGACGAGTTAGTGGGTGCAGCACACCAGCATGGCACATGTATACATATGTAACTAACCTGCACAATGTGCACATGTACCCTAAAACTTAAAGTATAATAGTAAAAGAAAAAAAAGAAAAAAAAGAAATCATGGTCTAGCCCAATTTCACAAAGATTTTCTTCTATTTTTTTCATTGAAAGTTTTATAGTTTTTGTCCTATCATCCATTTTGATTGTATTTTTGTGTGTGGTAAAGAATAAGAATTGAAATTCTTCTTTTTTTAAATGGATATCAAATAGCACCATTTGTTGAAAAAACTATCCTTTGAGCACTCAGGTGCCTTTGTATCTTTGTTGAAAATGTAATATATGTGTGGGTTTATATCTGGACTATTCAATTCCATCGGTCTGTTGTCTATCTTGATTTACAAGCATACTGTTTTGATTACTATAGATTAATGATAAATTGAGGTGAGATATACAACCCTGACTTTTTTTTTTTCAAAGTTACTTTGACTACTCTAGATCATTTGCATGCCCATAGGTCTTGTTCTGTCACCCAGGCTGGAGCTCAGTTGTGTGATCATTACTGTAGCTTTGAACTCCTGGGCTCAAGCAATCTTCCCACCTCAGATTCCTTAGTAGCTAGGACTGCAGGCATGCATCACCATACCAGGCTGATTTTGTGTATGTGTATGTGTGTGGGCATGCATGCCTGCGAGTGTGTGTGTGTGTGTGTGTGTGTGTGTGTGTGTGTGTGTGTGTGTGTGTGTGTAGAGGCAGAGTCTTGCTGTATTGCCCAGGCTGGTCTGAAACTCCTGGCCTCAAGCAATCCCCCAACCTTCGCCTCCAAACGTGCTGGGATTATAGCTGTGAGCCACCACACCTGGGCGGAAATTTTAGAATCACTTTGTCACTTTTACAGAAAAAAAGCCTGCAAGATTTTGATTGGGATTGTGTTAAATCTATAGATCAATTTTGGGGAGAGTTACTATCTTAACAATATTAAGTCTTTCAATCTGGGAGCACAATACATTTCTTCATGTGGTTTGTCTTTGATTTTTTACTACAAAGATTTCAGTATATAGATCTGATACATCTTTTGTTGGATTTACCTTTAAGTATTTCATAATTTTTGATAATATTATAAATGTATGGTTTAAATTTTTAAATTTCCAATTATTTGTTGCTAGTATATAGGCATACAATAATTTTTTACATTTTTTATCTTGTACCCTGCAACCTTGCTAAACTCATTTATTATTTCTAGTGTTTTTTTTTGTTTTGTTTTGTTTTTTGTGGATTCCATTGGCTTTTCTAAATGGAGGATCATATTGTCTGCAAATAAAGATAGATTACTTCTTTTTGTAATCAGGATACCTTTTATTTCTTGCTTGATTACATTGGCTAGAACTTCCAGTATAATGTTTAATGAAGTGGTGAGAGTAGACATCCTTGCCATCAACCTGATCGTAGGTAAAAAGCAGTCAGTCTTTTGCCATTTAAGTATGATGTTAGCCTTAGGTTTTTTTGTTGTTTGTTAAAAAATACAGATCTCCTTTATTAGTTTAAAGATGTTCCCTCCTATTTTTAGTTTCTGAGAGCTTTTTTAAATTTTAAATTAGAAGTGGATGTTGGATTTTTGTCAAATGCATTTCCTGTATCTATGGAGAAGACCGTATGGTTTTTCTTTTTTGTTCATTAATATTGTGAATAACCTTGATTTTTGAGGTTTTTTTTTTTTTCTTTGAGATGGAGTCTCGCTCTTTTGCCCAGGCTGGAGTGCAATGGCGGGATATCTGCTCACTGCAAGCTCCGCCTCCTGGGTTCATGCCATTCTCCTGCCTCAGCCTCCCTAGTAGCTGGGACTACAGGCGCCCACCACCACGCCCGGCTAATTTTTTCTATCTTTTAGTAGAGACGGTGTTTCACCATGTTAGCCAGGATGGTCTCGATCTCCTGACCTCGTGATCCGCCCGCCTTGGCCTCCCAAAGGGCTGGGATTACAGGCGTGAGCCACTGCGCCCAGCCATTTTTGAGTTTTAAACCAATTTACAATCCTGGCATAAACCTTATTTGGTCTTGATGTATTATTATTCTTTTTCTGTGTTGATTTGATTTGCTAAAATTATGTTAAGATTTTTGTACCTATATTCATGAGGAATATTGGTTTTTAGTTTTCTTATGTCTTTGGTTTCAGAATATGCTGACTTCGTAGTATACATTATAAATTTTTTTTCCACTTTCTGGAAGAGTTTGTGTAGAATTAGTACTATTTCTTCCTTATATATTTGGTACAGTTTATCAGATAAGCCATCTACACCCGGACTTTTCTTTGTTGGAGGGTAATTCACTTCAAATCCAATTTCCTTAATAGATATAGGGCTATTTAGATTATTTGTTTCTTCTTGAGTGTGCTTTTATTGTTTGTGTCTTTGAAGGAATATGTCCATTTTGTCTAAATTGTCAAATGTATTAACATAAAATTGTTCATAATATTTCCTTATCTTAGAATCCTTAATGATGTTACCTCTTTCATTCCTCATATTAGTTTATGTCTTCCCTGTTTTGTCCCCAGTCTGGTTCATCAATTTTATTTATTTGTGTGGGAGATCTAATTTAGTGTGGGAGAGTAGGAAAGACCTTCTGGAGGAAGTGACATTTGTACTAAGACCAAAAGGGTGAATAGGAGTTAACTAGGTAGTGGGAGTTAGTAGTGGGTGAGTGTTCCAGATGAAGGGGATAACACATGCAAAGGTTCTGGTGTTAGCCAGCATGGCAGCTTTGAGGAACTCTGAATAAAGGCTGGAGCACAGATAGTGAGAGGGTACATGGCATAGTATAAGGCTAGAGAAATAGCTATGCCAAAGATTTGAGTCTGGAAGGTGATGCCTGGTATCTTTATTTTCAAAAAGACCACTCTGGTTGTGGTGTAGAAAATAGATTCCTGTGGAGCAGAGAGATCAGCCAGAAGGCTGCTTTGTAGACTGGGTAAAACATGGTGATAATTTGGGCTAGGGAGATGGTAGAGAAAAGAGAAGTGGACAGATTTTGAAAAATATTTTGAAGGTTAATATTAATAAGACTTGGTGAGGAATGGATATGGGGGCAGGCAGATATTGGGAGAGATAGAGAGATGTGTGAAGGGTAAATTTTGGTTTAATGGTGAATGAAAACTAGAGGGATGTTGGTACTATTTACTGAGAGTTTTTTCCCTAAACTGGAAGCATTTTTCTTCCAGGGGAATATGTATTTTATTTAGGGATGTTTTAAAATCCTATTCATCCGTTAGTACCCAGCACAAATAGAACTTCTTCCTTGGAGTCTTTCTTGATATCTCTTTGCTTGCTTTTCCCTCCTGACTAGAAATAACCTTTCCCTTTTCTGAATTTCTATTAAACTTTGTTTACATTTCTTTTATGGAGCTTTTTTATTATCTAACTTGTCGTATTCTTATTGGTATATATGTTTTATTTTCTTTATTGTAGTAGAAACTGCTCATTGAAAGGGAGCGTTACTCATTTTAATAGTTCACAACTAAAAGTAATGGTTTCTTCAGTGAACACATGCTATAGCCTTATGGAGGTGGGTAGTCTATGAAAGAGTATACCTAGTTCAGTAAATCAGAACTCTTATGCACATTGAGGTATCTACAAACAAGAAGAATCACTAGAGTAGTATAATAGTAGGAAGATTTCTTATGATTCCATTATTTAGGTTATTAACCATTATTAAACATTACTTTTTTTTTTTAAAGGAGGAACTACTTCAGTTAAATATGAATCTTTGCTCAAAGTTTCTTAATAGATTGTTATTTTATTTTATTTTATTTTTTTTGAGACGGAGTCTTGCTCTGTCGCCCAGGCTTGAGTGCAGTGGCACGATCTCGGCTCACTGCAATCTTCACCTCCTGCGTTCACGCCATTCTCCTGCCTCAGCCTCCTGAGTAACTGGGATTACATGCACCCACCACCACGCCTGGCTAATTTTTTTGTATTTTTAGTTGAGACGGGGTTTCACCGTGTTAGCCAGGATGACCTTGATCTCCTGACCTCGTGATCCGCCTGCCTCCGCCTCCCAAAGTGCTGGGATTACCCACCACACCTGGCCTAGATTGCTAATTTTTGTAATTTTTGATTTATCAGTCTGAAAGTGAAGAGCCAAACATAGACTTAAATAATGCCTAACACTTTTATAGGGCTCAATAACTACTTAAAACATTCATACATAATATATCTCATTCTGTTTTCATAACAGACCTGTTAGATGGGTAAGAAAGGTATTGTTCTTAATTTACAGATTTATGCCATATATTGAAGAACACTTATTAAGACATTGGAATGAGGCTATTTTGTGTTTACAAAAATCAAAATATTCCCTTATACTTTCTCTACTAGAGTTAACTGGAAGCATTTGAGTAATAAAGTAATTGATACTGTTGTAAATAGTAATTTTTATGATTTAACCTGAGTAGCTTTTGGGGCTAGCATCTCAATCAGGTGCAGTTTCTGAGATGAACTCAACTCTAACCATTCTGTTTAAGCATTTTATGATGTTTTAATATTTTAGTTTAAAACAGACTTTAAATTTGTCTTTGAAGTAACTAGTAAAGATGCATTTTGAAATAGATTTATTTATGTTTAAAATGTACTTTGAAGGAAATAGTGTGATCTTATAAATAAAGCACAATTAGGATGTGGAATATGCTATGGTCTGAATGCTGATGTCCTCCCCAATTCATATGTTGAAAGTTAATCACCAATGTGATAGTGTTAAGAGGTGGGGCCTTTAGGAGGTGATTCAGTCACAAGGGTGACTTAATCCTTGTGAATGGGATTAGTGCCCTTATAAAAGGGGTGCAAGGGAGCTAGCTGTATGGACTTTTCTGCCATGTGAGAATGCAGCAAGAGGCACTGTCCATGAAGCAGAAAGTGAACCTTCACCAGACACTGAATCTAATGGGGCCTTGATCTTAGACTTCCAGGCCTCCAGAAATGTGAGAAATAAATTTCTATTATTTGTAAATTATGCAGTCTAAGATATTTTGTTATAGCAGCCCAAGTAGACTAAGATAGAATATAATAATATTCTTGGCCAGGCGTGGTGACTCATACCTGTAATCCCAGCACTTTGGGAGGCCAAGATGGGTGGATCACCTGAGGTCACGAGTTCGAGACCAGCCTGACCAACATGATGAAACTCCGTCTCGACTAAATACAAAAAATTAGCTGGGCACGGTGGCTGGCCTCTGTAATCCCAGCTACTTAGGAGGTTGAGGCAGGAGAATCCCTTGAACCCGGGAGGTGGAGGTTGCAGTAGCTGAGCTTGCACCATTGCACTCCAGCCTGAGCAGTAAGAACGAGACTCTGTTTAAAAAAAAAAAAAAGATATATATATATTTCTTTTAACTTGTTTTAGAGCAGTGGTTCTCAACCTTTTTGGCACCAGGGACTGGTTTCATGGAAGAAACCTCCCCTCCACGGATGGGGAGGAGGTGGGTGGGGACGATTCAAGCTCATTACATTTATTGTATACTTTATTTCTATTATTATTACATTGTAATATATAATGAAATAATTATACAACTCACCATAATGTAGAATCAGTGGAAGCCCTGAGCTCGTTGTCGTGCAACTAGATGGTCTCATCTGGGGGTGATGGGAGACAGTGACACACAAAGTGTGTTGCGATCTCAAGCAGTTGATCCTATTCTAGCATGGACAAAGTCAGTTCACCTGGCTTAGTCACAAATGGGTTGTGGATCTATTCCTTTCCAGTTTGGGGATCTTTTGTGGTTGGGAAGTAATACTTCAACTCTTTTGAAAGCTGAGATAGGTGATCACGCACCAGCTGGGAGAAGGAAGGCCCTGGCTTAGTCTCTTTCAAAATCTCTGCTAATGTTTGAAACATTTCAGAAATCCCAATGTTCACTCATCGCCCTCATAGTTCCAGTTTGGCTTTGAATGCAGCCACTTTATCTGCTGACTTGAACACAGTTGTCATTCTCTCCCGAAATGACAGATTGAGTTTGTTGAGCAGGTTGAATATGTCACACAATTGAGCAGGTTTTTTTTTTTTTGTTTGTTTGTTTTTTGAGATGGAGTTTCGCTCTTGTTGCCCAGGCTGCAGTGCAGTGGTGTGATCTTGGCTCACTGCAACCTCTGCCTCCCAGGTTCAAGTGGTTCTTCTGTCTCAGCCTCCCAAGTAGCTGGGATTACAGGCACCCGCCACCACACCCAGCTAATTTTTGTATTTTTAGTAGAGACAGGGTTTCACCATGTTGGCCAGGTTGGTCTCGAACTCCTGACCTCAGGTGATCCACCCACCTTGGCCTCCCAAAGTGCTGGGATTCCAGGCGTGAGCCACCATGCCTGGCCAAGTGAGCAAGTTTTGTGACCCATTGTGTGTCACTGAAATATGCTGCCACTGGTGACTGTTTTTCTAAGAGAAATCTCTGGAGTGGTTCTTATAACTCAAAAACTCTGGCCAGGGATCTACCTTTAGAAAGCCATCTCACTTCTGTGTGTAAGAGAAGATGTGTGTGTTCTACATCCATCACCTCCCAGAGTTGCGTGAACAGGCGTGAGTTAAGGGCATGTACTTTAACGTGGTTGATAATTTTAATCACATCCTGCAAAACGTTGTTAAGTTCAGGTGACATTTTGCAGCTAGCCAGCATTTCTCTATGGATGATACACTGCATAGACTCAACATTCAAAAATGACCTCTTTGACCCAAGTAGTGAAACCAGAAAGCTGTCCAGTCATGGCAGTCACTCCATCCTTGCATATACCAACACAAAATGATCAGTTCAGTTTTCCTGATATGTATTCATTCAAAGACGTGAATAGTTCTGCAGCTGTGGTGTTGGTTGGCAACAGAAGTACATGTAACATATTTTCATGGATATCCTCCTGAAAAATATATCACACAAAAACAAGCACTGTTGCCTTGTTGTCAACATCGGTAGACTTGTCAATCTGGATTGCCTACCACGGTGACTCACTAATCCTCTCTAACGATTGTGCCTCAGGATCCTCTGCTATTTCCTCAATTCATCTAGTTATGGTGCTAGCCAAAAGAGGAACACATGCCACCCTTTGAACTGCAGCCTCTCTTGAAAGTTCATGACAGTTGTCCTTAACAGCAAACAGGATCACTCTTCACCAGTATTAAAGGGTTTCTCAGCTTTAGCAATGCCGTTAGCTACTAAGAATGATGCTCTCAGTGCAGACACATTTGATGAAGTGGTGGCCTTCAGTAATTGCTTCTGTACTTGATATTCACATTTTTTTCATTTAAAGAACTCCAAAGGCTTGTGTTTTAACGCAGGGCGCTTGGTCTCCATGTGGCGAAGCAGTGTTGAAGGTTTGATGGCTTCGTTTGATAGCTAGTCATCAAATATTGTACAAAGTGGCTTGGAGAATGTGAATCACCTGTTGCAATGAACTCATAATTTAAGTAGGACTCTTGGTATTTTAAGTGTAGATTTCTTTTTGTTGGCAGTCTTAGAGTCCCCTGCTGTTTCACCATTGGGTCTTTTCCTGTTTTCAAAGAAGCTCTCCAGTAATGTTTATTTTTTACTCATTTTTGCTAGAGTTAGCTTGTGGGCTTACCAAAACTGTGACTGAGACAAGTGCACAGTACAGGAAAGAGGCATAGATGGAAGTGGTAAATAAAATAATGATGGGCTACACATGGACTAAAATCAGTGTCAGATTCTGACTTAAAGCCTTCCACCAGATGCGGCTGTACCATTGATGTACATCAACTCACTGTCACTATAAAGCCTGCCACCAAATGTAGCTTAATTGTCACTTGCCACTTACTGATAGGGTTTTGATATGAGTCTGCAAGCAATTGATTTATTATGGTCTCTGTGCAGTCAAACCTCTCTGCTGATGTTAATCTCTATTTGCAGCCACTCACCAGCGCTAGCATTACCACCTCAGCTCCACCTCAGATCATCAGGCATTAGATTCTCATAAGGGGCACACAACCTAGATCCCTTGCATGCTCAGTTCACAGTAGGGTTCGTGCTCCCATGAGAATCTAATGCCGCTGCTGATCTGACAGGAGGTGGAGCTCAGGCAGTAATGTGAGCCATGGCGAACAGCTGTAAATACAGATGAAGCTTCGCTTGCGCTTGCTTGCCTGCTGCTCATCTCCTCCTGTGTGGTGGCCCAGTTCCTAACAGGAACCAGGGTATGGGGACCCCTGTTTTAGAGAATCAGTTTCAGGGTCCCAGTAATTTCCTTTTCCTCAAGTTTTCATACTACATTTTCAAGTTTTTCCAGGTGAGTATCGTCAGACTTACTGGTTTCTAGCTTCTGAAATCTACCCCTAACTACTTTATGAAAATCAGTACATTTTCCTTTTACAAGATCACTTTCAGAGGTTTTGTGAATAAATTCTTTCTTATCTCTTGTTCCAGTTTTCTCTTAATGTTTCCTTTCAAAATATATTTTGTTCACTAGGGTATTAGAAACTCGTATTTATGTATTACTTTGATGTGCATGATATACATTTTTCTCAGTGTTCCTCATAACAACTTTGTGAAATACACAAGGTTATAGATGAAGAAACTGAGGCTAAAATAGGTTGTGATTTGCTCAGTTAGAGACTAATCCAGTGGTTGATTTCTCAACCTCTCTTCTAATAGAAATCAAGTATTTCTGCTTTCTCTTCATCATTGGTTGTTTTCTTTTTTTTTTTGGGATGGAGTCTCACTCTTGCCCAGGCTGGAGTGCAGTGGCGTGATCTTGGCTCACTGCAACCTCCATCTCCCGGGTTCAGGTGATTCTCCTGCCTCAGCCTCCTGAGTAGCTGGGATTACAGGTGCGCACCACCATGCCTGGCTAAGTTTTATATTTTTAGTAGAGCTGGGGTTTTGCCGTGTTAGCCAGGCTGGTCTTGAATTTCCTGACCTCAGGTGATCTGCCCAGTCAGCCTCCCAAAGTGCTGGGATTACAGGCATGAGCCACCATGCCCAGCCCATTTGTTGTTGTTATACTCTTTTCCCCCAACCCTGAACCTCTCTGAGTTTCTTTCATGTTACTCTGTGTATAGCTTAAAACAAAACAATAACAAATAGAAAAAAACCTAACCCCACTTTTTTTTTCTTTGCCATTTTTCACTGACATCACCTCATTTTTGGCTTTAGTCTTCCTGATAACTGTTTTCTGGTTTTTTTTCTGGAGGCTTTTGGAGGCTCTTTAAGAGCTCAGCCTGGCTCTAGGACCAAGTCATTGTTAGACTGCCTCGTTTTTATTTATGGTATTCTGTATCTTGAAAACAAAGGACATGCTGAGTCTTTTCAAAGGAGCGTGGAATCCATGGAGCTGACTCTCATTGTTACTGCTGAAATAGTGACTGAATGTACCACCAGCCTGAGATTCATGAAATGTGCATTAAAATCGGTTTGGTATGTTAGGTGAAATGTAAAAACATCAGTGTGCTTTATCACCGATCTGTTTTTGTCTGGTGTAAGAAAAAATACGACAAGTATGGGATTGTTTATATGTCTTATAAAGCCAACACTGGAGTGTAAAAAATTGAGTGTTTGGGGATACACATTAAGTCAAAAAGAAACTAATGCTGCCTGCTTTGACTGTGTTTGGGTCAGAAATGGAGAAGTTGAAATTGACATGGCCATTTGCTGAAATATTTTGAGGTGTTCAGACTATAGTAGGAATGCAGTCATAATGACTGGATTTCAGAAATGACACTAGAAGTCATTTATCTATTTGCATCCTAGAACATCAACTTAATGTGTGTCCAGGAAGAAAATAAATGAAGACTGATTCATGAACTGACTGTACTATTTGTTAGAGCCAAGTATGTTTGTGGTGCATGAAAATCTTTATCAAGGAGCTTGGATTTTCATAACCAGTAAAGTTTTTGTTTTTTTTGAATGTCTTGTAATATATAAAATTATAGCTGGGATAAATGTAGTTTTTTTCACAAGGGAAAGATTAATGGTTTGGATTTGTCAAATTTTATAGCCTAGCTATTCATCATAAAATGAATCTGTAATACTTACTTTCCATTTTTTTTTTTTTGCTCACACACTACTTTGGATGATTTTAATTGTATAGTATTTAAAATTAATTTTTAGATCTTAGATGAGTTGACCAGAGACTAGTGATAATACCAAGTATGGAATAGTCTAGGGATAGAAAAGGATAGAATTTCATGATAACGCTATATAATGTGTGTGCCAAATTCAGCATATTGACCAGTGTTTTACAAAATGAGTTTTTCAGATCATCTATCTAAAAATCACCTGGAATGCTTGTTAAAAATTCGGATCCTTGGACCCTTCCTTCACCCATCTCTCACCAATCAGAATATCTGGGAGCTGCCTAGGAATTGCATTTAACAGGCACCCAGGTAATTTGGATATACATTAAAAGTCGAGATCTCCTGACATAGAACATTCAACATGTTATACGTATTGCTCACCTGTTTAAGATGATTAAATTATGAGATCTTTGAAGGCTGAGAGAGAACGAGGGTATCTGTTTTCAATTTATGAATTGAATGAATTTTTGGAGTTTTAAAAGCTAACACATAATTATAGCATTCATTTCATTTATTAGTTTCTCCTGAGGACGAAACTTGGCCTTGAATTTTATAATTCAGGGCTTTGAACATCTAATTTTTGTTTAACCAAAGTAGAAAGTACTGTAATGCTTCTAAAAACTACATTTACAGTTCCTGTTGCGCTAAGTAGATATAGATAAGCTACATGTTCAAACTTGCTTTGTGGTCCCCACTTCACTGTCCTCTCTCCTAGAGCTCTTCCAGATGTCAGGTTTTCTGAAATTGATCCTGAATTTAAAAATAGAGAAGTGACAGAAAAAAATGTGAGGTTTTAAATTTGATGTTGTATAAAAGGTAATATTTTTGTTTTTTCTGTCACCCAGGCGGAATGCAGTGGTACAGCCATGGCTCATTGCAGCCTCAACCTCCTGGGCTCAATTGATCCTCCTGCCTCAGCCTTCTGAGTAGCTGGGACTACAGGTGCACGCCATGATGCCCCACTGATTTTTGTATTTTTTGTAGAGATGGGGTTTTGTCATGTTGCCTAGGCTGGTCTTGAACTTCTGGGCTCAAGCGATCCTTCTGCCTCGGCCTTCCAAAGTGCTGGGATTATAGGCATGAGCCACCTTGCCTGGCCCAAAATGCACTATTAGTGACATACTTATCTATGACAGGATTTCCAAACTTTTTCCCACCCAAAGGAAATATCCAGAACCCCAGAAAATGAAAGTAGACCTGCTCTGGTTACATACCCCATGGGTGTTCCTGAGACATTTCCTAGGGACTCAGGGCTTTGGGCATAAAATTTGAAAATCACTGGAAGAAGTGGTAGCTAATTTTTATTAAATTTTATGTAGAGAGGATAGGAGAGAGTCTGAAGTTCTGTCAAAGCTGTTCAATCCTTAGAGTGGTAGTTCTCAGCCTAGGGGAATTTTGCCCTCCAGGGGACATTTGACAAAGTCTGCAGACATTTTTGGTTGTCACAACTGGAGTAGGGGGGTGGGGAGCCACTGGTATCTTGTGGGTGGAGCCCAGAGTACTGCTAAACATTTTAGAGTGCATGGTGCCCCTCATACCAAAGACTTATCCTGTCCCAAATATCAAGGGTAAGTACCTAGGCTGAGAAACTCTGCCTTAGAGAAATGTTTTCTAAAATATAATTTAGTTTGCAGTCCATATTCTCTGTAGATAAGAGTTTAGTGGACGGGAGGCAAATATTTTTATAAACGAGTAGCTTAGTAAGTTGTGGTTATTTTACCGTTAGTTTACTCTTTTATTAGGATGTTTATTTTGCAAAGATATTTTGATTAAACCTAAGTTTTCTTTCAACAGCTTTAGTAAGATTTTTAATAAGAAAATGTTATTTGTATTTTATGTATGATAACCTATTAGACCTATATGGTATGAGACAATAGCCTCTCTTTCAGAATTGCCCCGCCCTCCTTTGGGAGAGACTCTCTAATTTTATTACCAGCTTGTATCAGTTGATTTGGTTTTTTAAAAAAACACATTTTTTATCAGCTTTATTAAAATGGGTTAACTTTTAAAATGCCGCAGTATTTCAGTGGTAGAATTTCCTTTCTCCATAAGCTTTCTTTTCTATTAATTCAGCATCAAAGAAGTGTTATAGTGAGGTAAAAAACTTGAGTTTGAAAATGTTATATCTCATACTTAGAGAAATTATCTCCTATCCTTTTTAGGTTCTTACAAATTGGCAGAAATATCCTGGGAGAATTATTGCCCAAACATCAGTTAGAAAAAGTATGTTAAGGAAGTTCTGGTCACTTGAAATGCTTCCTTTAATCTTATTTCCTCTAGCAAATATGCAGCATTTTGGCCAATTTCTGTGGCATATGTATAGTAAATGTTTTACATTTCAGATCATTTTTGCTTTATATTTTAGGGGAAATTGAATTATCTGACTGGTGGTAGTTGCTGAGAATATATTTTACTACCTTATTTTAAGTTTCTTTCACTAAATTATTTCCTAGGTCTTTGGAATGGCATCTCTTCATATGCAACGTAGAATATATGCTTACTGTATTAGTCCACTTTGTGTTGCTGTGAAGGAATACCTGAGGCTGGGTAATTTATAAAGAGAAGAAGTTTAATTGTCTCAGAGTTCTTCAGGCTGTACAGGAAATGTGGTGCCGGCATCTGCTTCTGGTGAGGGCCTCAAAAAGCTTAAAATCATGGTGTTTTATTTTTTGCTACTGAAATTAACTTAATTATTTTTCAGAAGAATAACAGTATACTTTCCTGTATTCTGATAATCGATGTGATATTTTAAGTAGCTTACAATTACATTGACAAGGCTTCTGCTTTCTCACACTTAGTAGCTGGGACTGTCAAACAGATGCAGAACGAACAGGTGAATAATTTGTTTAGTTAGTTATTTTTCATTTCCTTTTCAACTAGATTGAAAAGTAGGGATATATAATCCTACATTTTAGACTAATTGCGTAAGACATCTTGAAGAATTAAAGAAGATATTCTAGAATAGCAGAGAGTTCATTTTTCATAAATTAGATGGTGACAGTGAGAGAAATTGTATTGTTGATATAGTACATATTTTTGGCCAATTGGCAGATACTTGGACACCTACCTAAGGAGCAAGGGCTGGTGCTAGGCATTGTAGGGATACAGATAGTTATAATAACTGATATTTTATAATGTTTACTATGTGCCAGACACTTTCTGGGTACTCAGAACTTACTACTTGTATAAATTTTACAGCAGTCATATGCTCTTACCTCTCTTGCAAATAAGAAAACTGAGACATAGGGAAGATAAGTATCTTGGACAAGGTCACAAAGCTGGTGGTGGAGTTTGGATTTGAAACCTGGTGATATGGCTGTGGAGCCTGTGTTATTATCTTGTAATCAGTAGCACGAAGCAGAAGACCTGGTTCCTGCCCTCAAATAGCCTGTTGTCTAGTTGCAGTGACAAGTCTCAAACACATGTAAAGATATATAATGTATATTTTTTAAGATTGTAGACAGTAAATAAATGCTGTAAGTAGAAATATTCATCTATTTATTTGCCTAGGTTGACTAGCAAGGCAATCCTGACTGGCATAATCAGGATTCTAGACTCTGGCCATATTGTTGTGTAATATTGAACATCTGGGATGGGCTGTGCACTGTGCATTTGCACCCTCCATGAGTAAGATTTAAAGAAACACCATTCTTTTAGTCATTACCTTTTAAAAAACACTTTTAACCATGTACAGGTAGTTATATTGAATAGTTTATTAAAATTGTCTCACTTATTTCTGAAATCTATTTAAATAAAAATGTGGGAAAGCTCAAGAGTGAGTACACTTTACAACCTGGCTGCCTTTTTCAGATTTCTACTTGCATTACTGTTTGGAAGTTGTTCTTCATATTCCATGGGAGATGATGGGGAGTGGAAAGATAAGAAGGGAGCAGTGACATTCATTCAATTCCTGTAAATGACTTTTATTAACATTGTTCTGATGCTTCAGGTTTGTGCTCAGAAACAGGGTGTGTCATTCATTACATAGCATGCTGTCATGTCCAGTCTGCTGCCTCATGACTTCTCTGAGTAAAACTGACTCAGTCAGTGGTTTGAGGCTTGGCCTTCAGCACAAGAGAAGCAAACACCCACTTATAGCAGCTAGATTAATACTGTCTTTCTTTCTGAAATACTTAAGGTAGGATTGCTGTCTAATTCTTTGTCCTTCATTTTGTAGCTTATTTCGCCTCAGTCATCTTGTGACCCACAAACTGTAGGTTGAGTTGACTCAACCTGTAATGATTAATATTTCCAGAATGTGTGGAATGTGTCACAGTATAGTGGCTTGAAGATAGAGACTTATCAAAGGTTATACCTGGTTTTTAAGTAGCATTCCTTCTAATATTTGTTATTACCCAGTACTTAATGATAGTATATTTATTAAGTTCAGTGTTTTCTCTTGGCTTCGAATTATTCTTGAGTTTTAGAGAAATACATAGCCTGTTAAAAATTAGGCAGCAGGAAAAAAAATATTTTCTATTCTGAAATAGAAGCGTTTAAAGGCACAAGGAAATGGTAATTGCAATCCTCTTTTTTCCTGTGAAAATAACAAGAACAGCAGTAACTCTTTCTTTGCCATTTTTCATAGTAAGTAATCATAATACATCATTCCTTTGTCATTGATAGTGTTTTCTCTGATTTTTAAAATTTCAGGGATAAATTATCTGGAAAGAGCCTGTCTTTTTTGAAACCCTGTATTTGAGAGAATTACCTGATAGAAACAAAACTCAAGGCTTACAGAGGAAATGGAGTGAACATTACATTTTATAACTTTGTTACTTTTAGGCTGGAGATACATTCCTCTAGTGGTGATCTTTAAAAGATCACCTTTAATATCTAGTATCTCCATACTTATTCTAGAATCTAGACTTTTCATACATGTGCTCCCATAGCCTATACATTTCCCCCTCAATCCCTGATCAGGAGAATTGTACATCATTTCAGTTGAATTTTGTCAGTGTTAATTTCTTTTTAAAGAATAGAAGTTTACTGTAAATGACTGGTAGAAAAAGACAGAGCCAGATAAAGAGCATTGCCTCTAAATATAAAAAATTAAGAAGAGGAAATGATTGCTCTGTAACTAAGTTACTAAAGCTATGGAAAACCAGTGGTGAAAAATTTCTCAATTTTCTGTGGAAGACATTTGATTTTGTGGAACAAAATTTGAAAGGGCCCTTAAAGATACTGTAGTTCAATTCTTTCATTTTCACCTAAGGTTCATCAACCCGGTTCTTCTGACTTCAATGAAGTGTTCTTTCTACATCACTACCCGAGTATTTATGATCTCTTTGGTGTCTAAAGAATTTCTTTCCTTTAAAACCTCAGAATTCAAAAAATTGATTCATAGAAAAAAATGCTTATGCATTTTGTGAACAAATGAAGTGCCTATCAATTTTTATTATTTGAAGTCAGATAAATAGGAGTTCTAACTCTGGTCATGCCATTTATTAACTGAATAACATAATACTTAATTTCTCTGTCTCAGTTCCCTGGTTTGTGATATGAAGGTAATAATAGAATTCTACTTGTTAGTTTGTTATGAGGATTAAATGAGTTACTCAGAATCTCACATTGGTGATGTTATAATAGAGAGAAGGAAATGATTTTGTTGTTTTTATTTGAAACAATAATACTCTGTACATCTTTTTTTGTTAAGTAACTTTATTGAGGTGTAATTTATGTACATAAAATTCATTCATTGTAATTGTACAATTCACTGATTATTAGTAAATTTATAAAGTCGTATAACCATCACTTCAATCCAGTTTTAGAACATTTCCATTATTCCCACAAATTCCTTTGTATCTGTTTGCAGTTAATTCCCACTCCCAGCCCTAGGCAACCACTGATCTGCTTTCTGATTCCCCTAAATGTGCCATTTCTGGACATTTCAATACATAGAATCATAAAATTTGTGGCTCTTTGTGACTGGGTTCTTTCACCATGGTGTTTTCAGGGTTCATCCATGTTGTAACGTGAATTAGTACTTCATTCTTTTTTTTGGCTGAATAAGATTCTATTGTATAGATATACCATACTTTGTTTATTCATTCATTCATTCATTCATTAGTAGATGGACATTTGGGTTGTTCGGCTATTATGAATAATGCTACTATGAACATTCATGTACAAGTTTTTATGTTAACATACATATGTTTTATATAGTATGAACATACGTATGTTTTATATGTTAAGGTACATAGGTTTCAGTTCTCTTTGGCATATACCTAGGACTGGAATGGCTGGGTCATATAGTCACTCTATGTTTAACCTTTTGAGGAAATGCCAAATTGTTTTCTATAGCAGCTGCACCATTCTGCATTTCCACTAGTATTGTATAAGGGCTCTGATTTCTCCATATCCTCCCCAACACTTATTTTTCTGTTACTTTTTTCATTTTCTAGTAGCCATCCTAATGTACGTAAAGTGGCATTTCATTGTGGTTTTAACTTGTATTTTTTGTGATTACTAATGATGTTGAACACCTTGTTATGTGCTTACTATATATTTGTATATTTTCTTTACTGAAGTGTCACTTCATATGTTTTGTCCATTTTAAAATTGGGCTGTCTGTCTGCTTAATGAATTGTATGAATTCTTTATATATTCTGAATAAAAGATCTTTATAAAGATAGGTGATTTTTATATGTTTTCTTTTAGTGTGTGGCCTGTTTATTTCTTGATGTCTTTTGGAGTATAAAAGTTTAAAATTTTGATGCAGTTCAGTTCGTCAGGTTTTTCTTTTACAATTGATGGTTTTAGTATCATATCTAAGAACTCAGCTTAATTGAAGGTCATGAACATTTTTTTTTTTGAAGAAATTTTATAGTTTAGTTTTAAAATTTAGACCCGTGATCCATTTAAGTTAATTTTTGTGTATGATTATGAGGTAAGAGCCCATAAGATTATTTTTTAGCCTGTGGATATCCAATTATCCTGACATCATTGTTAGAAAGATTTTCCTTTCCTCATTGAGTGCTCTTGGCATCTTTGTTGAAAAATAAATGTTTGATACATGTATGCACGTGAAAACATGTTTTTTTCTTTTTGACACTAGTACATTAAATTAGAATAATTAAAACACCAGGACTCATTGGCCAGATTTATATTTTAGAATTAACATAAGTGTTAGTATTACAGAGTTTCCCTTTTTATGATACACAGACATTTACATAATTAAGGAAAAGCTTCATTTCAAATATAGAACAGGTCTTTTCCGTAGTATATTCAAATTCAGCAGGGCAGTTTATAAAACAATTACTATATAGTGCATTTAAGATAATGTCTCAAACTTGATTTTTTTAAAGGCCAATTTCCATATCTGTTTCATTGTCACTCTGGGCCTGTGGTCATTGACTTCTACCCAAATTTTAACACAAGGAGATGTAATATGTGATTGACAATTGGCAGGTCATATGACTTTGGACTTTGGAGGTTGAAGGTTAAAAGAAAAATGTTTAATTAAGTTTCTTTTCTGTTTTATGTTAAGTTGCCCTGAAATATCCCCCTGGGCCACTGTATTTGTTTTGACATCTGATGTTTGAAGGAGCATGTTTTTCCCCCGTAGAAAATCTTACATAATCTCAACTATATCACCTCTGTGTGGGAGAGATAATTTATTCTTTTACTTATTATATATTGTGTACAAGTTAGTTCTTGAATGCGGTCTTGACTACAGTATATATTGAATAGTTTATCATACGGGAAATGTAAGGAAGCCATATGTAACGTCTAGTATCTTAGATTTAGTCCTGGTCTTTAGATGCTAACTTTAGGGGGAAACAAAATAAACAAACCTCTAGACTAAAGATTTGTTTTTTCTTCACCTTGTTTGGCAGATGTAATCAAATATTAATCTTGGTCTTCTGATTTGGCTTTTCCTGTCATATATTCCTTTCACTTAAAAAATAACATTTGTCGCCTGTAATCCCAGCACTTTGGGAGGCCAAGGCGGGCGGATCACGAGGTCAGGAGATCGAGACCATCCTGGCTAACACAGTGAAACCCCGTCTCTACTAAAAATACAAAAAATTAGCCGGGCGCGGTGGTGGGTGCCTGTAGTCCCAGCTACTCGGGAGGCTGAGGCAGGAGAATGGCGTGAACCCGGGAGGCGGAGCTTGCAGTGAGCCGAGATAGCACCACTGCAGTCCCAGCCTGGGTGAAAGAGCGAGACTCTGTCTCAAAAACAAACAAAAAAAAAACAAAAAAAACCAAAAAAAAACATGTGTTATTGTTAGGTTACGAGATTAATTCATGTTTTAAAATTCCAAATAATTAGAGTAAAACCCAGTAAGTGCCAAGACCCTTTTAAAGGCAAGCCTCTTAAATGGAAATATTTATTTATTTAGGTATAGACAGGGTTTCACTCTGTGGCCCAGACTGGACTGCAGTGGCACAATCATAGCTCACTGCAGTCTTGAACTCCCAGGCTCAAGTGATCCTCCTGCCTCAGCCTCCTGAGTAGCTGGCACTGTAGTCGTGCACTACCACGCCTGGATAATCTTTTTTTTTTTTTTTTTTTTTTTTTTGTGGAGACAGGGTACGTATTTGTTGCCGAGGCTGGTCTCAAACTCCTGGTCTCAAGCAGACCTCCTGCCTTGGCCTCCCAAAATGCTGAGATTACAGGTGTGAGCTACTGCACCCAGCTAGGATATATTTCAGTTCATTCTCTTCCCTGTTGGAAAGTATACACCAGACCTAATTTAACATTCTTTTAGTAACTCTTGCAAGGTGGTGGTGGTTTTTCCAAAAACCTGACACTTAGCTGAACATTCTTTTATCAACTATCTTATTTCCTTATCATGCACAAGTTAAATGTTAGACTGAGGAGTAGGTGAGTTATCCCCAAGGAAGTAAAATGATGTTAATTTTCTTGAGGTCACATGAATTGTGAGTAGCTGAATGCTACTGTGAATTCTGGGCAGCCCGACCACAGAGCCTGAACTCTTAAATATTATACTGTATTAACTTGACATGTTTATAAAAGTAACAATTACATGCTACCTGAATGCCCTCAGTAGTTTTGAACATGGTGCAACTGTTTATCCCTATACTAAAATTCCAATTAGGCTATTCTGTTTTGAGTCTTTGTAATCATGTTTTAGAATTTTTGTTTCCTTCCTCATTGTCAGGCATCTTTTCTTCCTCCCTTCCCCTCCTTCTTCCCTTCCCTCTTTCTCTTCCCTCTCTTCCCCCTTCTCTTTTTCCTTCTCTTAGAGTCTTGCTCTGCCACCCACACTGGAGTGTAGCCTCAAACTCCTGGGCTGTAGCCATCCTCCTACCTCAGCCTCCTGAGTAGCTGGGACTGCAAGTGTATACCACTATGCCTGGCTAATTTAAAAAATTTTAAATTTTTTTTTTTTTTGTAGAGACAGAGTCTCACTATGTTGCCAAGGCTGTTCTCGAGCTCTTGGGCTCAAGTGATTCTCCTGCCTTGGCCTCCCAAAGCGCTGGGATTATAGGTGTGAGCCACTGTGACTGGCCTCTTTTTCCTTAAAAAAATAATTTACTACTGTCAGTGTACCATACCTGTTACCTGTTTTCTTATTTCTTTCTGATCTTCTGTGGGCTTGAAGATCATATAAGCAAGCTTTTATGTTTGTAGTTTCTAATCTAGAAGTGAATAGGATCATATATGAGGAGAACATAAATCACCCAGTAATTTACCTGTAGTTATACAAAGTAGTTATTAGGTTGGTGCAAAAGTAATGGTGGTTTTGCAATTATGAATGACACCTTTTTAAAGTTGAGGAGAAATCTCTTTGGGTATTTAACTTGGAGGTAGAATTTGAATAGCAAGATGGATTTTATTTTTTCTAAGGTTTGGAGGATGTGTACCATAACTGATTTGTATGTCATTTTTGTTGTTTTGATTCACCTTTTACAATTCAGAATTTTTTTTTTTTTTTTTTTTGAGACGGAGTCTTGCTCTGTCACCCAGGTTGGAGTGCAGTGGTGTAATCTTGGCTTACTGCAACCTCTGCCTCCCGGGTTCAAGCGATTCTCCTGCCTCAACCTCCCAAGTAGCTGGGACCGCAGGTATGTGCCACCATACCTAGCTAATTTTTGTATTTTTAGTAGAGACAGAGTCCATGTCAGCCAGGCTGGTCTCAAACTTCTGACCTCAGGTGATCCACCCGCCTCGGCCTCCCAAAGTGCTGGGATTACAGGCGTGAGCCACTGTGCCCGGCCTACAATTCAGAAATTTAAATGATACTTTTAGAAGAGTTTGAGGCAGGGAAGTGAAATCCATTAATTAAGAGTGCAGTTTGGTATGTTTTAGAGCTCAATGCTTTGTCCTCTGTCATCCTTCTACTGCATCCCTTTCTTCGTTTCCTCACTTCAACTTTTTAGTAAACTTGTCTGAGGCATTAGCTTTACTCTTACGCATTTTGCTCCCCTGCCTTTTTGTTATAAATATTATCATGGCATGAAACAAAAAGCCTGTTATCTGCCTTTCCATGATCACTTTGGTGACACTGTTTCAGCCACAAGTAAACCTAGCAACTCTATGAATAGCAGGACAGACTTGAATGTGGTGTGTGTGCAAGGAAGTTATTTAACTTTCTTAATCTTAAATGCCACCAGAAAACATTCTGCTCCCTGTTACTTCTTTTTTTTTTTTTTTTAAATTACTTTGTTTTGCGGTAAGGAGTTGGGGAATGTGTGGTGGCAGGGAAGTAATGTAAGTTGCTTTATAACTCACTGTCTAACAAAGTTTTGAAAATTTGTCTGATATGTAATTAGGTACTTTAGGGTTATTAGGTTTTCATAAAAATTCTGGTTAGGGCTCTTGCCCTGCTCCCAATGAAAGCCTTTCCACAGGGCAAATATAAAAGAGAGAGTAGAGGGAATCCCCCTGAGGTTTAAATAAGTCAAACCAGTAAGTAATAGTGCTAAGTTTGTCAGTGCCTCTCTTTCTTACTGTACTTAACATCTAAAGGGCACCTCATTTATTTTCAGCTAATTATGTTCTTTATGAGTGACTGTCAAATCAGGGAAGGGTGTGACGATCATGTGGAGATACCTTTTCTAATTAATAGCTGCCTTGCTCCTCAAGATTCTGATGAATGTTGGGAAAGGAAAAAAGTTGAGGTGCAAACAATGTGAGAAATTTAATAATTGAGAGATACTTAAATTTTTTATCTATTGCTGTATAACAAACTACCCCTAAACTTAGCAGCTTAAAACAATGAACATTTATCTATTATCTCACATAGTTTTGTGCATCAGAAATTTAGGAGCCACTTAGCAGAGTTGTTCTGGCTCAGGGATTCTCATAACATTGTAGGCAAGATGTTGGCAAGGCTGAAGTCATCTGAAGGCCTCTTTGGGGTGGGAGGATGGCTATTGTCAGGAGACTTTACTTCCTCTCTGGCTTTTGGCAGGAAGCCTTAGTTGTTAATCATGTGGACCTCTCTGTAGAGCTGTTTGGGTAATCTCAGGACATGGCCTAGAGTGAGTAGTCCCAGCTACTTGGGAAGCTGAGGTGGGAGGATTGCTTGAGCCTGGAAGGTTGAGGCTGTAGTGAGCCGTGATCGTGGCATGGCACCCCAGCCTAGGTGGCAAAGTGAGACCCTATCTCAAAAAAAAAAAAAAAAAAAAAAGAAGGATTAGATGATGTTGAAGGTGAAGCCTGCTATAGGGGCAGGCAATCGACATCAGTTAATCTTTTTCGTATTCTAATTGCAGGAGACCGATGATTAACAGCAAAAACAATAGCCAACGCCATAGACATTTCAGCTGGTTCATTTTACACAATTCTGACTCTGCTCAGTGGGTGCCAAAACTGTTGCTCCCAGATCAATTGCAGACAAGAGCAGAGCTTTCACTGGAAATTTCAAACAGGTGGGATCAACATTCTGAAGGATTTCTTTGAAGAATTTTAACAATAAATGAACATGGTTTTACCAGTACATCCTGAAGACAAAGTACAATCAAATCACTGGCTACCAAGAGTTGGAAGTGAGAGCAGAAGCAGACTGATCAAGAACAAAGGTCATGGCAACACTTTTTTTGGGATACGCAAGGCATTTTGCTCGTTGACTTTTGGGAGGGCCAATGAATGCCAACATCTGCTTATTGTAAGAGTATTTTAAGAAAGTTAGCTAAAGCTTGAGCAGAAAAATGCCTAGGAAAGCTTCACCAGAGAGTCCTTCTCCACCATGATAGTGCTCTTGCTCATTCTTCTCATCAAACAAGGTCAATTTTGGGATAGTTTTGATGCACATTTATTAGGCATCCACCCTACAGTCCTGATTTGGCTCCTTCTGACTTTTTTATTTCTTAATCTTAAAACGTCTATAAAGCGTATCCATTTTTCTTCAGTTAAAAATGTAAAAAAGACTGCATTGACATGGTTAATGCAGGACCCTCAGTTCTTTAAGGATGGACTAAATATGTGTTATTATTGCCTACAGGTGTCTTGACCTTGATGGAGCTTATGTTGAGAAATAAAGTTTATACTTTCTATTTTCATCTAATTCCATTTTTTCCACAAACTTTTTGGAGTCCCCTTGTATTTCCAGAATACTTGTGAATGGCTTTTTCAAATTAATTTGGCCTAAATATTATCCCAATTTATTAACCTTAATTGGAGAATGTTGAAAATCTTGTCTCTTCATAAAAAAAAAAAAAAAAAAAAGCCATTTCCGAATACGTAGTAGCTGAATTCCTAAGGCTAAACTGAGAAATTCTGTAGTTTAACTACTTGATTTACCTATTATAGCAATTATATAAAGTATAGAAAAGAAATAGCATTTTACATATACTATTGTATTAGTCCATTTTCATGCTGCTGATAAAGACATACCTGAGACTGGGCAATTTACAAAATAAAGAGGTTTAATTGGACTTACAGTTCCATGTGGCTGGGGAAGCCTCACAATAATGGTGGAAGGCAAGGAGGAGCAAGTCCCATCTTACATGGATGGCAGTAGGCAAAGAGAGAATGAGGAGGATGCAAAAGTGGAAACCCCTGATAAAACCATCAGGTCTCATGAGACGTATTCACTAACACGAGAACAGTATGGGGAAACTGCCCCCATGATTCAGTTATCTCCCACCAGGTCCCTCCCACAACATGTGGGAATTATGGGAGTTCAATTCAAGATGAGATTTGGGTGGGGACACAGAGACAAACCATATCAACCGTATGAACTCTTTGGGTCTGTAGAATAAATAGCTATTGTTTTTTAAATCTAGCATGATCCCAGTTAGCTAGGATTGCTAATATAAAAGAAATAAAGATAGTGAATATGAAATTAATTATCCAGATTTTCAGTTCATAGATTTTTATGTAAACCACTGTCCTTTTGTAGCTCTGTATTTAATTAAGCATTTCCTTCTGGTAAGATAGTTTTCTTTCAAACAGAGAGGCAATATAATGTAGCAGAAAGATTGTAGGCTTGGAATTAGACCCATTTGGGCTTGAGTCTTTGCTTTACCTGTGGGACCGTGGACCAGCTGCTTAATCTTCATATCAAATCTATTTCCTCATCTAGAATAATAGTATCTAAGGTTTCTTGTGAAGATTAAAAGAAATTATGTGAAGGGTTTCCCAGTGTTTCTTAGATACTCTATTTTTTCCCTTAAAGGACTTGGCCAGGTGTGGTGGCTCATGCCTGTAGTCCCAGCACTTTGGGAGGCTGAGGCAGGAGGATCACTTGAGGTCAGGAGTTCGAGACCAGCCTGGCCAACATGGTGAAACCCTGTCTCTACCAAAAAATACGAAAATTACCGGGGCGTGGTGGCGGGTGCCAGTAATCTCAGCTACTCAGGAGGCTGAGACAGGATGATTCCTTGAACCTGTTGTGGGGAGGTTGCAGTGAGCCAAGATTGCGCCACTGTACTCCAGCCTAGGTGACAAAGTGAGACTCTGTCTCAAAAAAAAAAAAAAAAAAAAAAAAAAAAAAGATGAAAAGATAAGACAACCAGAAAAGAAAAGGTGTCCCTGATGAGATATATTTAAACTGAAACATAAAGGTCTAGTCCTATCCCTGCAGTGAGAATAATATGTTCAGAGCTTTAGAAGAAGAAAAGCTTGACAATTTTGAGAACTAATTGAAGGCTTTTATCCTTTAATTAGATGTAGTGGGGATAAGATTGGAAAGGTAAGTAGGAGCCAGATCTTAAGGGCCTCTGAGGTTGTGACATTTATTTGTATTTAATTTTTAATGTAGTTGAAACCATTGGAGAGTTTAAATCCACAAGGGCTATAATTCTGCTTTCCAAAATTTTGAGACAGTAAGCTGCAGTTAACTTCCGTGGAGGAATTTATTTTTCTCTTGTTATTCAGAGTCTTAGAATCTAATGTTTATTAGTTTCAGGATTTTATTCTTTTTTCAAAAGCCAGAGAATAAACTTGGGTAGAAGGGATCCATGTAGATCTATGATTCTTCTCAGTAAGAAACTTAAAAATAACTGCAGGGTCTGAGACAGAACTTTCCCTTCTCTGTTTTGCTTCTGCTCGCAGAATTGAAGTTATATTTTCCTCTGTCCTCTTTCTCCCAATTACTGCATTTTTAAGGAAGTTGGGGATTGAGCATTTGAAGTTAGTTCTACTGTCTCCCTCTGTTGTTTTTCTGTGGAGTGTGGCACCGTTTTTACTGTGCTGAAGCAGATTTTCTGGAACATTTCTAAGGCACATACAATCCCAGCTGCTTTTTTTCTGTTGGTGCTAAGAGAAGTCTATTGCCTATGCTTCTGTCATCTGAGGTATATAGTAGGACATAATATTGGGCACTAATTTATTAGCAAAGCTGTTAACTTTTAAATGACTTTTTAAAAGTTTTGGAATTTCATTTCACAGAATGAAAAATTTTGTCAGTGGTTTTAGGAAGAAAGCCTCAGATGCTTACTGACGCTTTCAAATGGTCAACAAAAAGTAGAGTTAAAGATTTTGTGAAATGATTTGTTTGTGGCCAAAGAAATCATGATTGTGACTCAGATGATTTAGTTAAATGTATACCAAATAACTTTTTTTAAACTGTGGAAGAATATATAAAGAATCTAATGTTGGTACTGTTTTTAGTCGCCATTTCTGCGTCATATTTTATAGAGATTGTTCTTACTCTAGTGAGGGTGATTTAAAGGGCAGGTGTTCTGGATTGCCAAAGGCATTGTGGAAACAGAGATGCTCTCACTTCTTTCCTGCTCAGTGCTTTCCAGAAGCTGTCAGGAGAAGTGCCACGTGTATTTTCTACCTTCTGTTAGCTATGCAGAAGGAAGAGGAAGAAAAATATTATATTTTTGGAAACTTGAGTTAAGAATTCAGATTATTATGGGAATAGAAAAATGGTGATGAGATGTCTTTATTTGACTGCACAGGGAGAATTGTTTGGAGTCTGAAGATCTTTTGGCTACCTTTATAAAAAAGAATAAAAATTGATAACCATGCTTAAAGTCATGAGCTGATTCTCCTGAAGTTCCCTGAAATAGTCATATGAATGATATCATATACTTTTGTACATTGTTGTCATAATGGATATTCTTTTATACCACATATTAATATATCTCAAATGTAAAAGTTTTACATAAAGTACTTTTTCAGAATAGTTTCATGAATTAGAACTGATTTTATCATACACACTAAGGCATCATAGACAGCACTGTGTTGGTCTCTCTTCATAACAGAGAGATTATATGTATAAGCCATATAACCTTGAACGAGCTGTATAACCTCTTTCTCATTTCTCTCATCTCTAAAATGGTATGAAAATGCCCTATTTAATTTGATTCTGAGCTGCATACATTTTTTTCACATTCTAAGGGCTCTGAAATCAGGATACATGTTTGTGATTGCTGTATTTTACTATCAGTCATGTGACAGTAGACATGAAGTTATATGAAAATTCTTAATTTATACCTTTTGGTATGGTCACTGCATCTGATCATCCGAATGGAGTTGATGATAGTACATACCTCGAAGGACTTTTGTGAGTATCAAATCAATTTATATATATAAGGTAGTTAGAACAGTTCCTTCCATCTAGTAAATGCTATTTGTGTTAGCTATTTTTAATATTAGAAATATAACAGTGATTGGCTGATTTATTTATAATTTTAAGATTATATAATACCCTTTGTCTGTGGACCACAAAGCATGTTTTATTGGACATTTTGAAAAAGAAAGGTAAATTCCTTGTTGTTATAGATATATAATAAATACAAAGTAGAGAAGATTACTGGTTAGAAGAGGTAATTGAGGGTGGTAAAAGTAGAATGTCTTCTGTATTTAATGTAAGATGTAAGTTTCTGCTATACATATTTCTGGTATTAATGTTAGGGAGTGGATTTTAATAAAAATATCTAGTGGATCTCAACTTTTTGGAAGAATTGTTAATCTCTAGTGGTATATACTTTCTGTTTAGATTTCTTTCTCTCATGGGAATAAGGGAACTTTTTTCTGAGAGGACCATATTTGTGAAAAATGGAGCATTTCAGTTTTTGTTCTAATTGTAATTTTCAGATGATCTACACTAAATCTAATAGATTAGTGTTATAATTATTCATTATCTGATTACAGCTATAAACTTTTTACTTACCCTTTTATTGATGTATATACTGTTTCTGACTTAAAAGTAGACAATTTCAGAGTGATAACAGTGTTTTTGAATTTTTAAAAGTTACTCCTTACTATTACTCCATATTCTTAACTTTAATTCCCAATATGGCACAGAGTTATTGACAAAATATTTTCCATTTTTTACCAAGAGTCGGAAAGTTACCTATGATAGGTGAAGAAACTGCAGGGAAGTTATTTATTTATTTATTTGTTTATTTATTGGTACTATACCACATGAACTCCATGTTGTAATTATCATATAAAATTGTCAGTTGTCATAAGTTTTTTTTTTAACGTGGATTTTTCTAGGGTGATTTCCTTTGTAGTAAATTAGTGATAAAATTATCTAAACACCCTATTACCTTTTATGGGAATGAAATGTACACAAATTTTGATATTTCATGATAAAAAGTCAGGGTACCTTTTAATGAGCTCCTCTTTGTGAAAACCAGAGCACTTTATATGTGCAGTTGTATTTACTTTGCTATACATAATGTTTTTCTTTTTATAAATACCCTTTTAAAAGTTTGTCTTATTCTTTCCTCTACTTTTTAATGCTAAGAGGTGAAAGAACTTGTCACCTTATTGGTAAATGTCAGAATTTTGAACCCAGTTCTATATTATTCTAAAACCTATGAAAGCAGATTGGAAGTTTAAAATTTGAATCACTGTCTTTTAAGACTAGAGCAGTGTTTCTCAATCTTTTTTTCATTATTGCTCCTCCAAGGACAGTTTTTGTTTTTTAAAATAGACTTCATTTTTTAGAGCAGTTTGAGATTTACAGAAAAATTGTGCAGAAAATACAGAGAGTTCCCAAGTGCCACTCTCCCCCAACCACACATAATTTCTTCTATGTTAGTTTGGTACATTTGTTGCAGTTGATGAACCAATATTGATGCGTTATCAGTTTACATTAGGTTTCTGTCTTTGTATTATACAGTTCTATGGTTTTGACAAATGCATAATGCCATATCTCTACCATTACAGTATTATATAGGATAGCTTACTGCCCTGAAAATACCCTGTGTTTCTCCTCTTCTTCCATTCTTTCCTCCCCCTGAAACTCTGTCAATCACAGATATGTTTACTGTCTCTATAGTTTTACCTTTTCCAGAATGTCACATGGTTGGAGTCAGACAGTATGTAGCCTGGCCTTTTTCGTTTAGCAATATGCAGTTAAAAGTTTCCTCCATGACTTTTTGTGGCTTGATAGCTCATTTAAAAAAACCAGTGAATCTCCATTGTGTTGGATGTACCACAGTTTATACATTTAGCTGTTAAAGGACATCTTGTTTGCCTCCAGTTTTTCATAATTTTAAATTTGTGAACTCCTCACATGTTTTACTTGAAAAGCAAAATCCTAAGAAGTCCTTTAGACCCCCAGTGTATTCGGTAATTTTTGCATTGCTATAAAGAAATACCTGAGACTGTTAATTTATAAAGAAAAGAGGTTTAATTGGCTCATGGTTCTGTAGGCTATGCAAGCATGGCACTGGCATCAGATTCTGGTGAGGGCCTCAGGAAGCGGAAGGCAGAAGGGCAGCAGGCACATCACATGGCCAGAGTAGGAGCAAGAAGGAGTGGGGGAGGCACTACATACTTTTTAAACAGCCAGGTCTTATGTGAACTCAGAGCGAGAGCTCACTTATCACCAAGGGAATGGTGCCAAGCCATTCATGAGGATCCACCCCTGTGATCCAAACACCTCTGACCAGGCCCCATCTCCAACACTGGAGACCACTTTTCTTTTCTTTTCTTTTTTTTTTTTTTTTTTTTTTTTTGCAGTTGCAAGATTGAATAGAGTGAAAACAGAGCTCCCATACAATGGGAGGGGACCCAAAGGGGGTTGCCCACTCCCAGCTCGAATGCCTGGGGTTTATATCCCAATCATTGCCCCTTCCTCTGTGCTGTCAGGCGAGAGATGATTTATTTCTTTACCTCCTGTTTTTAGACTAATTGGTATTTTAATGAGCTCTCTTTACTACCTGATTGGCCAGATGTGAGCTGAGTTACAAAAGTCCTGTGTTTAAAGGTAGGTGCAGTCACCTTCCCCACCTAAGCTTAGAAATTGTTAGTCGGCCTAGGAAATCCAGCTAGTCCTGTCTCTCAGTACCCCCTCTCAACAGGAAAACCCAAGTGCTGTTGGGGAGGTTGGCCGTCGACTGCTCCAACTGCTTCCTGCTTAATTGGGGCATAGTAGGGGTTGTGCATTTGAGATTTCCTCGGGAGGAGTGCCTTCGATGTCATTAACATCGGAGCATGGGCTAGCAGGCTGGTCCAGGGATCCGCGGTAGATCTTAGTCATGGACTGCATCTGGGGCTCCATTTGAAGAACGATGTGTTGTTTTACAGCTTTGATTCTGGAAGAGACAAACTTAACAAGGAGGTTAAAGATACAGGGATTGAAATGTATGGCCTAAAGTGCAGGGGCATATGGGTGTAGGTGGTGAAAGTGGGGTTTCCTTTAGAAAAACCCCTATACGATGGGGCGTCAATATTTCCGGGAAGCTGCATTCTCCATAGGAGCTCTTGGTAAGGGGAGCTACTGGTAGTACAGCAGCATGGAGGAGGTGCAGTGAGAGTGAAAGGGGGTAAGAGAACAGTAAAAAGAAAAATACAACAAGGGAGGGCCACGAGGATCTACGATTCTAGTTACTTTCCTCAAGGTTGTTGCTTGAAGAGCAGGCGCAGATCCTCTAGAGATTCACAGGAATAGCTAGCACTGTCGCCTGGATTTTTGGGTTCCTTTGGCAGTATCCAGGGTTTGACTCGAGTGCGATGTATCCAAGACTCCACTCCAGCCACTTTAACTGCGGTTGGGGTAGATAAAATGACTGGGTAGGGTCCTTCCCAGGATGTGTCTAGGGATGGGAAGTTAGAGGGAAGGGACTTGACTAATACCATGTCACTAGGGTGGAAAAATTCCTTTCCCTCCTCTTGGGGACAGGTTCCCTGTAATGTTTTAAGAACTTGTTGATATTTGGCTAAGGAGGTGATGTCTGCAACTAAGTTGGCTGTCTCTTGGTCAAGCACAAGGTCATTGGTTAGGAAGGGCTGTCCATACAGCATTTCGTATGGGCTAAGTCCTGCTCTTTGGGGAGAGTTTCGGATTCTTAGTAAGGCTAAAGGCAACAGAGCAGGCCATGCAAGGTGGATTTCTTGGGTTAGCTTTTTTAGATGTTGTTTGAGTGTTTCGTTCATTTTCTCGACTGTTCTTGAGGATTTTGGCCTCTAGGCGCAGTGTAAGTGATACTGTATGCCTAATGCCTGGGATACTCCCTGGGTTACTGCAGCCTTGAAAGCGGGGCCATTTTCACTCTGTAAACCTCGGGGAAGTCCGAATCTGGGAATTATTTCATGAATTAGTGCCTTTATTACCTCTTGGGCCTTTTCTGTCCTGCAAGGGAAGGACTCCGCCCAACCAGTGAAAGTATCTACCCAGAATAGTAGATACTGAAATCCCTGAGATTTGGGCATGTGGGTAAAATCTAGTGCCAGTCTTCTCCTGGGTAATGGCCTGTTCTTTGTTCTCCTGAAGGAGCTTAGTGATAAGGCAGGGGATTATTTCTTTGGCACGCTTCACAGGCCCTGACTGTCTGCTTGATAGTTTTGAAAAGGCCTGACTGGAGACCGCATTTCAACATGAGATTTGGAAGGAACACATATTCAAACCGTGTCACCCACCATTAAATTTTAATATCATAGATGTAATGTATGTTTATTTATAATGTATATTATTTATATATAGATGTAATGTATATTTAATTATCTTTGATAATTTTAACATAGATGTAATATATATTTATCTATAATATCATAGATGTAATGTGTTTATATTTATGGGCTTTGGAGGGCCATAAACCATTTTCATGGCTAAGATTTTTACATTCCTGAAGAACCAATATTTGCCCTATTGTGAGTGATACTACCTTCATTGAGAATGCGTGGAAGATAGATTTTTAAAAAGGGTGTTTTTTATTCAGGCCTTTGCTGCAATTTTTTGAAGCAGATTTAAAAAAAACCCCAAATCATTAAATTAACTTGCCATTGTAGATCTATATGAATTTATATGGAAAGATTCCCAAGATACTTTAGGGGACTAAAGCAAATTGCAGAATAATTGATAGAATATGTTAACATTTATGTAAACGAATTATACCTAAAGAACCAAATATATGGTTCTACATATGCATCAGTGTATGCAAATGAATAGAAAAAGATATACACGAGATTGGTAAGTGTAAGCCCTCTGATGCAACTGGGATTGGGAAGTGGGGGTGGTTAAAGGATAATTTTGCTTTATCTCTATTGTTTGGGTTTTTTTTTTTTTGACAAGTAGAATACATTCATGTATTACTTATACAATTAAAAATAAATTTTCAAAAGAGAAAGGGAAACCTGAAATGGAGGCAGTCAAGTATCTAAAGCAAAACCAAAAACACCTATCATTGAACCTATGATGAATGAAAGAAATGAAGTTTCCTATATAGGTGGTTATGTCATAAGTGTTATATCATAAGTGGTGTTATAGTATCATTATTACCTACTATCAGGAATAATTTCTTTTCACTCTCTCATTATTCTTGTCACTGTTGAATGTCTCAAGAGTTGTGTGTGTATTCAGTTTCTATTTCCCTCTCTGTCTCATTTACTGACTCCAGTCTGACTAATGCTCTAATATGCTCTTGAGAAGTCACCATGAACTCCATGTTGCTGAGCCCAGTGGACACTTTCTGTCCTCCTACTTAACCTCTCTGCACAGATAGATTCCGTACAGAGAGAAAGTTGATCACTTCCTCTCTTCTCAGCTTCTCTGACACCAATTCTGTATTTTTCTTCTACCCCTTTGGCTAATCTTGATTTTTAAGACACTTTGTGGGCTAACAAAACATTCTGTGGAATGAGTTCAACATATATTACAATTTCCCCTTTTTAAAAATCATGTTATTCTGTTTCATTTACAGCTCTTCACATTCTGTATTGATTTTTAAAAATATTTTAAAATTGTTTCTCTTTCCTCCACTTTGAAAGCTTTATGAAAGAATAATTTCTGTCTATTGCCTAATACTGTGTATCATCACTGTGCTTGACACGTAGTTGGTAATCTCTAAGTATTTGAGAAGCAGTGAGTTAATTAATATTTGCTTTTTTGACTTTTTTAGGTTATTTAAGTATTTTTGACATCTCTTTTTGGGAATGGGGTAAAAGAATTGTAGAGGAACTATTAAATGACCAGTGTAAACCATTGTTTGTAAATGGTTGTGTAATATGACTTTGGAATAATGCAGTTAATGGTTATCAGTTTAAGTAATCACTATTCAGTTTTGATAAGAAATGTGCTTTAGTCTTTTTCTAAATCATTCTAGGAGATTTGCCCATGGATTTATACATAGCAACTATACACATATATTTTAGATGACCAGAAAAATTTAGTGCTTCTTCACAGCTGTCAGCTGGAATAATTGCGTACTCATACAACAGGAGTTAGGTTAGAACTGCTATTATTTAGTATCCTTTTGCTATTACCTGATGTAGTAAGTTTAACATCTTTGTAAAAATATGTTTTAAGTTCTGGGCCATTGATTTTGAAGTGGGAAATAAATGAATGCTGTTGTTTTTTCATGTCAAAATTACCAAAAAGCTCTATGGAAAGTTATTTTATAGCAAACACAAGGGAAAGGTATTTTCCAGAATGAGTTTTTTACAAATGGATAGTGATGTTTTCTGTAATACTTAAGTTTAGAAACATATATCACATGACAAGTCCATTGTTTATTCAAAAAACAAATAGGCATTTGACTCATTTGGGACTGTAAAATCTTCAAAAATATGCCAGAAAACTAAAAAATGTAGAAAAGAGGATTTTTTTTGTTTTGTTTTTAGCCCCCAGACCACCACTTTTTATAGTAACTTATTTTCTAGTGTCTTAAAAAATAAGGGCTTTTAAGGAAAGAGAGTATTTCTCTTAAAGTTAATTTTGATAGATATTTATCTAGATGCTTTCTTTTTTCCCTTGCCATAATAGCTGGCTTGTAGAGAGAGTTATGTTTGAAAAGGCTTGCCTTTTTTCCGTTGCTCTGAGCAGGATTATGTTAGGGCCCAAATAGTGACTTTGACAAAAAAAAAAAAAAAAGGGGGAGTATATTAGTTTTAAGTTTGACAGCATAAAACAAAACTCAAAAATAAAAGTGGCTTAAACAAAATAGAAGTTTATGAAAGAAGACTGGAGACAGGTAGGAACGGGTAGTCATTAAGGACCAGTTTCCTCTTCTTCCTATCATCATCTGGCATGGCCAGTTGACTTTATGGACAACTGTGCCTACAGGACCTTCTGCCATTGCATCAGTATCCTTAGGTAGCAGCAAAGAGGAAGTGGATCAATGACTCCACCCTTCAGTTAAGCCAACTACCTATAAGTGACTTTCCCAGAAAGTCCCACACATTTGCACCCATTAGCCAAAACTCACACACATAGTCATACCTAGCTATAAGGGAAACTGGAAAACTAACCTAGATGAATTGCTACTCCAAATCAAATTGGGGATCCATTATTGAGGAAGGAAGAGAGTGTGTATTGGATAGGAAAATAGCATTCTCTTCTATAGTGAGAGAAGTAATAGTTTTTGTTTCTACTGAGATATGATAGGTAATTCTGCAAATTTTATTGATTATTGCAAATTTTCAGTATATTTTCCATTAGCAAGGTGTCTTTTATAAATTCCTGTTGGAAAAAACACAGACAGTTGCCATGGACTTGTATTCAGAGGGCTTTAAAAAGGTACTTCTGGAAAATAATACAGATTATACTTTGATTTTTCACAACAGAGAGGAATGGTTGTCCTTATTTACTTGTTATATTCAAGCTCTGTAGTCCTAAGAGGATTTTGAGTTTATCCTTTGCAAACTGACGTAGGCGAAGCCTTGCAGGCTTTATTTAGCCTGTATAATGCTTAACACTTATAGTCAGATTGCATTCTTTGTTTTCTTATGTTCAAAAATAATTAGAGAAATTTTGGGATATATAAATTATTCCATGAGATGCTCAAAAAATACTGGTTGCGGCCATTTTTGCGTGTAATCATGCTGTTTTCAAAGCTGTTACAGGTTTTATTACTGAGATAACTTGGAAAACATCTTCTTGTCTCATTCTATTATTCTTAGGTGATTGAGCAGGAAATGTTTATGCAGCTTTTATAATGGTGACTTCTTGGCTGAGTATGTGTGCCTGCTGCTGTCTTTGGCATTTGAATAATGAATTAACATGTAGGTGGCCATGGGAAGGGAATGTTATGAATGGACTTTGCCTATGCTTTTTTTGGTAGCAAATTATATTTGCTATAAGATTGCTGTGCCATACCATTATTTCTTCAACTATTAAAAGCTATTAATTTTCACTGTGATGGATGGCAGCAACCTTTTCCACATCAACTTGGTCTCAGCAGGTGTATGTCAGGCTAACCTGCAGGTGGAGATGTCTATATAAAGGGTTGGCGTGAATGCCAAAATTACTTAATAGCATAAAATGTTTCCTTTTAGCAGTAGCCTTTGGCTGTTTCTCTCTTAAGACTGGTTCATTTATTTCATACAACTTGAATAATTTCTGAGGTTACAGATTTTAACTGTAATTAAGTCTTTCTTAAAATTGGTTTTGTCAGTGTAGATACTTGTGGTAGATAATCGTTTTATTTTGAACTTTTATATTTAGAGGATTGAATATTTTAATTGTCTTCATCTCTATCTTCTATTCTGCCCTTTTAAAGCTAGTTTATGGCTGGGCGCGGTAGGTCATGCCTATAATCCCAGCACTTAGGGAGGCCGAGGTGGGTGGATCGCCTGAGCTCAGGAGTTAGAGACCATCCTGGGCAACATGGCGGAACCCTCCCTCTACTAAAAATACAAAAAATTAGCTGGGCGTGGTAGTGTGTGCCTGTAGTCCCAGCTACTTGGGAGGCTGAGGCAGGAGAATCGCTTGAGCCCCGGAGGTGGAGGTTGCAGTCTTACCACTGCACTCTGGCTTGGGCTACAGAGTGAGACTCCGTCTCAAAAAAAAAAAAAAAAAGAAAAGTAAAGGAAAGCTAGTTTATATAAACAGTAAAGCAGTAAAGTGGTAAGTGAATATGAACAAACCATTAAAATATATATGAGCACACAGGCTCCCTTTGGCAAATAAATGGGATTATATGAGGCAAGCTGATCTTTCCTTGGTTGTCTGAGATGCCTGCAGTAATAGTAATATAACTAGGTTGTATACATATGTGCAACAGGAGAAAGTTCACCTTACTGAGCAACTTATTTCCAAATTTATGTGGATTTCAATTTCCAGCTTTACTATAAAATGATTGAGTGATTGGGCTGGGCTTGGTGGCTCACACCTGTAATCCCAGCACTTTGGGAGGCCAAGGTGGGTGGATCACCTGAGGTCAGGGGTTCGAGACCAGGCTGGCCAACATGGTGAAAACCTGCTTCCACTAAAAATACAAAAAATTAGCCAGGCATGGTGGTGCATGCCTGTAATCCCAGCTACTTGGAAGGCGGAGGCAGGAGAATCGCTTGAACCCAGGAGGCGGAGGTTGCAGTGAGCCGAGATGATGCCACTGCACTCCAGCCTGGGCAGCAGAGTGAGACTCTGTCTCAAAATAAATAAATTAATTAAAAAAATAAAATGATTGAGTGATTGAGTTGTTAGGTGACTATAAGCATCTACACTGGAGTAACTGACATTTCTCCAGTGTTCATTTATTTTCTTTGCTCACTTTTTTTTTTTTGAAAGGGGGCTTAACCATGAGTAAGGGATTAAAGAAGAGATAGAAAAGGGTAAGGCTTGGTAAAGTGCTTTGACTTTCAGTTTTGACCCCTGTGGGGCAAGTTTTATGTATACACTATAAATTGTCTGGAGGAAAGCCATTTAGTTAGCATCTCTTAAATGGTGAATTTAAGCACAGTAATTTTATTAAACGCATAGTCAATAGGCTTAATGTGGTTAATCTATTTCATTCTTATTTATTTATTTATTTATTTATTTATTTTTTGAGATAGGGTCTCACTTTGTCAGCCAGGCTAGAGTGCAGTGGTGTGATCTCGGCCCACTGCAGCTTCAACCTCCTGGGCTCAGGTGATCCTCCTGCCTCAGCTCCTCAAGCAACTGGGACTACAGGTGTGCACCAGCATGCCTGGCTGCTTTGTATTTTTTGTAGAGACAGGATTGCCATGTTGCCCAGGCTAGTCTCAAATTCCCAAGCTCAAGCAATACACTACCTCAGCCTCCCAAAGTGTTAGGATTACAGGCATGAGACACCTCACCCAACCCCTTTACCATTAACTGAATTAGATTTAGAAATTTGGAGAGTTGTCCATGGCTACTCAAAGTTGTTACTGTACACTTATATGAATATCAATATGTAAATACATGGGTTTATTTAGATAATCTTGGAGATTCTCTTTGTAATTTTGTAAACTGTTTTGTTTTACTTTAATTTCCCATCCATCTTCTCTTTCTCCGATCTGGAAAACAAACGACTATGACAGCTGGATTCCTATTCTCATTCTCTCTCTTTCTTCCTCTCTTTTCCCCTTCCCTCCCTTCTTTTTTCCTAAGTATAGATGACAGAAGTATTTTATTAAGGAGGATTGTGCCATATGAATGATCTAAACCCATGTAAAAATACCCTTGTTGAGTTAGATTATTCTAGGACATAAACTGTCTCCAAATTACTCACTAATTTGGGTATTAATGATATGAAAATTAAGCCTTTTAGAGATTCTAAACTTACAGATAATATAAGAAGAGTTTATGTTCTTAGATTTTTGTGTGTATGTGTTTACTCTATAAAAGGGAATGTACTAGGCATTTGTAGGAATTTTAATCTGTTATCTTAAGGAGTATGCCAAAATCTGATTAAGTAAAACATAACAAAGGTAGATTTATTTTTCATTTCTGGCTGTTGTACAAATTGTCAGTATAAAATACTCTAAAATTGTTGTGGATTTAATTCATTTTTTTCTTAACCTCAAAATTTTTGCCAGTACCTCTTTAATCATTGTATTCTTTCTTTCTGCTTGTCATCTCATAATTTTCTGTTATTTGCCTCATAGTAGTTGCTGTCTTTGTCTTTTTCCATATTGTGCATTAATTTTTAATGTACCTTTTTGCCAAACTTTGAGTATCACAGAGTCCACATCTTCTTTGTGAGCCAAATTGGAAGAAAGAATATTCTTTCTTCTTTGTATGAAATCAAAACTGTCCTGTATTCTGTTTAAATATGTTTCCTATCATCTTTCCTTCTACCGCCTTTCTAGATGGAAGGCAGATTTGATCAAATAATGCAGTCTGAATGATTCTTTGTTGTACTTAAAAATAAATTACATTTAACATGCAAATAGGATCACTCTGATACTTAATTATCTGTTGTTTGACCACTGATCCTCCTTCATTAACTAACGGAAACAATTAGACTAGGAATGATTGTTACTGGACCAGATTTAGAAACTGCCACAACCCCCAGTATATAAATTTTGTGAGTTCTATTAGTATTGGTTTCTGCTTTAGATGGTTCAACTTCTACTTTTTCCACTTTTAAAGGTACCATCCTATTTTAGGAGAGTTAGAATTGTAAGTTACTTCCTTGTCAATTCATTAGATAAGCTTGATTATGAAACTTTTCATCTTTTAATAGATTTTCTGTGATGTTTTAATAATTAAAAGCCTTATATTATTGACTGATTAAATTAAGAAATTACAGTATATTGGGCTTAACTGTTAGGTTATTTATTTTTTTGCGACGGAGTCTCACTTTGTCATCCAGGCTGGAGTGCAGCAGCATGATCTCGGTGCACCGCAACCTCCACCTCCTGGGTTCAAGTGATTCTCCCACCTTAGCCTCCCAAGTAGCTGAGATTAGCCCTCACGCCTGGCTAATTTTTTTATTTTTAGTAGAGACAGGGTTTTGCCATGTTGGGCAGGCTGGTCTCAAACTCCTGACCTCAGGTGATCCACCCGCCTTGGCCTCCCAAAGTGCTGGTATTACAGGCGTGATCCACTGCGCTCTTGGCCTGTTAGGTGTTTTTTAAACCAAAATAAGAATCTACTGGTTTTCTCCATAGAAGATAAAATGTTGTCTATTGTTACATTGATGTGGACTTTAGGAATTTAATTCAAGTATTTCAATATAAAAATATTGAACACTTCTAAAACCTGTGGCTTCTGTGGGATTATCTGTTTGTATATTCGTTGGATCCTCATTATTCATCATTATTCATGGATTCTGTGTTTGCAAATTCACCTGCTTGTTAAATTTTATTTTTAACCCCCAAATCAATACTTGTGTTGTTTTTGTGGCTACTTGCAGAGCAGCAAAAATTTGAGTCACCAGTCATTCATCTTCCCAGATGAGGTGGGAAAAAAGCAACACTCTGCCTTATTATTTCAGCTGTTATACTGTAAATAAGCATCCTTTTTGCTATTTAGTGCCATGATTTTTTTCACTTCTTTTGTGCTTTTTCTTGGTGATATGGTTGTTTAAATGGTGCCATATGAAGTGCTGAAGTGTTATCTAGTGTTTGTAAGTGCAAGAAGGCTATGCTCTACCTTCTGGAGAAAATATGAGTGTTGAATAAGCTTTATTTAGACTGTTGACCATGAGTTCAATGTTAATGAATCAACAATATAAAATAAGGTGCTTTAGCAGCCAGGCATGGTGGCTCACGTCTGTAAGTAATCCCAGCACTTTGGGAGGCCGAGGCGGGTGGATCACTTGAGGTCAGGAGTTTGAGAACAACCTGGCCAACATGGTGAAACCCTGTCTCTACTAAAAATACAAAAATTAGCCAGATGTGGTGGCACATGCCTGTGGTCCTAGCTACTCAGAGACTGAGTCAGGAGAATTGCTTGAACCCAGTAAACGGAGGTTGCAGTGAGCCGAGATCGCACCACTTCACTCTAGCCTGCGCAACAGAGTGAGACTCTGTCTCAAAAATAAAATAAAATAAAATAAGGTACTTTAAACAGAAACACACATTAAACAAGATTATGTATTGATCAGTTGATGAAAATGTTGTGACCAGAGGCTTACAGGAACCTAACCTTGTATTTCTCATATTCGCTAAGCGGTTCAGTATTGGCTAATTCGGTGTTTGCAGTGACATGGTAGAACATAACTATTGATAATAACCAGAATTGATTGTATATTGTGGTAGCTCACCTCCAAAATGGCCTCCAATGATCCAAGGCTCCTGGTGTTTACATGCTAGTGTAGTCCCCTTCCACATTGAATTATAGCTGGTTGACTCTGTGTCAGCAATAGAATACAGTGGATGGTGATGATTTGTGCTTTCTGAGGCTGGGTCATGAGAAGAATTACAAACTTCTGCCTTGATACTTGTGTTGTTCTTTCTGGAGGAAGCCAGCTGTTCCACTGTACCCAGAGGACGTCTGTATAGTCCTGTGGAAAGGCCCACCTGGAGAGGAACTTAACATCCTGGCTGAGGTGTAGTAAATTTTATGTTTGGTCTTTGTCTCTGTTCCTGGCACAGAGTTCCTTGAACTCATGGAGTTTCCTGAGTGTTAGGAGAGTGTTTTGTTAGTCATAAGAAGTTCCTTTTGATTACACCTAAATTTATGCTGGTGAGGTGACTTAGAGTGGAGCCACTGAATTGCCTCAGGATATGGCTGGTAACCAGACAGACCATGTGATTAGAGGGTGGAAATTTTCAGTTTCACTCACCAACCTCTGGGGGAAGTAGAGGCTGGAGATTGAGTCCTGTAGGAGCTCTTCCTTAAAACAGCAGTGTTTGGTGAACTTCTGGATTGAACACGTGGAGGTACTGGGAGGGTGGTTCACATGGAGAGGGCATGGGAACTATGTGTCCCTCTTCCCCATCTTAACTTGCCCTACGCATCTCTTTCATTTGACTGTTCTTGGGTTGTATCTCTTATAATAAATCGTAAATATAAGTACAGTGTTTTGTGAGTCATTCTAGCAAATTATTGAATATGAAGAGGTTGTTGTGGAGACCCCTGATTTATAGCTGGTCAGTCAGAAGTATGGGTGGCCCCTCCAGGACTTGAGACTGGTGCCTGGAATTAGCCAAGCGTGGTGGCGGGCACCTGTAGTCCCAGCTACTCGGGAGGCTGAGGCAGGAGAATCACTTGAGCCTGGGAGGCGGAGGTTGCAGTGAGCCGAGATTGGGCCACTGCACTCTAGCCTGGCAACAGAGCTAGACTCTGTCTCAAAAAAACAAAACAAAACAAAACAAAAAAGCCACCTTTTTCGGTAGAAAATTTTATACATACACAAAAGTGGAGAAAATAATTTAATGAGTCCCATGTAACCATTACTCAGCTTCAACAGTGGTCAACTCATGGCCAGTCTTGTTTCGTTTGAACCTGTTTACTTTCCAGTCACACCCTTTCAGATTATGTTGAAGCAAATCTCAGACATTATTTCAGTAAATAATTCAGTATATATCTCTAAAAGATAATCTATATATCATTATTATATCCCTCCAAATTAGTAATCATTTCTTAAAAATAATCTAATATCCAATAGATATTTATTTCCCCTATTGTCTTACAGTTTAATGTATTTGAATGTGATCCAGATAAATTTCATACATTTTGGTAGTTGTTATATTTCTAGATCTCTCTTAATTTATAGATTCTTTCTCTCTCCCAACCCCCTTTTTGTAATGTTTTGTCAAAGAAACAGGGTTGATTATCTTGTATAGTTTCCCATAGTGTAGATTTTGCTGGTTTTATCCTTGTGGTATCATTAATATGTTCCTCTTGCTCCCCTGCATGTTCTCTATGTTTATAGTTAGATCCACAAGCTTAATCTGATTTAGACATTTTTTGGTAAGATGACTTTAAAAAAATTAGCTTTATTGAGGTGAAATGTGCATAATATTTAACATAAAATACACTGGTTTTAAGTGAACTAGGTATAGTTACAGTTTTACAACTATTACAGCAATCTAATTCAACAGAACATTTTGATTACTCTAAAAATAAACTTTGTGCCTATTTATAGTAAGTCCTTATTTTCACCCCCAGATGTAGACAACCACTAATCTACTTCTGTCTTTATAAATTGGCTTTTTGGGGATACTTAATATAAACGGAATCATACAATATGTGTTCTATTGTATCTGGCTTCTTTCACTGAGCATATTTTTGAGGTTCATCCATGTTGTAGCAATGACTGGTTGTTTCTTAATCCTGAATAGTATTCCATTGTATGAATACACCATATTTTGCTTGGCCTTTCACCAGTTAATATTTTGGCTAAGAATAATGCTACTGTAAACTTTGGTGTACAAATTTTTGTGCAGACACAAGTTTTTTTTTTCTTGTGTATATAGACATCAAGGAATGGAATTGATAGATAATGTAATTCTATGATTAACATTTTTTTGTTTTTTGAGATGCAGTTTCGTTCTTGTTGCCCAGGCTGGAATGCAGTGGTGCGATCTTGGCTTACTGCAACCTCTACCTCCTGGGTGCAAGCGAGTCTCCTGCCTCAGCCTCCTGAGTAGCTGGGATTATAGGCGCCCGCCACCACGCCTGGCTAATTTTTGTACTTTTATTAGAGACAGCGTTTCACCATGTTGGTCAGGCTGGTCTTGAACTCCTGACCTCAGGTGATCCACCTGCCTCAGCCTCCCAGAGTGCTGGGATTACAGGTGTGAGCCATCGTGCATGGCCTGATTGATTTTTTTTTTTTTTTTATTAAAGAGATGGGGTCTTGCTCTATACTCCAGGCTGTAGTACAGTGGCACCATCATGGCTCACTGCAGCCTTGAACTCCTGGGCTCCAGCAATCCTCCCATCTCAGCCTTCTAAGTAGCTGGGACTATAACTATGCATCACCACATTTAGCTAATTTTTAAAATTTTTTGTGGAGACGTGGGTCTCCCTGTGTTGTCCAGGCTGGTGTTGAACTCCCGGGCTCAAGCAGTCCTCCGGCCTTGGCTTCCCAAAGTGCTGGGATTACAGCAGTGGGCCACACTGCCTAGCCTATGATTAATTTTTTAAGGATCTGCCAGACTGTTTTCCAAAGTGGTCACACTGTTTTACACTCCTATTAGCAGTGTATGAGGGCTTTACTTTCTCCACGTCCTTGACAACATTTGTTAATGTTTGACTTTTTCATTATAACCATTCTATTGGGTGAAAAATGATATTAAATCTGTTGTTTTAATTTGCATTTCCCTGATGACTAATTAAGTTGAACATCTTTGCATGTGCATATTGGCCATTCATATATCTTCTTTGGATAAACATTGCAAGAGCACATCTTAAGTTATTGTGTACTTCTATCAGGGGGCACATAGTGTATGCTTGTCTCATTTTATTGGGATATCAGCCATTGGTATAATAGATTCATAATAATAATAATAATTATTTTTTGAGACAGAGTTTCACTCTTGTTGCCCAGGCTGGAGTGCAAGGGTGCCATCTCAGCTCACTGCAACCTCTGCCTTCCGGGTTCAGGCGATTCTCCTGCCTCAACCTCCTGAGTACCTGAGATTACAGTTATGTGCCACCACGCCCAGCTAATTTTGTATTTTTAGTAGAGATGGGGTTTCTCCATGTTGGTCAGGCTGGTCTTGAACTCCTGACCTCAGACGATCCACCCGCCTTGGCCTCCCAAAGTGCTGGGATTGCAAGCGTGAGCCACCGCGCCTGGCCAGATTCATAATTATTAATTAAAGGAGAGTTTGGGTATATAATCTAGATATAGTAGCAGGAAATAGGATTTTGATTCTGTATTCTTCTATTGCCCCAGGGGTTGTTAGAAAATACTGTAATATTCTAAAATTCTTGGACATACATATCATTCTGATCTAGACTACTCAATTCTGAGTATCATCAAGTTTCATGCTCTTTGTCTTCTAATAAAATTTTTAAATTATTTATGTACATTTCCCCTGATAAATTTGCTGTTTATTTTAAAAATTTAAGGCATTTTTAGAAAGTTTTTTTTTTTACCCCTGAAGAACATAGCTCACTCAGTACATTATAAACCAGCAAAAAAAAAAAAAAAAATTTTAGAAGTACGATGTTGACATCCTATAGTTATAATTTACATTGCCTTAAAAAAAATCTGTTACTGTCTTCCAGGGAACTTTTTTAGTCAGTTCTGAAGCAGCCTCCTACATCTTTTGTGACGTAGGAGACAGATCTTGCTGGATCACTGTCGTCTTGCCAGTCTTTTTTTTTTTTTTCCTTTTTCTTTAGAGAGCATGCTGAATATGTTGGACTTTCTCCCTCCGTTCTGCTGAAAGCCCCCATGAATGACTTTACCACAGATGACTGTCAGCTGACTGGGTGTACTCTACAGGACTTTGTTGAGAATATTACACCTCTGTCTTTGCAAGAAATAATTTAGTTAGGCTCTATTACATCTATATCCAAGTTGTTACAGAGATTCTTAGAACCAAGATCCCATCTCCTTCCCAATAATTAGTAATCTGCTATTTGAGTTTATAGTTTCCAGAAACCTGTTGTAAAACAATGTTTGCTTGCTCTTCCCCCGACAACCCCAAACCTTATATTTCTTGCCTTGTTTAATGATTACTAGGTATTTAGTTGTAAAGGGTATTTTAAGAAGTTCTGTTCAGGTAATATTTACTGCACAGCTGGGAGCTTGTAATTGCTATGCAGTAATAGAAACTCACAGCTCAAGAATTTCTAACTGGAAGTTTAAAAATGATTCAATTTGAAGCAGATTAAAGATGAATTGAGCTACCGTATTACTCAGTATTTGCTGCTGAAAGCTTATACCTGAATGCAAAGAAATCAAGCTATTGATTTAGGAACAATGGTGATTTAAATTATTGTTTTTAGAATTCTCTCTCATTTATTAAACTTTATATGTTATAAAAATTATCTCTAAGTAAGGATTAATTGTGTGATTTCTACCCTTTTCCACTTCTCATTATATCAGGTAGTTTTAGAATACATATGAGTAATGTGTTGGTTTAATGGACTCCTTATAAACAGTAAACTTTGAATATATGAGTCTTAATATGACACTGGTTGTTATAATAGTAAGTTATGGGTGAGATTAGGGAAGATGTATATTTTCTGTGTCAGAATGTCAGCTGTGCTCAGATGCATATTTTTTTTATTTGAAAGAAATACACGTGAAAGTGTATATATGAGTCACAAACTTCAACTAAAGTGTATACTTCTTTTTGAACCACTCAATAATTCTAGTGATGGATTTTTAGATGGCAGACATTTAACGTGACCTGTTGAGTAGACAGAGAACAGAGAAAACGAGCTAAAGACATGAAATATTACACTTTCTAATAAATATTCTTTTTTAAAAAACACAGCGATTAAGGTCAGTGTTAAAAGCCTGATACAGTGATATTCTTAGGTACATAATACTCATTAAAATAGAAGCAAATATGATATTAGGACAGGTTGAAAACGTGGTTATGCATAAAATCCTCATCAGTGTTTGGCAATGTCATTTTGTGAGTGCCCAGATCAATAATGTATTATTTAATCTATAAATCAGCAGTTTTATTTAGCCTAAATACCTACTTAGATGTATAACTTCTGCTTATAATACCTGACATTATGGGTAACGTCTTTTGTTTATATCTAGTGTTAGTACTCATTTGGTGGGCTTTGACTGTCATAAAAATAATGTTTTAAAACATTATATATTGACTTCCTGAACTCTCTTCTGCATATGGAACTGAATTTTCCATGTTCTGTTTTCTGAGTCTTGATAATTTTGATCTATTGCATTTTGGCACTTCTGCCCTAGACCACTGACAGTGCTTTTTAGAGTAGGCACTTGATCTGGCAGTGGTCTAAGTATTTTTACTGTGCTTTGCCTTGTGGAGGAGCCTCCCAGGAATCCTAGATTGCCAAATGCTTCTGTGGACCACTGCACAGCCAGAGCTTGGAATTTGTTTAACAGTGGTGTCCATCTACTCAGACTTTCCCCATGCCCTTCCTTTTCTGTCACACCTCTGCCATTTTACCACCTAGTTTTTGCCCTTGTGTGGAGTGGGGAATTGGTCAGTGGGGAAGGACTGTAGGCTGTAGGAAGGAGAAATACCTAATTCTAATTCCCAAGGCTGCAGGGAGTTGGGGTGCCTATGAGGGTTATCTGCTGCTCCCTGGGTTGCTGGTTTAGAGTAGGGATGGTGTTCAGGTAGTTGATAGTGCTCTCAGAGCAATAATTAGGGATTTGATTATATCCTTTAACTCCCTGAGTACATAACCACCACTATTGCATGTAAATCTGTTAGGTAAGAAGTCTGTTTTTAGACTTGCGTACATTCACCCTTCAAGTGCATCTTTGGAAATGCTAACTATAAAAGTAGAAAACAGTCAATACTAAATGATACTTTTCTGCAGAGTTTATTATTGCTACAAGGTTTGTATATAAGGGGCAAAAGTAAAGGAGTTACCATAAAAATATCAATATTTTATTCATTTGCTCATTGGTAACTGGTTTCAACCCTACACATCTCATGTGAAAATGACATTTAAAAAAAACACCTTGCTAGGATTGCTCTTCATCTTCTATTGATTATCACTTGGTGATTTTAAAAAATGAGTCCAGCAGATTAGTGGCCAGTGGACATATTTTGACTGCTTTGTTATGTTTGTACAATATATATCAAGAGACCAGGTTAGGTAGGCAGGTATATACTTGATTGCAAAATCACTTTATTCTCTATTTAACTCACAGCATGTATTTTATTTTAATTGCAAGACCCCATTTGACATTTTTGAGTTTGCAGCCTTGCTTTAAAAGAACGGAGGATGTGCATCATAGTATAGCAAAGGAATAGGCTTTGGAATTAGATCAACTTGGGTTCAAAATCCCGTTCTGCCTCATACCTTGTGTGTCCTTCAACAAAGTAGTGGACTAAGTCTTATTTACCTAATTTGTAAAATAGGAAAAATATTATTTTTGAGGATTAAGTGAGACAATTTATATGAAGCACCTAGCACATAGCAAGTACTCCATGAATGGTAGTGATTCTTAGACCAACTTGGGTTCAAAATCCTGTTCTGCCTCATACCTTGAGCATCCTTCAACAAAGTAGTTGACTAAGTCTTATTTACCTAATTTGTAAAATAGGGAAAATATTATTTTTGAGGATTAAATGAGCTAATTTATATGTAGCATCTAGCACATAGCAAGTACTCCATAAATGGTAGTGATTCTTATTGTAGACAAAGCTAATAGAAGAATCGTTAGTATCATGGCAGTTTTCTTAAAATATTAGAAGCACCTATTATTTTGATCTCTCATGTTTTCTTCCCTTATAATTCAAATCCCTAAGTTGCTCTTTGTTGAAATATGTAAATGGACTTCTCTCTTAAAATTTATTTGATGCTTACTCTTCTTAGGAGAAAGATATGTGCCTTGTAACTTTCTTTTAATAGGTATCAATCACTCTGATATTTCTGAGGCTAAAGGGCATGAGACAAACATACTTTATGCAAATATTAAAGTATTGTGATAGAAATGTTTCTTGATGACTTCTAGATGCTCAGGCTTAACTCCAGATTACCGGATAATATTTACCCTGTGAGCTCAAAATACAGTCTTACAGAGGTTTTGATCACTTTGGAACCAATAAAGTAAAATATAACTTGAATTTTAGAATATAAATAACAAATACTTTAGGAATTATTTTTCGAAAATAAAATAGTCTTAAAAGTGAATGTGTAAGCTTGTACTGTTTGGTCTTTCAAACTTAATTGTGCAAATTGGTGTCATACTGCTTAGCTTGGTTTTATTTTTGAATTCTTTATCTTTTCATATGTTAGTCTTTTTTAGTTAGCATGCATGTCATTGACACAAGAAACATTGCGAATGAGGTGATAACACCGTAGCATCCATATTGATACTGTATCTCTTTACTGTCATGTATATATTTACTCTAACTAGGCCAGTCACGCAATATGGAAGGGTAGACCTGACATATCTTATTTCAGAGTAGTGCCAAGACTTTCTCTTGGCTGGCCAGTCTGCATACAGCGTAGCAGTTTCTGATGCCCTAGAAAATAAAATAAAACAAAATGATACAGGGAAAGTGTTTGAAAACAAACTGATTTATACATCCACTTGTTCTTTTCTAAAATGCTCTCGCTTATTAGACTATTATTGAAAAACAAGAAACTTGTTTTTGTTTTTGCTTTTCTGCATATATTCCATAAAATGCTACTGTGGGCCGGGTGCGGTGACTCATGCCTGTAATCCCAGCACTTCGGGAGGCCAAGGTAGGTGGATCACCTGAGGTTGGAAGTTTGAGACCAGCCTGGCCAGCATGGTGAAACTCTGTTTTTACTAAAAATAAAAAAGTTGATTATCCCAGCTACTCGGGAGGCTGAGGCAGGAGAATTGTTTGAATCCAGAGGCGGAGGTTGCAGTGAGTCGAGATCGCGACACTTCACTCCTGCCTGGGCGACAGAGCAAGACTCTGTCTAAAACAAACAAACAAACAAACAAAAAAAACTACTGTGGATAAGTGTGTCCAAAGCAAAAATCAAAATGATCAGAACTTTTAAATTTCCAGTCAGCCTCTAGGAAAATTATTCTGTAGTTTTTTTTTTAAGGAAATAACCGGTCTATTTTCTTTCTTTCTTTTTTTTTTTAAGTTCTAGGGTACATGTGCACAACGTGCAGGTTTGTTGCATATGTATACATGTGTCATGTTGGTTTGCTGCACCCTATTCTGTAGTTTTACAAACTACAATAGAACTAGTACAAAAGAAAAAAGAAACATCATTACTTAATAAAAACAATAAGGTAATAAAATTATTACTTTATATGATCATCAAGAGAGTAGATTTTCTTTTCATAATTTAACTCATGAAATGAGATTAAGATCAGGTTGGTAATAAGGGGGTCGTATTTGTATTAAACCTATTGTGTCGCTGGGCGCGGTGGCTCTCCCCTGTAATTCCAGAACTTCGGGAGGCCGAGATGGGTGGATCACCTGAGGTCAGGAGTTTGAGACCAGCCTGGCCAACATGGCAAAACCCAGTCTCTACTAAAAATACAAAAATTAGCGGGACGTGGTGGCAGGTGTCTGTAATCCCAGCTACTTGGGAGGCTGAGGCAGGAGAATCGCTTGAACCTGGGAGGCGGAGGTTGCAGTGAGCCGAGATCGCACCACTGCACTCCAGCCTGGACTACAAGGGTGAAACTCTGTCTCAAAAAAATAATAATAATGAAAACAAAAAAATATATTGAGTCCATCTTTATTAATCCTTAATCCTATCTAATGAAGAAAAGATCAGACAGATGGTGAAAACCTGACTTATGGAACACTGTGAAAGAAACGTAGCTTAGTTGTTTTCAATAATGTCCAGGATTGGTCTCCAACCAGAGAAGGGGGATGGAGTAGTAAGCAGGCTTCTTTTTAAGAGAGCGTATTTAAACTGGGTGGGACTTGTATTAAGTATGCTCATCACTCAGAATGATTTTCCGAAAGAATTTGACACTTCTGACCCTAATAGTGTTCCATTTGATTTTACAAACTCCATTTTCCATCTGGTTGCTTCTCTGGCCTCTTCTTCCTCTTTGTTCCACATAGGTGAGAGTTCCCGCAAGTGTCTGTCTGGCTATTTTCTGTTTTCTTTCTCTTTTTACTCACAGAGTTTTCTAACACATTTTTTTCCCTCAAATACTTTAAAAAAAAAAGGATATAGTTAAATACAGTACTTTTTTTCTTTTAAAACGTACAATTAAGTAGTTTTTAGTACTTTGTACAATATCTTTTGCAACAATCACTACCGTCTAGTTCCAGAACTTTGATCACCCTGAAGGGAAACCCCTTATGCATTGTCATTGTTCATTTCCCCTCCCTCAGGCCCTGGCAACCACTAATTTACTTTCTGTCTTTATGGAGTTGCCTACCTATTCTGTACTTTTCACATAAATAGAATATACAGTATGGACTTTGTGACTGGCTTCTTTCATTTAGCATAATATTTTCAAGATTCATCCATATTATAGCATGTATCAATACTATATTATTTCATTTTATGGCTGAATATCATTCCAGTCATTATTTGAATATACCACATTCATCATTTGATGGACATTTGGGTTTTTTCTACCATTTGACTATTATGAATAATACTGATATGAACATTTGTGAACACGTTTGTTGTTGACACATTTTTAGTTTTTTGGGTATATGCCTAGGAATGAAATGTCTGGGTCACATGGTAACTCTGAGCTTAACATTTTGATGAACTGCCAAATCCACCATTTTATATTCCCACCAGCAATGAATAAGGATTCCACGTTTTCCACATCCTTGTCAACACTTCTTATCATTTTTTTTTTATTATAGCCTTCCTAGTGGGTGTGAAGTGGCATCTCTGTGTATTTCCTTGGTGACTAATAGTGCTGAGTATCTTTTCATGTGTTTGAGACACTGTGTGTCTTCTTTGAAGAAATGTCTATTCAGATTCTTTGCCATATTTAAATTGGGTTATTTGTCTTTTGATTGTTGATTTATTTATTTATTTTTATTTATTTATTTATTTATTTATTTTGAGACGGAGTCTTTGTCTGCCAGGCTGGAGTGCAGTGGTGTGATCTCTGCTCACTGCAAGCTCCGCCTCTCAGCTTCACGCCATTCTCCTGCCTCAGCCTCCTGAGTAGCTGGGACTACAGGCACCTGCCACCACGCCTGGCTAATTTTTTGTATTTTTTAGTAGAGACGGGGTTTCACCGTGTTAGCCAGGATGGTCTTGATCTCCTGATCTCGTGATCTGCCCGCGTCGGCCTCCCAGAGTGCTGGGATTACAGGCGTGAGCCACCGCACCTGGCCTAATTGTTGATTTATAAGATTTCTTTATATATATATATATATATAATGTATTATATATTATATTTATAATATATATTATGTGTATATAATATATAATATACATATAATATATATTTATATATTATATATATTATATATTTTATATATTATATATAATATTATATATATTTTATATATAATATATATAATATTAAATATATTTTATATATTTATATTTTATATAATATATATATTTTATATTATATATATTTTATATAAAGTATAATATATCTTTATATAAAATATATATAATATATCTTTATATAAAATATATATAATATATATTTTATATATACATATTTTTGAGACTGAGTCTCTCTGTCACTCAGGCTGGAGTGCAGTGGCACGATCTCAGCTCACCACAACCTCCACCTCCTGGGTTCAAGTGATCCTCCTGCCTCAGCCTCTCAAGTAGCTAGGATTACAAGCATAAGCCACCATGCTCGTCTAATTTCTGTATTTTTAGTAGAGACAGTGTTTTACCATGTTGGCCAGGCAGGTCTTGAACTCCTGACCTTAGGTGATCCACCTGCCTCAGCCTCCCAAAGTGCTGGGATTGTGAGCCACTGTGCCCAGCTGAGATTTCTTTATATATACTTGATACTAGAACCTTATCAGATACATGATTTGAAAAACATTTCCTCCCTTTTGCAGATTTTTACACTTTCTTTGTTTTTTATTTTCCAAGAAAGAGTCTTGCTCTGTTGCCCAGGCTGGAGTGCGGTGGTGTGATCTCGGCTCACTGAAACCTCTGCCTCCTGGTTTCAGGCAATTCTCCTGCCTCAGCCTCCCGAGTAGCTGGGCTTACAGGCGCACACCATGCCTGGCTAATTTTTATATTTTTAGTAGAGATGGGGTTTCACCATGTTGGCCAGGCTAGTCTTGAACTCCTGACCTCATTATCTGCCTGCCTCAGCCTCCCAAAATGCTGGGATTACAGGCATGAGCCCCTGTGTCTTTCTTTACACTTTCTTGATGATAGTTTTTGAAGGATATATTTTAAATTTTTATGATGTCCAGTTTTTCTTTTTTCTTACCTGTGCTTTTTTGTGTCATAGCCAGTAAGCCATTACCTATTCCAAGGTCAAACAGAATTGTGCTTATGTTTTCTTCTAAGAGTTTTCTAGTTTTAGCATATATATTTAGGTCTTTGATCCTGTGATGAGTCAGTTTTTGTATATGGTGTGACTAGGGTCTAACTTTATACTTCTGCATGTGGATATCCTGTTAACCCAACATCATTTGTTGAAAAGACTATTCCCAAATTTGTCTTGGCCCCTGTGTCAAAATCGATTGCTCACAAATTTATGAGTTTACTTTTATTTTTATGATCTGTGTGTCTATCCTATGTTTGTACCATATAATGTTAATTATTGTAACTTTATAGTAAGTTTTGAGATTGGGAAAATGCGAGTACTCCAACTTTGTTTTTCTGTTTCTAGGTTGTTTTAGCTATTTGGAGGCCCTTGTTATTCCATATGAGCTTATCAATTTCTGCATAATAAAACCATTTGGGATTTTAATAGAGATTTTGTTTAATTTGTAGATCAATTTAGGGAATATTGCCTTTGTAACAACATTAAACCTAGTAATCCATGAATGGGATTGTCTTTTCATTTATTTACGTTTTTCTTACACTGTTTAGTAGTCTTCAGGATACAAGTCTTTCACTTATGTTGTTTATTCCTAAGTATTTTATTCATTTTCCTGTTTTTGTTTAAAAAAGGGAAAATAATAAAGCATATATGGCAAAATGTAAACATTTGGGGAATCTGGATGAAGAGTATACAGGAATTATTTGTACAATTCTTTCAACTTTTTTGTGTGTCTGAAACTGTTTCAAAATAAAAAGTTAAAAAACTGTAGAAAAGGAAGGTAGGGCAACTGATAGACATAGAAATTAGCTCTAAGACTCCCAATACTAATTATTGACATCAATTTTTATTTCTAGGGGCTGGTCAAAAATGCGGCACTTTTCTGAGTTCAGGACTCCAATTATAACATGTTATTTCCATTTTTGCAATCATCATTATGCCAGCAATCAGAGAGATTAATGTCTTTTCTAATTCCTATTATTGAAAAAGCTGGTTATTCCAAATGGAACAGGCCCAAAATCTTCAGGGGAAATGTATTTAATTTTTAAGCATCTCAGCAAGAATTACAATGATAATTAGCATTTGTGTGTGTGTGTGTGTGTGTGTGCGTGTGTGTGTGTGTGTGTTTTAAACTGTATTTCCCCTTCCTTGCTCTAAATGGTTTCCTGAAAATAAACTATCAGTAAATTTGTGGATGTCATTTTCTTCTGTGCATACAGGATTTTTTTCTCTGTTTTAAAGAAGGCAGAAATATATATTCCTGGGTTACTGAGCATGGCATTAAAAGCTTTCTTGGGTGGTGATATAGTTGATAAATTACCTATTTTGGTGGAGTGATATGTTGTCAATTTTCACTGATTGTTTTCCATTTCATGAGACCACAGTTTTAAGTTTTTTAGAACATACGCTTTGTTCATCAAACGTTTGTGTGTGTGTGTGTGTGTGTGTGTGTGTGTGTGTGTGTGTGTATACAGTGGGCCCTCTGTATCTGCTGCATATTCTGAGTCTGGATTCAACCAAGTATGTATTGGAAAAAAACAATAAAAAGAAAACTTTATAACACTAAAAAATAATACAAAGAAAAATACAACTATTTACATTGCATTTATATTATATTAGTTATTATAAATAATCTAGAGATGACTTAAAGTATACAGGAAGATGTAGGCTATATGCTAATACTTCACCATTTTATATAAGAGTCTTGAGCGCATGGATTTTATTATCTGAGAGACATCCTGGAGCCAGTCCCCCACAGATATCAAAGTAAAACTGTACGTGCAGGTGTATACATATATATGTGTGTGTGTATCTATAGTTACACATATATGTGTATATATGTCTATAGTTACATATGAATGTGTATGTACAGTTAGCCCTCTGCATCTGTGGATTCAACCAACCAAAGAGCAAGGATTCAGGAAAAAAGTTGTATCTGTACTTATCACGTATAGACTTTTTTCTTGTCATTATTCCCTAAACAATGTAACTATTGTGTAACATTTACATTGTGTTAGATATTATAAGTAATCCAGAGATTATTTGAAGTATACAAGAGGATGTGCATAGGTTATACAGCAAATTCTATGCCATTTTATGTCAGAGTCTTGAGCATTTGTGGATTTGGGTATCCAAGGGAAGTCCTGGAACTAATCCCCTAAGGATGCTAAGGGATGACTGTACACATACATGTACACATATACACACAAATGCAAACACAGTATGTTTTATTTAGAAACAGTGGACATGGTGATTGAGTTTTTTATTGAGTCAACTTTTAGAGCCAGAGCTGTGTTTTATTCATCTTTATGTTCTAAAAATTGATATTCAATGAATGTTTGAGTTTCAGAACTGAAAGGAACCTTACAAGCTAAAGTAGACCTTACTGCTAATTTTACAGATAAAGAAGCTGAGGTCCAGAGAAAGTTAATGTCTCTTGTCCAGAGTTGCCCTGCTCACTGTCTTTTAACCATGACCAACATAAACCTAATACTTGGTGGGTGGTGTATTTTAAAGGCTTTAGTCATAGATGAGTAGATAGCGGGAATTACATTTATAAGCTGCATTTCCCCCCCATCTTTGTACGTATGTGCACATACATACTCACCAAACCCACTTTACCCACCTTCACTGCTGGTATCAGCAAACCCAGTTTCCCTGTAAGTGTTCCCTCATCTCACCAAAGCCAAATTGATTGTTTCCGGCTTCCTGAAAGTAAAACGAGACCTGTCCCTTGTGCTATAAATAAGGGAGGTCAGAGGAATTTTTTAAAATGGATTGTGTGTTTGTGGTCAATCTCACTGTTGCAAAATGTGAAAATAATAGCTGTGTAACACAATATTAATGTGATCATTTAACTTAAAATTCAAGGCATGCCATCCAAGTGGCAACAATTTTCAGGTGAAAGTTTTCTATGAAATGATAGATATCCTCATGGGACTAAAATCCTCATGGAACTAATATCTCTTGGCTTGTACCTCCTCAAAGGGTAATGATCTCTTGGACTATTTAATAGTTAGCATCCTTATGATATACCCAAAGGTAAGCAATTAGTGTCAATTATAATGATTAAAAAGAACATCTTTTAAAAATAAACTTATGTGAGTAAATGAAGCCAGTTGAAAAGTCAACCAGATATATTTTGTATATCTTATCTAAAAGAGATGTAAAAATAAATGAACACTTCCTCAAAATACAATCTTCTAATAAGTAGTGTCACCAAAGATCCCTTGGGGTTTTTCTAAGCTGTGTGAATACAACTTGTCAATCATAGAGGGGAGAAAGAGTAACCACCACAATTAAATAAGACTTGGAAATATTCAAATATGAAGACTATACATTAGGAGTATTTTTTCGTGTACTAGGTAAGTAGGTAGTCATAAAAATGTCAGAAAATTGACAAATGGTACCTAATTTATGTTAGGTTGTAGGTGCCTAATGTGATTAGGATGTGGCTGAAAGTTCTATATAGTTTTAAAAGTCCCCTGTTGTTATGCTTATTCAAAAGGAAAACTGCTGAATTAATTTTTAAAAATCAATTATTAGGAGTCATTTTTAAGTTAACTTTCAGTCATTTACATGGATTTTCACAGAGTTTTATTAAAGTTCTTTCTAGCCCCTACTCTGAGGAAGGTTATTACTCAAAATGTTCAAACAAAAAATTTCCTAACTGATAAATCCAATAAGACTTTCCTCCTGTAACAAGATCTGGCAAGATGTTTTCCATTTTCAGAGTTTTCTTTAGGCTTTAATAATATGTACAGTAAGAGTGTTCATAAACCACTAGGTTTTGTGTCTTATGCTATTTAAACACAGCACATAATGACTGTGGACTTTAAGTTTAAATTAGAGAGACAGACAGATAAAGCAGTAACAGAATCAGAGAATTATGATTTCTAATTGGCTACTGTGAAACTTCTTCATATAAGTGATTTTACTTGTCTTATTTGTTGATATCTGTAGTATACAAGATAGAAATAGTTTCAAATATAAAGCTGTGCTTACTTTTCAGATAATGAATCAAAATAATAAAATTTCAGTTACTTAATAGAGAATACTATTTATAAATAAGAGATTGGCATTAATTTGATTTTTCTTTTTAAAGTACAGTTGATCTTTGGACAAAATGGGTATGGGGGTGTCTATAATACTCCCTGCCTTGCAGCCAGAAATTTGCATGTAACTTTTGTCTCTTCCAAAACTTAACTACTAATAGCCTACGGTTGACCCGAAGCCTTACTGATAACATAAACGATTGATTAATATACAAATAAACTAGTATTTACATATATTTTATCCATTGATGACTTGCCCAACTTTTTCTTTTCTTTCTTCCTTTTTTTTTAAATTTCTATGCTACATGGTTTGCCTGCATGTTTTTTCAAATTGTCACAAATCTCCAAAAATTTTCAAATACATTTATTGAAAGAAACTCACATGTATGTGGACCCGTGCGATTAAAACCTGTGTTGCTCAAGGATTGACTGTTGTTGTGTGAGGAAAGGATAAACAGATCACTGCTTTTAAGGGGGAGTGCAAGGTTTTAACTGTATCTAAGAGCATTTACAAAAATAACAGTTCTTCTTGGATTAGAGCGTGTTTTCAATATTAACTAACAACCAGATTTTCCTCTCAACTTTGGAAACTGCTGAGGGTTAGCTTGATTCATGGCACAAGCAGATGGCATCCTGCTTCTGGCAAAACAGGCAGAAAATTCCTTTAGCACCCACCTGCATATGTTCTAGTCTTTATAAAATCCTGTACACTTTTAAACTTAAATACTCTCCCCAGTTTTAACAAACATTTATTGAAGTTGAAATTGAAGATAACACACAAATAACTAAGATTTAGTCTTATTTTAGACCCTGTGAGAAGCCAAAAAAAAAAAAACTGTAGACCAGAAAATATAGTATTTTATGACTGCACAAATACTACATATATTATATGAAGATGTAGATACATATCCCCAAGAAGAAAAGTTTATCAGAAATATTACTACTATAAATCTTTTTTTTTCCGTTTTATACCTTTAGCTTAATTTCTAGAGGATTGTTTTTTGTAAAGTACTTCATGAAGGTTTGAAGTTTGTAATCAGAAGTTTTTACTGGTAATCTATGAGGGCACTGCTGTTTTGAGTATGATATTCTCTAGACCTAAAGTCTCATTTTAAAATTTGGAATTGTGGTATGTACCATCTTTATGTGGCCTGCAGAATCTCAACAATAGCACTGCTAGCTCTGTAGGCTAGTTGAAATGCACACCGGGCTGTGTGTTTGTGAGACTTTTGCTTACAGGCTTATGTTCAATCTCACAGCAGTCAGTGGGACTGTCTGCACCATCACATGAGAGGTGGGTTGTGAGTCACACAGCATGAACTCTTTATAGCCACTCTTATTCCTGTTCTTTACTGTGTGGAATTTTAGAGTTTGTCACCGAGTGTTTTGCAGCTCCTATGTATACACCAAAGTCTAATTTTAATATGTTTTTGAACATATTTGATAATGTTCCAGTTCATTGTAGTTGTATAGATTTATTCATTTTTTAACTGCAAAACTGTTTTTATGTAACATTGAAGATGTCCCGGACAATGAAAAAAGATCAATGAAGTTATCCTTAGTTTTCATCTTTTATTGAGGCAGTATTTATTGTGTGAGAGCAATAGAAGATATAATCTTTGATTATGAAACTTTTTAACATTAATATGCATAGTTGCCTACTTTTCCTTTAAAAATGTACCATTTGTCAATTTTCTGACATTTTTATGACTACCTACTTACCTAGTACACGAAAAAATACTCCTAATGTATAGTCTTTATATTTGAATATTTCCAAGTCTTATTTAATTGTGGTGGTTACTTTCTTCCCTCTATGATTGACAAGTTGTATTCACATAACTTAGAGAAACCCCAGGGGATCTTTGGCGACACTTCGTATTAGAAGATTGTATTTCAAGGAAGTGTTCATTTATTTTTACATCTCTTTTAGATAAGATATATAAAATACATCTGGTTGACTTTTCAACTGGCTTCATTTACTCAGATGAGTTTATTTTTAAAAGATGTTCTTTTTAATCATTACAATTGACACTAATTGCTTACCTTTGGGTATGTCATAAGGATGCTAACTATTAAATGGTCCAAGAGATCATTATCCTTTGAGGAGGTACAAGCCAAGAGATATGCGGAAGTCTTATTGGTCCTACTTGTGTCACGTTTATTAATTGAAGAGTACTCTTCACAGTTTTCAAGTTTGTACCTTTCCCAGCCGTTCTATTTATTGTTGAAATTATCCTTCAGAACCCATATGCTGAGTTCTGAATGTAGACCACAGTTGCATTTCTATTTAGAGCCTTTAAAATGAAGGCTGTGGTATTTAATTATGTGACAGTACAGTTTTAAAATGAGGGTGGAGTTAGGTGTATGGGCCTTACCAAAAAGCAACTTGTAAAAATTATTAGGGTGTTTACACTTGCCAGAGAGCTGCCTTCTTAACATTCCATTTTATACTTTAAAGAAATACACATCATGGAAGAATGGGAAGGTTTAAAACATTAACAGTTTGGCTAAGTGATTATGAATACATTTATTTCCACTTAATTTCTTCAGTGTATGATTATATCCTTCTCTATCCTCCCCATTCTCATTTATTTTAGATTTTATCTTTTCTTGTTTGATTTAAATTGCTCCTTATTTCTTAATAGGATACATTGAAAATAGGCAATCCTCTCTGTTACTTGGTTGCTAAAAAAGATTCAAGACATTTGAAAGTGGATTCTTGACCTGCATTTATAGGAAATATGTTGTTGACTGGAGAACCACATATTTGTGAAGTAGACAAAAAAGTTTCCTCTCCCTATTTTAATATTTATAAAGATACAGCAAATTGTCCCATGCACTAGCTAAATTGAGATAGAGAAATTCTGTGGTCTTTTCCTGGAGGAAGTATGTAAAGATATATTATATATATATATTTTGGTAGTAGCATAATGGAGGATGCTGCTAATGTGGGAAGAGCTAAGTCATAGTTTATTCTTTCATTGTAGTAAAATATATAATCAGACAAGGGAATATGTAATTGGAAACAGAATTTTTAGGGGGATTAAACTATTTAATATTTATTCATATGTATAACTATTTAAATATTTTCTCCTTTTTATAGCATATTTTTCAAGAGGAATTCTTTGGTGGTTTTTACTTGGAGGTGGTTCTTTGTTCATTTCTTAAAGTTGTTTTATTTGCTCTTTTTCTCTGAAGGACATTCTATTTATTCATATTTCATGGTCTTTTTATATATATTATATATCCATGAGCTCTTATCTATCTATAACTCTTTTTCAGTTCTTTAGGTTTTAAATATTAAATATTTATTCATCAGCAATTCAACATAAATGCATGTAGTCACACACATGAGGCACATACATACCAGCCCAGGTGCTTTTATTTAAAGTTATCAGTTCTTTTTGTTTTTTAGTTTTGTTGATTTGAGTTGTTCATGATTTCATTTCTTCCTTTGTCATTTCTCACTTATTTTTTATGAAGCTTTGTCTCAGCTGGTTTGAATGGGGGCACCGAATTCATTTCATTTAAATTTCTTGGCATATGCTCTTAATTCAGTGTAAGTTTGCTTGTCTTTATGTCCTTAAGTTAATTAATAATTATTAATCAGCAGTCAGTAAACTTATACACCATTCCACGTGGGTTTTCCTTGGAAAATTCCACAGAACGTATGGAGTATTTTTATCCGTATTATGTCTGTGCCATCCAAAAGTAATTTCTACTCCTTAAGACATGAGTTGAAAAGAAGAGGAATGAAACATTAGGCCTTTTAAATAATGTGATCTCTCAGCACATTGTACCTGCTCACTCTTATTTTCACAAGGGTACTGGTTTTGTTTTCAGAAAGAGACACCAGTAGTTCAGGCAATTTAACCAGTAACTGGTTCCTGTAAACAGAGTAAAGGCTAACTGCAGACTGTCATATATATTCCGAGTAGCTTTCCCCACAAAAGAATAAAAGTAATTGATACTTGAGTTGCCTGTTAAAAATATTGGGAAATTCATATTTTTGAAGCCCTAGTAGTTAGTAGTTTTGAGGGAAAAAAGGACTAACCATTTTGAAAGTGAGCCTATTCAGACAATATTTTACTTGTATAGTTGGGGTGCACAGGTTGGTGTGGATTATATTCCTGCTATAGAGAATAGGTTATAAATAGTTTCTGTGGCAAAGTTCTTTATCCAGTACTTAATATAAGCTATTTTAATGAGGTGGCCTATTTGGAGATGTTTTATGAAGCTTTGGCCTAAGGGATGAGGTTGGAGGAGAGAGATTTAAGACTAAAGTGTTAGGAGTAGTAACCTTCCCAAATTTTCATTGCTTTCTGTTTGGCAGTCTCTTATGGGAATATACCATGAGTAACCATCTCTACAAATTTGCCTTCTTACTTGGGTCTGTCATTCAAGTATTTTCAAAAGGATTTATCATGGCTAATATGTTTTGAATTAATAAGTTTATGGGTATATAAACTTGATATGTTCCTGGAGAGCTTTTTCATGCTCTATTTCATATGTTGCCTTACCAACGTTTCCCTTTCCTTTTTTCTCTCTCTGTTCTTCCTTTCCTTCCATTCATTCATTCATTGATAGTCCTTTTCAAACCTTGGGCCAGGACAAGGCCTAAGTTTGAAACTGTTATTGACTGTTACCTGTTTGGAGAGGTTGTCCATGAAAAATTAATAGGAGATGAAAGACATGTCTATTTCATGAATTTGCAAGTCCTTCATACCATTTTACCATGCCATCTTTTTCACATTGTTTTGTAAAATCAATTATATCTACAAATTGGCCCAGATAATAGTTTGTCAAAGGTTAATGTGAGGGGAATGGCTGCCTCTGACTGTGGCCTAAATAATGTGTAGAAATGGTGGTGGTCTCAGTAGAGAAGCTGGCTGTAATCCCAGCCCCTAGCATAATGAGATAGATAAAAATATTCTACAAATTAATCCTGTAAGCTACCATTGAATATTCTGTTTGTAAAGATGTTTAACAGGTTTTTCATTTAAATCTAATATTGTTATCCCTAGATCAGTGGTTCTCAATCCTATCAGACCTATTGCCCGCTTGTTGTAGCAAATATTTTGTGATGCTCTCTTTAGCCTATCCTGAAGTAAAATTGACATATAGTGAAAATCACCTGAACATAAGTCAAAAGTGATTATATAGTAATACCTAAGTAATATAAATGAGAAATAATAAGGAAAATAATTTAGAATAAAATAATTTGTATTTCAGTATGTAAACACTTAAGCATATACACTAGGAGACATAATGAGATAGTGAAGTCCTTGCACCTATGTGTAGAATCATCATAATTGCAGTATTTCCAAATGCAGATTAATAAAGGTATGTTTCATTGGCAGCTCAAATACCACAAATAGTGTTGTCATTGGTGACATGATTTTTCAAAAAGGTCAACAACCTTGGTAAAGTTCCAAACAAAACAAAATACAGACTTCATCTATTTACCTGGTAATTGCATTCCTAGAAATTCAGTGTGTCTTAAAATTGTGTAAAAATATCTTATATTTATGTGTAAAACAGATTTCAGTTTCAGGCTTAGATAATTATAAATGGATTTTCACCTATGTGCATGTGTGGTTGGACGTTTGTCACTTTGTGGGAATATCCATGCATTCCATTCTAACATACGTGTCCATTTCTCCATCCCTTCCTCCCCAGTGTTGTGGGGAGGAGAGAACTCTGCATTTCCATAGCAACCTCTAGTTACTGTAGTAACCAAATACACACAAATTCCAATGTGCCACCTACGGGGGTGCATAGCCCCTATTTTGAACCACTGCCCTGGAGGAATGATCAATGGGAAAATAGTTTTAACAGTCCAGTGTGTCTCCAGTAAGGCAGTGTGGTCTGTTCTTGGTATTCATGTTTCCTGAGATAATGGCCTTTGTCATAGAATGCACAGAATAAATGAAACATAAAAGGCCACCATCACATTGTAATGTACATCTAAATATAGCATTTGCCTTGGTGGAAAGTGTGTATACCTGTTGTTCCTTTTTAGGGCAAAGGTCCTAATTTGGTGTTTGGGTATTCCCTGAAATTACACATTTCGTATGTATGTTCTTGGGTACATTTTTCTGGGGAGATGATTTTCAGTAGATCTGTAAAGAAGTGCCTAAGGTCATGATGGAGTCTAACAGGTATGGAAGGAACCTGTTCTGTTTCTGTGAACCTTAGTGGCACACCCTGAGATTGACTAAGATTCGAGTAGCCTTACCTTTACCACTACTTCTTTCCTTTTTCCTAGAAGTAAGGATTCAAATCCTGAAATCCATTTTTGAAAAATGTAGATTTTTTTGAAACTGTGGCATTAAAGTGCAGAAGGAAAGCTAACATATTGTCATTGGGTCTTTATCCTTTCACATGACAAGAGAGGAATTTTAATGGTTGGGTAAAGCTTTCCAGGATATCAGTTATGAAAAACAAGCTTTTTTTTTTTTTAAAAAAGTTCATATTGTAATCAAGACTTTTCTCCTTAATTCCCCCCTCCCCACTATTAGTTATTTCCATATTTAAGACTATGATTCATACTCTATGAAAATTACTTTTAAGTGAGGCAGTGACATTAGGACAGATTTTACTTAGTTGATGCAGCCTCTTCCTTTTGCTTGTTACTTATTCTAAAAAGTTTTCAAGAAGAAATTTTGTCCCCTAATAATTTAGTATGATATGAAAAACGTATTAGCATATAATTTTTTTTCTGTCCTTGGAAAATGTCAGCAATATTCTTATACCTTTCTCTAAATGCTTAATTTAGGTCTTATAGCTCTTTTCCTAGTAGTCATTTTAGAATACTATATCTGTGTCCCTCATCTTATGTCTTTCTATATCCTAATTATTTGGGAGTTGGGTTCAGACTTCTTTCAATATTTGTCATTTTTTATTTACTGTCCAAGATTAAAGTTTGCATGGTAATACGGTTTCCACTCTGTTAAGCTGGAAAATTTAAAAAGCTTTCATCAACTTTTGCAGAAACAAATGCTGTACTTTTCTAACACATGAAATTGAGTGATGGCCTAATATACACTTCTAAGCAAGAATCCTGTGGAAGAAGAAGAGTTAATGGGTACTTTTCTTATCAGGTTGGCACCTGATAAAATGAGTTGCATAGGTTAGATGAAGTTTAAACTGTTTCTAGACCAAATTCTCTAAATGTTGGAGATGAGTTATTATTAGGTCAGTCAAGAAGGCCACAGATAACAAATGAGAGGCTAATTAATTTCCTGCTTCCTGCTTCTGCCTCTGGATTTAAACAGTGTAGAGTGTTCATGCACGAACCCTTTGACTTTGGCATTTACTTTCCAAGGACAATTGAAGGCAATAGCTGGTTCCTTCATGTGCTAAATTCAGCTCTTTCCTGAGCTTGCTTTAAAAAATAATCATCCTTGCCAGATTGCAGCTTGTGAGCTACCTGTTTTCAAATTGGTGTAAATTATTGTCAAATTGTGATTGCTATGTATTGCTTACCTAGGTTGCAAGAAGCTTTTAGACAAGTTTTACTGTAATGTACTAAGATGAGATAGAATCATATAGTACATGGCAGATTACTGGGAATAAGGAGGTCCTAGATTTTAGAACTAATGTCACTGAATTGACTATTGCCTTTGGAATTAACTACTTAACAAAATTATCTTAACTATTTTAGTTTTCTCATTAATAAAATAGGAAAGTATTATCTTAGGTCCCTTTCATTGCCATGATTTTGACATGTGTTTTTTTCCCTTATAGTTAAGTTATGGGAATGATTAATGCTGTTAATTTAACTTTGAACATTTTTATTAACTTTTTTGGGGGGAAAAGTCGTATATGAGAGTAGAAAACATTGTGATACCTGCAAGGGTTTATGATGAAAGGGAGATCTACGTCTTCTAACCTAGACTTCCAAATTTCACAGGACTCTCCCAGAACTAACAACTGTTGGAACTGTATCCATCCAGAAATATTCTGTGTATATACATGGTTACGTGTGTGTGTGTGTGTGTGTGTGTGTGTGTGTGTGATAACTATGCCCTTTTTTCACCAATTAAACGTACTTATTTAATTTACTTAATTTACTTCTTTTAAACTTTTTAAAATTTCAACAGCTTTTAGTGTACAAGTGGTTTTTGGTTATATAGATGAATTGTATAGTGGTGAAGTCTGAGATTTTAGTGTACCCATCACCCAAGTGGTGTACATTGTACCCTATATGTAGGTTTTTTTTTTTGTCTCTCACCCCACTCCCAACCTCCGCCTTCTGAGTTTCCAAAGTCCATTATATATCACTGTGAATGCCTTTGTGTACCCATTGTTTAGGTCCCAGTTATAAGAGAGAACATATGGTATTTGGTTTTCCATCCCTGAGTTAACTTTACTTAAAATAATTTTCTCCAGTTTCATCCAAGTTGTTGCAAAAGACATTATTTTGTTGTTGTCGTTGTTTTAATGGCAGAGTAGTATTCCATGGTGTATGTATACCACATTTTCTTTATTCACTTATTGGTTGATGGGCACTTAGGTTAGTTCCATGTCTTTGCAATTGTGAATTATACAACAATAAACATACATATACAGGTGTCTTTTGATGTAATGACTTCCTTTCCTTTGGGTAGATACCCAGTTAATGCTATTGCTGGATGGAATGGTAGATCTACTTTTAGTTCTTTAAGAAATCTCCATACTGTTTACCATAGAGGTTGTACTACTAATTTACATTCCAACCAGCAGTGTATAAGCATTCCCCTGTCACCACATCCATGCCAACATCTGTTGTTTTTTGACTCTAGTTGTGGCCATTCTTGCGTGGCCATTATTGCAGGAATAAGGTGATATCTCCTTGTGGTTTTAAATTGCATTTCCCTGATGTTGAGCATTTTTTCATGTTTCTTGACCATTTGTATATCTTCTTTTGAGAAATGTCTGTTCCTGTCATTTGCCCACTTTTTGATGGGATTTTTTTTTTTCCTTGCTGATTCAAGTTGTTTGTAGATACTGGATATTAGTTGTTTGTCAGATGCATAGCTTGCAGATGTTTTCTCCCATTCTCATAGTTCTCTTTCACCGAGCTTAGACGCAGCCTCAGAATCTTCTTAATACTTGCTTTGGACAGACATAACCAACTCATCAGAATTAGTAACTGTATGTTAAGCCATATTTGTTGCATTTTTTTTTTTTTGAGAAAGAGGGAGAGAGAGAGAGAGACAGACAGACAGAGAGACTCCCTCCCTCATTCCTCCAGGCTGGAGTGCATTGGCGTGATCATAGCTCACTGTAACCTCAAACTCCCGTGCTCAAGTGATCCTCCCAGCTTAGCCTCCTGAGTAGCTGAGACTACAGGCGTGTGCCACCATGCCTGGCTAATTCTTTTTTTATCATTTTGTAGAGACAGGGTTTCACTATGTTGCCTAGGCTGATCTTGAACTGTTGGCCTAAAACTATCCTCCCACCACAGCCTCCCAAAGAGCTGGGATTACAGGCGTGAGCACCATGCCTGGCTATCAGGTGCAATTTCAAAATTCTATTTCAGGGATTCTATTTCAGGGATTCTTTATACAGAAAATTAGTCTAAATTTTGCTAGTTCCAGAATAGTCTTCAGCTGAATATTTTCTTTAGTTGTTTAAAGGAACAGTGGGTAACATGAATAGTTGTGAGAATAGTACCATGAATTAAGTGTGTGATACTGCCTGAGAATTAAAATTGCCATGCTGTTTGGAAAAACATAAGGCCTGAATTACGTGTTTGGAGTTTAATACTTTCGAATGGTTGCTGTAGGTTTCAGTATGATCTTAAGTTATCTGGATCAGTGTTACTTGGGATTCAGCAATTATGCTGTGATCTTGAATTGCATCTGATGTTGATTTATATACCTTGCAGCTTAATTTGTAGTAATCTATGTATATAATTCATTAAATATTCACTTACTATGTGCCAGAGACCATGCTACTTGCTGATGTAATAATGGTAAGCAGGGATTGACAAGGTTCTTGCTCTCAAGGAGCCTGAAGTTTAGGTTAAACAGACAAATGCATAAATATAAACTAGTAAGTACTGTAAAGGAAAGAAACATGCTTCTAATAGAAAAAATATATTAAAAAGGAACAGTACCTTCACTGGGAAATACAGGAAGACTTCTCTGAGGAATTGATCTTTGAGTTGGGATTAAAGTGGAAAAAGCACTGGAAGAACATTCCATTTTGAGGGAATAGCATGGGAAGGTCCCCATGGAATGAAGAAGGATGATGTATTAGAAAAACTGAAGGAAGGGGATAATGCTGAGCCAGGAAAGTAAGGAGCCTAGGCAGTGTAAGATGATTCCAGAGAGGCAGGCAAGGGGTAGACCTACAACTATAGTATAAATAACTAACTTAAATGACTATAGAACATGATAATTCTGAAACGTTCTGTAAATAGTTTTTGTAATTAATAATGGATAATGCCCTACATTACAATTATGTTTTAGACTAGAAAAGCATTTCCCCTCTTGATAAAGTTTCAAACTATTCAGTGGAGAAACTTGAATCTCCATATTGTAGGGGTTATTTCTCTTTTGTGATTATAGTTTTCAAATTTCGTATTGAGTGTTGCTTACTGAATTGAGTTTAGAATCATCAGTTATCATAAGACTTGTGTCATTAATAAAAATGCAGTTTGAGTGCTTCTTAACACTAGTCCAAACATTTAGACGTAAGATCACCATAAAAAAATTCAATAGGAATAATAAATCAGCATCAGAGGATATGAGGGATATGAGGGCCTAAGTGGGAAATGTGTGTACCAACTTAAAACAAAGAGCTTGAAAATTTAAAAATTACTTAAATAATTTATTTCATTTATGTGATGTTAGCAACATGATGATAATCTGAAATGAAGACCTCACATTCATTTATGGGGGCCAAGGTAAAAAAAAATCATTCAAATCATTACTTAGTGAAGGGAGGAAAAATAATATATTTCTAGACAGATTCGTAACTATTTTTTTCCTCTGAGATACTTTGGAAGCCTCCATGTAATCTTTTTTATATGAGATATTGCAAGTCAATTTATTACACATAAATTATAGTTGAGGGATTTTGCTCAAATTTCTGAAACCTTAAAGAATTGTGAAAGCCTCAAACATATATTACTAAATTATATACTAAGTTACCTATATGTATGATTTCTCCTTCGCAGTGCTTTTTCCAGTGCTTGTGCTTTTCTGAATTCGTGCCAGCTACTAGTACTCAAACAGTTTGTTTTTATGGGATATGTAGTAGTGGCTGACAACTTGAACACAAGAGATCATAATTAAAAAGAAACCTGGAAAATAGGAGAAGATGCAAAAAGAAGATTGTTCTCATTAATTGAGGAAAAGTATATGGAATTCTGTATTAATTCTTTTCATTTAAAAATCCTAAAGGACCCGGCACCTCTACTAAAGTTCAATTGCTTTATTATACTTATACATGAATGACTGCATTACTTATTATTTATGCTCTACTTTCATATAGCCAGATTTCATTTATAGTACCATAACTTTTTGCTATATACCACATACTAAGTGCCTTTTATGTGACTAGAATTTTGCTAGGTGTTTTACTGATATTATTTGAAGTCCTTACAACATATTTGCAGGGTTGGTGTTATTAGTCCTGTTTGAGAGAGGTGGAAACTGAAGCTGATGATGTGTTGGTGAATGTTTTAAAAACTAGTTCTTTGGGGTAAAAGTTCTGATTTGTAGTGTTTGCTGATTTCTGTGGTGTAAATATTCCTGTTATGGCTGATTTCAAGCTACCAGCCTGAAGTCAGTGAAGGGGATTTGGGAAGAAGAGATGAGCACAATTGGTTCTCCAGCCAGTGTGATCTGGTTCTGAAACACCACTGACTGAGGCACATAAAAATGAAGTAACTTTTCTTTGATAATGCCAACATTCACACTTGTATCAGTCTAATAATTCTAAAGACTGTGCTTTTTCCACAATACTCCTTTTCTTTACTGGATAAAAGAGTAGCGAAGAGTCCACCTCTTCAACTTGAGAAGGGAAGAAAGAGGTAGAGGAGATAGAGAGGGTAAGAGAAAGGAGAGAGGACAGGTAGTGAGCAAAGTTGAGGGAGGAAGAAAGGAGCTTTTAGATTGAAGATTGAGAGCAACTGATGTAGATCGTTTGGAGGTGGAAGAAGAAAAACAAGTCTTATAAAGTGATAACACAAGTTTTATCAAAATGGCAGCAGTCGGCTGTGTTTTTGTCACTTTCAAGAGGACACCTAGTATATAGAAATGATAATAATGGCTACCACAACTTAAGGGGAATTGTGTTTTGACAAGCTTCCTGCAACTGATGATCTATTCTTATCACTGTCATTCATACAACTTCAACTAATGACCACACTGCTACACACAAAGCAGCTCAACAAAGTAGCTAATCTAGATAATAAATAACAATCTTGTTCGTACGAAATAGAAAATAACCATAATTTTCTGAGGGTAAAAAAGCCAACTATGCCATTGTACATTCAACGTTTACAAAATTTCTTGTTGTTATAAATAACAAGGGGAGAGGAAGCTAGTTCCAGAGGACATCTGGAATGAAAGATCGTTCACTGGAATTTTTTAGAGTTTGATTATGAAATACTTATTAATCTGGATTCTCTAATCTACAGTATAATCCTGTCGTTGTATGTAGCTTTGAGATACATAAGGTTTCAGATTAAAAAGTCTTTCCATATGTTTATAACCAGTCACATAAAGGTCGTGTATTTTACTGAAATGTTTTGAGTTATCTTAATGATACTTAGCTTCTTTCATAAGGCATATAGTCACAGTTGAGCTAAGTAGCAGGACACACAGGGAAGACAATGCATTATTAATTTTAGAAATCTTTCCCTTTACCATTCTTGCAAAATTAATCTGATACTAAAATATGATACTAAGAGGCTGGGCATGGTGGCTCATTCCTGTTATACCTGCACTTTGAGACGCCAAGGCAGGTGGATGGATCGCTTGAGTCCAGGAATTCAAAACCAGCCTGGGCAACATGGTGAAACCTCATCTCTACCAAAAAAAAAAAAAAAAAAAAAAAACCCACAAAAAGTAGCCTAGTATGATGGCGCGCCTATAGTGCCAGCTTCTCAGGAGGCTGACGTGAGAGAATCGCTTGAGCCTGGAAGGTGGAGGTTTCAGTGAGCTGCGATCACAGCACTGCATTCAAGCCTGGGTGATGGAGCGAGACTGTCTCACACACACACACACACACACACACACACGATTCTGAGAAAGAAGAAAAGGCATTATTGCGACTCTAACCACAATTTTTAATTAGCCTCTCAGCTAGTAGTATCTAGAATTTTTATGCACAAAATACTATAATAATCCTGAAAAGTTACTTTACTTAAAAAAAAAAACCCACAATTTATTCTGTATACAAATAGCCAAAGACATAATTGAAGCTGGGGAGAAGAAACCACTGAAATTTAATTCTGCTTCTCAGGTTTCATATCACATAAGAAACAGATACACATTTCTTCTAAGTTGTTCGACCTAATGACATAATGCTATTCATAACATTTTCTTATCCTTTTAGTGTTTATGGAATCTGTAGTAATGTCCCCATTTCATTTATGATATTGATACTTTGTAGCTTGTCTCTTTTTTCCTTGATTAATCTGGCTAAAGATTTTTCAGTTTTATTAATCTTTTCAAAGAACCAGCTTTTTGTGTTACTAACGTTTTTATGATATTTAAAAATAAATATTAATGATAGAATAGTTTTTGATTTATAGAAAAATCACCAAGATGGTACAGAGTTCCCATATGCTTCACACCCAATTTCCCTATTACTTATATTAACATCCTTATTAATATGGTACATTCATCATACTTAATGAAACAATATTAACCATTATTATTAAATAAATTTCCTACTTGATTCAGAATTTTTTTTTTTTTTGAGGCAGTGTCTCACTCTGTCACCCAGGCTGGAGTGCAGTGGCGCGATCTCAGCTCACTGCAAGCTCTGCCTCCCAGCTTCACGCCATTCTCCTGCCTCAGCCTGCCGAGTAGCTGGGACTACAGGCACCTGCCACCGTGCCCGGCTAATTTTTTGTATTTTTAGTAGAGACGGGGTTTCACCGTCGTTGATTTAGATTATTTTTACCTAACATTCTTTTTCTGTTTCAGGATGCCATCTAGGATACCACATTTAACTTTGGTTGTCATATCTTCTGAGATCCGATCCATCTTGGCATCTTGGCTGTGACAGTCTCTCAGGCGTTCTTTATTTTTTATGACCTTGACAGTTTTGAGGAGTATTGATAAGGTTTTGTAAAAGTACCTCAACTGGGATTTGCAGTTTTTTTTTTTTTAATCATAGTTAGACTCAGTTTAAGGTTTTTATTTACAGGGAGACACAAAGGTAAAGTGCCATTTTCATTACATCATGTCAAGGGTACACACTATCAACATGACTTAACATTGTTAATGTTGATCACCTTGTTGAGATAGTGTTTGCTAGGTTTCTCTGCTGTAAAGTTACTTTTTCCCCCTTATTTCCATTCTGTATTCTTTGGAAGTCACTGTGCTCAGCACACTTAAGGAATGATGTGTTATATTCCACCTCCTTGAGGGTAGAGTGTCTACACAGATTACTTGAAATTGTTCTGCACAGATTTGTCCACCCTCCTACCCCATTTATTTATTTATTTATATCACTAGACTCATGGATATTTATTCATACCTTGCATTACTATCCAATAGTTCTTTATATATTCTATCACTCAAATTGTTCTAGCTTTAGCCATTGGGTACTCTTTTAGTTGGATCCTTGACCCCATCATTGTACCTTTGTTTGAATATATCCTTACTTTTTGGCACTACAAGATGCTCCAGGCCCATCTTACATATTTCCTGTTCCAGTCCTGTAATGAGCCATTTCTCCAAAGAGCCCTGGTTCCTTTTATTGGAGAATAATATTAGAAGTCATGATCTAGGCACTAGGTATGTTTGTTTATACTGGGGCATCGTTGCTTCTAGGTCCTCTCTGCTGACAGAGCAAGAAATTAAATGTGTTTATACTGATTCGTGTATATACACATATTGATAAGCATTTCTGTATGTGACCACCTGTATCTATATAAGCTAAATGTAAGTTCATATTAATGTTTCTGACTCTAATCCATTACTATCTGGATCATTCTACCCTTCTCCCCTGGCATATCTGTAAACTCCCACTCCAACAATTCGAAACTTGGACTCCCACTCATTTACTTATTTTTTCAGTTCCAATACATGTATACAGTTCCACTATACATGTATAGTGGTTTTCAGAATTGTTAATCCATATCCCTTTGGGAAACAGCTTCATCAACTAGAGCAGCAGTCCCCAACCTTTTTGTTTTGTGGAAGACAATTTTTCCATGGACTGGGGTGGGGGTGGGTAGGTGGGGGAAATGGTTTCGGGATCAAACTGTTCCACCTCAGATCGTCAGGCGTTAAGATTCTTGTAAGGAGTGTGCAGCCTAGAACCTTCGCATGAGCAGTTCACAGTGGGGTTTGCAATTGCATGAGAATTGAATGCCACCACTGATCTGACAGGAGGTGCAGCTCAGGCAGTAATGCTCACTCACCCACCGCTCACCTCCTGCTGTGTGGCCCACTTGCTAACAGGCCCTAACAGGCCATGGACTGGTACCAGTTAGGGACCCCTGAACTAGAGTATAGTGCTTACATATAATGTCTTTCATGTTTAGTTTTACAGACTTCACTAGTTTCCAGGGTTACTTAGGACAGCACCCTTTCCCACCCACCATCTTCAGTAAGATTGTTTCACACCATGTGTATTACAAATAGATTGTTTTGTCACATTCTGCATTCAATCCTGGGATTCCCAGACCTCCTAAAGAATTTATTTTAAATTTGTATCCTTTAAGATTCACACTTTGTGCTGCAAAGTTCTATGGGTTGTAACAAATATATAGTGTCATATATCCATCATTACTGTATCATAGGGAATAGTTCCACTGCCAAGAATATCCCGAAGAATATCCTGTACTTCACCTGTTCAGTACCCCCGACCCACTCCCTTCTTTTGGCAGCCAACTTATATGTTTACCATCTCTCCAGTTTTGCCTTTTCTGGAATATCATATTGTTAAAATCATAGAGTATGTAGACTTCTCAAACTGACTCCTTTCATGTAGTAATATGCCTTTAGGATTCATCCATGTCTTTGTGTGGCTTAATATCTCATTCCTTTGCATCACTGAATAGTATTTATGTACCTATTGAGGGACATTTTTGTTGCTTCTAGTTTTTGGTGATTATGAATAAAGTTGGTATAAAATACATCCATGTGTGGGTTTCTGTGTGGACATAAGTTTTCAGACAGTTGTGTAAATACCTAGGAGCATGATTGCTGGATTATGTAGTAAGACTGTGTTTAACTTTTTCTGAAATTGCCAAACTGTACTCCAAAATATACCATTTTGCATTCTTACCAGCAATGAATGAGAGTTCCTGTTGCTCTGTATCCTCACCAGCAGTTGGTTAGTATTTTGGATTTTAGCCAGTCTAATAGGTATGTAGTGTTAAAACAACAAATCTCACTGTTGCATTCCCCTAATGAAAGATGATGTTGATCATTTTTTGTATGCATATTTGCTATCTGTGTATTTTCTTTGGTAAGCTGCCCATTCAGACCTTATGCCCATTTTTAAAATTGAGTTATCTGTTTTTATATTGGTGAACTTTATAGAGTCTTTGTATATTTTGGATACAAGTCCTTTGTCAGATATGTGTTTTGCAGATATTTTCTTCCAGTTTATATCTTGTCTTTTGACTCTCTTACCAGTGTGTTTTGCAAAGAATTTAATTTTAATTAAATCCTGCAAATTAATTTTTTCATGGAGTATGCTTTTGGTGTTACATCCAAAAACTCATCAAAATCCAGGTCACGTATAATTTTTCCTGTTTTTTTTTTTAAAGAAGTTTTATACTTTTACATTTTACATTTAGATCTATGTTCCATTTTTAGTTTATTTACATTTAGATCTGTGTTCCATTTTTAGTTTATTTTGTGAAAGATGTTAGGTTTGTGTTTAGGTTCATAGTTTTACATACAGGCATCCAATGTTTCAGCATTATTTGTTGAAATACTATTCTTTCTCCATTGAATTACTTGTTTCCTTTTGTCAAAAACCAGTTAACTATATAAATGTGTGTCTTTTTCCAGTCTCTCTATTCTGTTTCATTGCTTTTTCTGTTCTTTGTAGATACTATGCTCTCTTGATTACTGTAGCTTTGTAGTAGGTCTTAAGATCTGCTACAGTGTGATCCTTCAACTTTGTTCTTTTTCAGTATTGTGTTGGTTATTCTAGGTCTTTTCCTATTTCATATAAACTTTAGGGATAATTTGTTATCCACAAAACAACTTGCTGGAAATTTAATTGAGATTGTGTTGAATATATAGAACAAATAGGGAAGAATTGAATCTTTTCAAAATTGAGTCTTCCAATCCATGAATTTAGAATTTCTCTTATTTAGATCTTCTTTGGTTTCTTTCATCGATGTTCCATAGCTTTTGCATGCAGGTTCTGTACATATTTTGTTAGGTTTATACTGAAGTATTTCTTTTCTATTCTCTTTTTGTTGTATGTGTGGGGATGCCATCATAAATGGTTTTAGTTTTTGTTTTTTTTTTTTTAATTTTCAAATTGTAGTTGTTTGTTGCTGGCATAAAGGAAATCAATAGTCTTTTGCTTATTAACCTTGTATCCTGTGACCTTGCTATAACTGCTTTTTGGTTCCGAGAGGTTTTTAGTAGAGTCTTTACATTTTTTTTTTCTACAGACAGTCATGTCATTTGCAAATAAAGGCAGGTTTATTTCTTCTTTTCCTAACTATTGCTCTAGTTAGGACGTATGGTAGGATGCTGAAGAGGAATGATGACAGATGGGTAACATCTTTGTCTTGTTATCCATCTTAGAGAGAAAGTGGCCAGTCTCTCATCATTAAGTATGTTAGTTATAGGTTTTTTGTAGATGTTTTTTACAAAGTTGAGGAAATTTGCTGAGAAGGTTTTTTAAATTTTTTTTTTTTGGCTTGGGGGTATATAAGAAGGTTTGTTAACATAGATGAACTCATGTCATGGGGAGTGAGGGGGTTAAATCATGAATGGGTGTTGGACTTTTTTCCCAGCTCCCTTTTTGGTCTTCAGTTGATATGATTATATGATTTTTCTTCTTTATCCTGTTTATATGGTGGATTACATTTATTGATTTGAACTGTTGAACCAGCCTTGCACACCTAGAATCTCACTTGGTTATGTTATATAATTCTTCCTATGAAATGCTGGATATGATTTGCTAATATTTTGTTGAGAGTCTTTATATTCATGTTTATGAGAGATATTGTTCTATTGTTTTCCTTTCTTGTAATGTCTCTCTCTGGTTTTGGTATTAGGATAATGCTGGCTTCATAGATTGAATTAGGAGTGTTCCATCTACTTCTGTTTTCTGGAAGAGATTGTGGAGAATTGTTATTGCTTGTTCCTTAAATGTTCGGTAGAATTTACCATTGAAACTATCTGGACCTGGTACTTTGTTTTTTGAAAGTTTATTATTTATTCAATATCATTAATAAATATAGAGCTATTAAAGTTATCTATTTCTTTTTGTGTGAATTTTGGTAAATTACATCTTTTAAGGAATTTTTCATTTAAGTTATCATATTTATGGACAAAGTGTTGTTTGTAACATTTATTGTCCGCATAACGTCCATGTGATCAGTAGTGATGACTTTTCTCTTTTTTTTTTTCTTCTGATACTGACAATTTATCTTCTCTCCTTTTTATTTTCTTATACTGGGTAGAGATTTATCTATTTTGTTGATCTATTCAAAGAACCAGCTTCTGGTTTTGTTTGTTTTTCTCTGTTGATTCTCCGTTTTCATTTCCATTGATTTCTACTCTGTTATTTTTTTTACTTCTGCTTACATTAGGCTTAAATAAGGTCTGTTGGAAGTGAATTCACTCAGCTTTTTAAAAAAGTATTTTGCCTTCATTTTTGAAGGGTATGGTATGTTTTACTAATTATAGAATTTCATTTCTTTTCTTTCTGTACATTTAAAGTCTTGTTCCATCATCTTGAGGCTTGATTCTTTCCGATGAGTAGTAGTCAGCAGTCATTCTCCTATTTGTTCCCCTGCATGTAATACTTACCCTCCTCTGGCTGTTATTATTATTTTGTTTCTATATAACCAGTTTTCAGTAATTTAATTATTATGTGTCTTGGTGTGGTTTTCTTGGTTTTATCCTGCATGGGATTTGTTGTTGGTTTTATGGATTTTTAGTTCAAATTTCAAAAACATTTCAGCCTTCTTTCTTCCTTTTTCTTTTTTCTTTCTTTTTTTGGGGGGTTGGGCAGGCAGGGTCTCTCTGTGTTGCCCATGCTAGATGACAGTGGTACAATCATAGCTCACTTCAGCCTCCAACTCCTGGGCTCTAGTGATCCTCCCGCCTCAACTTTCTGAGTAGTTAGGACTACAAGCATGTGCCACCATGCCTTACCAATTGTTCATTTTTATTTTTTGTGGAGAGAAGGGTCTCTGTGTTGCCCAGGTTGGTCTCGAACTCCTGGCCTAAAGCAATCCTCCTGCCTCGGCCTCCCAAAGTGCTGGGATTATAGGTGTGATCCACTGCACCCGGCTTATTTCTTCAACTATATTTGTTTCTCCTCCCTTTCTATTTTTTTCACCAGGGATTCCTTGATAACCTCCATAGGCCACTGGCCACTGTTTTCAGCCCTTTTTCCCCCACTCTGTTTTTCAATTGGTGTATTTTAGATTGCCATATCTTATTGTTCACTGATATTTTCTTTGTGGTATTTAATCTACTGTTCTATTCATCAAGTAAATTTTTCATGTTAGATACTGTATTTTTTAATTCTAGAACTTCTATTTGGTCCTTTAAAAAATATCTTTCACTTCTCTCCTTGTTAGCACATTGAATATGTTTATAATAGCTGTTTTATAGTCTTTCCTAATTCTATCATGTCTGTCATTTCAGTAGGTATTGTACCTACTGACTGATTTTCTTTTTTCTGGTTGAAGTTCACAAAAGGTGAACCAGTCCTGTGCTCTCTGTTGTCTAGTATCTGAAAAAAAGTTCACAAAAGGTGAACCACAACCGGAAAAACTGTTACTTGGGAAACAATTTTTACATTTTTGATGGTTTGATTTTTGTTGTCTTTCTTTAATTATGACTGGGTTTAAACTTCTTGAGAATCAGCTTGCTAGTTTTGAGGCTTGATTGAAAGCTTTATTAGGGTGGATCTGAAGTACCCTTTTTACTTTTCTTTTTCTAAGAGACAGAGTCTCACTCTGCAGAAGTACAGTCATAGCTTCACTGTAACCTTGAACTCCTGTCCTCAAGGAGTTCTTCCATCTTGGCCTCTCAAAGCACTAGAATTACAGGTGTGAGCCACAGCACCTGGCCCCAAAGTATGCTTTTTTTTCTAGGACTAATTTACTCTTACTATTAATACCAATGTGTAACCCTTTGGAAGATAGCTATACAATGCTCTGGGTATTCAACAAAGTCTCTTCCTCTTTGACTTGAAGGATCCCAAATGACCTCCAGCCCTGAGTAAGTTATGGAACTTTTCAGCTTATATCTCCCTAGCAGTTTTCTTTGCCTTCAGTCATGAAGTTTAATCCTACTTACATACACTTTAATATTCAACCAATAACTCAAGGGGATTTCTGTACATTTCTGGATCATTTTCTCTTTGTAACTCCCTTTTCTTTGGTATTCTACCCTGAAAATTCTACCAGTCTCAGTCTCCCTAAACTCCCATTTCTGTTTCCTCAAATTCATTGAGGCCATTGTATTCTGCCTATGTTCCCTCTCCTTGTACCAGTTTTCAAAACATGACTCCTGCTTAAAATCTGGGATTATTATAGGATTTATTGATAGGTTTTCCTTTTCTTAGGGATCACAGTCCTGTGCTCTGTTGTCTAGCATCTGAAAAAAAGTTGTTTCATATATTTTGTCTGGTTTTCTAGGTGTTTATAGGAGGGCAAGTTCAGTATCGGTCACTTGGTCATAATAGGAAATGGATGATGGCAGTTTCATTTTTAGTACGATATTAATTACATCACCAAAAAGTCTGCCACTAAAGGAATTTTACTTTGCAGATTATTTAAAGTATTTCCTCTCAAAAGCATGTTCAAATAAAACTTAGAAGTAGTAAAATTCTTCAACTTACATTCGGATTCTATGATTCTTAAGCTTACATTCTGTGATCCTAATTCAACATTTATTGAATGAGTGTTACTATTTAGAAGGCAAATGATACTCTTCATTATTTACAGATATCTGTATACTAGCTTAAATTGTTTTGCTTGAGGGTGATGAACCACAGGAGTCACTAAAAGTACCTAATTTCTAAATTTTATACCCTCTAAAAAGCTATGAATACTGTTTCTCTGATGGGACCACTGAGTTCACTTAATATAGAGCCATATTTACTGGTGCCAGTTATAAAATTGAGACCCATATGGTAGTTAGAAGCATTCAAGATAAAGGCAAATAACCATAGCAATTATTGTGGTTCGCTTCAAATGTTGATTTATGTTACCTGTGTAAATCTGGAGTGATGACATTGATACCAGCTGCATCATTATCAACCATGAGTTACTACATGAATGACTGATAATATTCTCCCAAACTACTATTTTATGGCTAATCATTATGGCATAAAATAAGAGACCTTCAGCAATAGCATAATTACAGTTCTTATATTCCTTGGTATGTATTCCACAAATTTTGTTAAATAAAAATTGATTGTCATGTGAGGATATAATAACCAATTCTTGCTACATTAGTGGGGTCCATTTGTAAATAGGGTTGTAGGACTGTGTGGTAGAAATGCTGACATCTGTCTATCCTTGAATACAAGTACCAGATACAGGAGAAAGAAAGACCAAAGTAAACCAGAGAATTCATCCTGAGTCATTGGTCTTATGAGTATACTTTTCTGTAGAACCAAAAATTTAACGAATACATTTTTCTGGAAGCTTTAGAGTTATTTCACTTTTCAGTAAAGGCCACAGCATTTCTGTTACATTGTATATTGGAGTGATTATATCTAGTTTATAAATGGCACGAATATGTTCTACACAACCCAATGACCTCGCAGTCTCACTGTAAAAAACAGTAAATGAGCCAATAAGATAATCAAATCTGAAAATAATCTATACCAGTTGTCTCAAAAGTATGGTGTATACATCCCTGGGAGTACAAAGATAATCCTCTGGGGTTCAGGATAAAATTATTAGCACATCTATTTATGTGTTTTTTTCTCATTGTGTTTAAATTTATGTTTCTATCTTTTGCAATGTATATTTACAGCAGTCCACGAATGTAATTTATAAATACACCTGGATAGAGATGCATGTCCAATTGTTTTTGTAAACTGATGGTACATGTTGGGAAAACAAAGTTGAAACTACTGCTTTGTGCTGTGAACCAGTGGTTCTCAACTGGGGGCATGCTGAGTAGTGTCATGTCAAGGGGGCAAGGGTGTGCTACTGACATCTAGTGGGTGGATGCCAGGGATGCTGCTAAATAAACATCCTTGAGTTCACAGGACAGCTTTCCTTCAGCCCCCTACCCCACCTTCCGCAGAAAGAATTATCTGGTCTAAAATGAGTTTGAGAAACACAGGTATATACTGTGTATTTCTTTTTCCTTGAAGGAGGGATCGCAAAGAAGTGAGTCTAGCCTGTTTATTTTCTTTTTCATCTTGCTGTTGGCTGACTACTTGGTTTTCTTACGTATATGTCTATATTTTCCAATATCTCAAAAATAGGCACAAGAGAACTGAAGGTACTTAATTTTATAAAACCAAAAGAATACTCTGAACAGTTAGAGGAAAAGAGGTAACAAAATGTGTAAGGCCTTACACACAGAGTGGTATCTAAAATATTTGTTTGTGGTTTTACACTTCTAAGATTAACTGAATATGTTCATTAAGTTCTAATTTTTGTTTTGTAATTCCTATCAAATCTTTTGATGCTTTATGAACTGCATTGGTGTACTGATTCATTGAAATCTAAAAAGAAAGCTGCTACTGATAAGATTGACAGGAAGGAATCTATCTAGCTAGAATAAACTACGTGCAAAGTAAAGAACAAGGAGTCCGTGATCTAATGATTTTTGTGAAAGATTCTGACTTGAGGGTTTAATTTCCAAATTGGTATGCTTCTCATATGCGTGATCTTATGCATATTAAACTTTGTTGTAATTTCATAGTTAAAAAAAAAAAAAATCCCCTATATGTAGCCGGAATAAACAGTCACTGTGAGTTGTCCATTTTAGAGCATAGGTTTTTAGGTGGTGAAGACCTGTCCTTAGTTGAATTTGTATGTGAATTAAACTCTTATTTTTATAACAATTCACTTGAGTTCTTTAAATAAAGATGATGCCAAAGAGATGTAAGGCTTGTCTCTCAGAAGAATAGTAAGGATTAATGGCTTCAGGTATTAGGAGAATTAAATAGAATAGTATTCTATCACCATCTAATTGCTTTTTCTTTTGATAATATGTGCCACAGAATGTGAAACAGCTACTGTTCACTCCACTGAGAGATACTTAGGATGCTTTCGGTCAGCCTAGCTGAATTGTTAGCATGATCCTTAATTAAAATCATCCAAATGATAGAAGGTTCTTCCTGAAGTCAGTGGAAAAACCTCTTAGCATACACTCTAGAACTCAAAAGGAGCTTAAAAGTGGGAACAACTTTAGAGTTACAGGCAGAATTAGACGCAGTTAATAATAGCACTTCTCAAACTGTATGTGCTTTTAAAAAATTTCAGTATGTTGTGAGCCAATAATTTTGTTAAATATAATATAAATGAATAGATAAATGAAAAAAAAACACATACAAAAACAAGCCATAATTTTAAAATTTAGATTCAACAGACATAATATTACTGTCAAATTGCAATGAAGGTTTCTAAATACTTATCCTCTATTATTATATCCATCTTGACATAGCCTGGTAACAGTTTGTGGATCATCAGAAGCCTGTGAACCAAACTTTGGGTTGCACGAATTTCAGTAGAAATTATATGAAATAAAATTTCTTTCTCTGCCGTTTACACGTTAGCTTTTGTTCAGTACAGATTTCTGCTTACTTTCAAATGCTGTCTTGTCTTCAAAGCTTTCCTTGACTTTCCCAAGCTGACTTGGGTAATTCCTAGCCTATAATCTTGCTGTATCCCCAAAGGGCCTCTAGTATAGCAACTGTGATATCAATTCATTTATTTCATTTAAAGAAAATGTAAAAATAGTCCTTAAGACCTAGAAAGGTTTGTGGCACACAGACAATAAGTAAATGTTTATTTAATGAATGAAATAAAAAACGAATGAATTGTAGCAAAATCCTGAGGCTTTAATAACAACACACACTGGATAAAGGAAAACTTCATTTTGCAGAAAGAAAAGACAGTTTCTCAGTCTCAAAAGACTTATGTGAATCTAATTATTATAAAAATAACCCTTGATAGACACCTGAACACATGCATACATTTCATAACTGTATAACACAGACTGTGGAGGTGAAGGAGCATATGGACCTAAATAAAAACTCAAGACCCCTTAAGAGAACTTGCTAGCAATGCTGATTTAAATAATTTTTAACAGTGAGGGGGTCGGAGGTGGGGATGGGAAAGGGAGTTGAAAATTAATGCCCCCAGAGTTTCGTGGTACTCTGTGCTATCTTTTTTCTTTTCCCTGTCCCTCCAACTGTTAATATTTGGTATCTTGTTATACTACTTTTATTTCAGTAAATATTTGATGACAGTCTATTATCTACTCTGTTAGGCACCTTGGAGAGTACAAAGAGAAATGCATGAAATTAACTAAAAGACAAAAAAATGCATTAGGTAGAAGTGCAATAGCACATGAACGAAGAACTTTTAAAAATATGAATAAATTATTTTAAAATTAAAAGTGTTCAAATACAGAATGCTTTTCAAATCTGTGTTTCTTCTGAGGCAGTCTATGGATATGCTTAGGACAGCTGTTTTAGATGACACATCTATATAAATGTGAAGTAGATTTATTTTCTTTAAACAAACCATTAGTGTATGTGTGTATATACACACACACATACATGTGATGTTGAACTAGCTTCATCAACTTCTCAATAAATGGACACATTTAGCTTCTAAAGGTAGAAACGAGTCTAAAAGGGAAGAAGATGGTAAGCAATTTAGCAACCTACAGTCTTCTTCAGTTTTTGATCTGTATCTAAGTAGGCAAATGAATATATTTCTTTCAGTACTTCCTCCTCTGAGTCTGGCCAGCTATTTCCTTTGCATTCTGTCTCCAAGGCACTGGTTTAGGGGAAGGAAGTACAGAAGTCTGAAGTCCTAGGTTGTTGGCACTGCCCCTGGGGAAAGTGAGATATCTTGCATTACTTCTTGGGTATGTGCACATTTCCAGTTCCCACAGAGAAGCCGATCCCTGGCAGAAGGCAGATAGAGACAGCCAGACTGAGTCACAATTAGAGAATCAGGGAAATTATTTTTTTAAAAAAACAAAGGCTCTTAGTAGGGTCAAATTTTTACATAGCGAAACAGGAAGCAGCGAAAAAAATATATTTAAATCTAGATCACGTTTGAGGGAACTCATCCCAAAATTTTCAGGTTTTTCTGCCATGACAAATAAATCAGTGTGGATTCATGTGACAATTACATCTGTTGATTTTCCTTCACAAACATTGACTGATAATCTTCTGGTGTATTTTATCTCTATCTCCTAGCAGCATAATGCTCTTTAAATATGGTTCATAGGATAAACGCAAGTCAGGTTATTGAATGTTAAAGACCACAATAAATAACAAACTGTCTTTTCTGCCCCAACCCTCCTTTTTCTGATTGGAAAATTATTTGTTGGGAAAGCCTTGCAACAGTAAAATAAATTACTTTTGTTCATAATATAATGAATTTTTATATTGAAAATAATAAAAATTAAATCAGCACTTTTGAAAAACTGAGGACATGATTTTATGACATGACGCTTTGTAAAACTTAATTCTATTTGGAAATTCTTTAAACTTTCTTTAAAAAAAAGTTTTTTCTTTTCTTTCCCTTCCTTTTCTTTCTTTCCCTCCTTCACCCTGTTCTTTCTTAGCAGCTAGCACAGGTAGTTGATATATTATTTCCCTACCTAGATTTAAATGTCCTGTTTGGAACGGAGTTATTCCTTTTTTCCTTGTACCTAAACACTTAGATTGCCTCATAATACATGAAACTTAAACATAATTTACCACGAGTACTTGACACAAAGAATTTTTTTTGGTGAATATAAAACATTTAATTTTAAAATGTTGACACTATAATGTATGAAATAGCTAGCTATTACAAATGCACATGGTGTATTTTGTAGATACCAACTAGACTTTTTTGTTTTAGGAAGCTTTAAGTTACACTGTGGTTAAGACATATCTTCACCCTTGAAAAAGCCCACATTCTATCACTGTGATGTATGGTCAAACTGAGGCCCAATCGTTAAACACTTGGATCAAATCATAACTAAGTTTATTGCCAAAGGACTTGTACACATTTATTTGTCAATTTTAGTGCCTTAAAATCTACCCAGCAGCTCATTAACATATAGAAACATACATCATGAGAACAAGAACTATCACCCATCCCTTCTGTATATTAGCAACTTATCACTCCTGAGCAACATCTCATTACTGAGGCCTGTGAACAGTCACTTTTCACATTTGAGTGAAATATGGAATGACTTAAGTATAAATGCAGCTATTATAAGTCATTTCTTACAAAAATGTCATGAATTAAAGTATTTTACAGCATTTACTACAAAACTCCATAAAAACTGCCTTCACTTAAACTCTCTCTCCCCATATCCAGCAAACCAACTGGATGTCTTTGGGCATCTCTTAGCATGGATAGCACACAGAGTAGTGTCTTCCAACACATCCACCAACTATGCCTCACTTGCCTCTGGAAGTACAGGAGAAGCTTGGTCAATTTCCGGTAATGATGAATTTCTCTAAGCACCAAGGTCTTGGGCCTGTAGTGATGCATTTTTATGATTTTTGTTGTTGTTGTTGTTTTCTTTTTGTTTTTTTGTTTTGTTTTGTTTTTACCATCGTTAGAGGAGTCTGCTCTTCCTGGAAGCTTTAGTGGCTAGCTGTTTGCAGGAGGCTTCCTCACCAGTGGATTTACTAGCAGTCTATTTGGTTTGGGCCATCTTTTACCCAACGCCGAAGTCTTAGGCCACTTCTCCAACTGCTGCACTGCTTCTGCAGTCACCAAGCAAAGAAAAGATGCTCCTCCGATGAATGACCAAACACTCTGCACCTGACACAAAGAATGATTTTAAATGTAGATAGTTTTGGTATAACATGCCCAACCATTTTTACTGTTCAACTTGTCATGTTCAAATGATGAAAAATAAAAATAAAAATAGTTGTATAAGGATCCAGTAAGAGATGTTATCTTGAAACTGTAGTTTGAGTGATTTAAGAATTTTGAAGGGTAATTTTGAATGTATCTAATTTTTGCTTTCCTCATTTACTTTAAAACCAAATTCAATTCCTGCTTCTATTTCACTCAGCACAGATAAACATACACAGTGCATTTCCACTGTAGTTTCATTTATATTTGAGTAAAGTGGGGCTAAGAGGTATTAAATGACTTGCTCAAAGGCAGTCAACTAGACAGGTGTGGCTGGGACCAGTGAGACTTAATATTTTCCTGATTTTAAAGGTTATATTCTAGCATACAATCTAGATTACTTCTAATTTGCCAGCAGTCAATATAGTATTTTTTCCATAGTAGGCGTTTATTAAATATTTCTGATTTAATTAACTGCATTTGAATAGCTAATTGTTAGTGATCTTTTCAATAATTTGCAATGTGAATTAGTGTAAGGTTAAAAGTTACTAGGCTTGTGTTTGAATTGTTGCTCTTGCTAAATATTGCTGTACCACTTAATAACTATTGCTCTGGCACTTATTGTGTGGCTCCCAAAGCCACACAATAGAATGAAGTATATAAGAATATAAGTGAAGAAAAAGCTTCACTTTCTTCATTTATAAAACCTACCTCGTAGAGTGCTGTGAGAATTAAAAATAATAAATATAAGATGTAACTATATAGTAAGTATTTGATAAATGGTAGATATTATTTTCCTTTAGCACACTTGATATTTTTCGTCTCGAAAATACTGCTATAGAAGATGAATCATTTTTTATGACATCAGAACTAAACAGAATTACTCATCAAACTATACATTTTCTAGATAGATCTATTGAAAGCATGACACTTAAAAAAATAAGCTAATTATGATGAGCTCTGAATTAAAGACACTGAATCTGCTGTCTCAAGGCTGTTATTATAATCATAAAAGGATAAGAGTTATTGACAGTCATCCTTCTAGCCATACTATTCATATATATTACCCATACTATTCTAGAGACCTGTGAAAATCTTTGGATTCTATATCCTGGTAAAGATATAAATCTACTATCCCAAGACCAGACATGTAAAAATTCCATATCTCATAAATATTTGAGGATATTATATAATCCTATCAAATGAAAATATAAATGAAAGAAGAACAGATGTAGAATGTTATAGGTATTATATTTAAGAAATAAGGTAGGATCTTAAATTCTCAGAAGTTCTACCCTCTCCTTGGGGTACTTCTTCTCATTAATTTAAAAAAATAAATAAATAGTTGCTAATTGTATTATATATACCTAAAAATATATTGCCTTACGAATTTGGGGGCCATTCATATTCATTTAAAAACATGTTTAAAACAACTAATACTATAAAGAAAGGGAAAAGTCAAGGTACAAAGTGAGAAGATATTTGCAACATGTAAAACAAAAGATTAAAATTCAGAATAAAGAACTTTTAAGAGAGAAAGGCAAACCAATCAATGGAAAATAAATGTAATCAGCCTTCTGTATCCATGGGTTCCTCATCCTTGGAATCAACCAACCATGGATTGAAAATATTAGGGGAAAAAATTCCAGAAAATTCTAGAAATCAAAACTTGAATTTGCTGCATGCTGAGTACTACTTTGAATCCATGCCAGTGAAGTGATATAAAAGCGTTGTATTAGGTACTATAAGTAATCTAGAGATGATTTAAAGTATACAAGAGGATGTGCCTGGGCTGTATGCAAATACTACACCATCTTATATAAGAGACTTAAGCATCCTTGGATTCTGGTACATGGTTGTGCAGATCCTGAAACCGGTTCTCCACAGATACCAAGGGATGACTGTAAAAGACTTCAAGTGAGACCTCATAAGAGAGGAAACACAGCTTACTAGTAACTACAACAAAAGGTGTTCAACTTTATTAGTAATTAGGAAAATGCAACTTTAAACCACAAAGAAATACTCTTATATACCATCTGATGACTAAACATTAAAAAATGTTGACATTAGTGATGAAGGACATGTAGAGCAATAGGAATTCATTTTTATCTCATGGGACTGTAAATTGGTAGAAGCCCTTTGAAAAATACCTTGACATTACCTATTAAACATGCTAAGCCAGGCACAGTGGCTGACACCTATAATCCCAGCACTTTGGGAGGCCGAGGTGGACAGATCACTTGAGTTCAGGAGTTAAAGACCAGCCTGGCCAACATCGTGAAACGTTGTCTCTACTGAAATACAAAAATTAGCCAGGTGTGGCCGGGCGTGGTGGCTCACGCCTGTAATCCCAAAACTTTGGGGGGCCGAGGCAGGCAGATCACGATGTCAGGAGTTTGAGACCAGCCTGACCAACATGGTGAAACCTCGTCTCTATTAAAAATACAAAAATTAGCTGGGCTTGGTGGCTCACGTCTGTAATCCTAGCTACTCAGGAGATGGGCAGGAGAATTGCTTGAACCTGGGAGGCAGAGGTTGCAGTGAGCCGAGATTGTGCCATTGGACTCCAGCATGAGCGACAGAGCGAGACTCTGTCTCGAAAAAAAAACCAGGCGTGGTGGTGTGCACCTGTAGCCCCAGCTACTCGGGAGGCTGAGGCAGGAGAATTGCTTGAACCCAGGAAAGGGAGGCTGCAGTGAGCCAAGATTGTGCCACTGCACCCCAGCCTGGGCAACAGAGCTAGACTCCATCTGGGGAAAAAAAAAAAAAAAAAAAAGTTAAACATGCTCATAGCTTAAGACTCGGCAATTTTATTTCTGCCTATTTATTCTAGAGAAATTCTTCTTTTTAAAAAATTATTATACTTTAAGTTCTAGGGTACATGTGCACAATGTGCAGGTTTGTTACATGTGTATACATGTGCCATTTTGGTTTGCTGCACCCATTAACTCATCATTTACATTAGGTATTTCTCCTAATGCTATCCTTCCCCCATTCCCCCACCCAATGACAGGCCCCGCTGTGTGATGTTCCCCGCCCTGTGTCCAACTATTCTCATTGTTCAGTTCCCACCTATGAGTGAGAACATGCAGTGTTTGGTTTTCTGTCCTTGGAATAGTTTGCTCAGAATGATGGTTTCCAGCTTCATCCATGTCGCTACAAAGGACATGAACTCATCCTTTTTTGTGGCTGCTTAGTATTCCATGGTGTATATGTGCCACATTTGCTTAATCCAGTCTATCATTGATGGACATTTGGGTTGGTTCCAAGTCTTTGCTCTTGTGAATAGTGCCACAATAAACATACATGTGCATGTGTCTTTATAGTAGCATGATTTATAATCCTTTGGGTATATATATACCCAGTAATGGGATCTCTGGGTCAGATGGTATTCCTAGTTCTAGATCCTTGAGGAATTGCCACACTGTCTTCCACAATGGTTGAACTAGTTTACACTCCCACCAAAAGTGTAAAAGCATTCCTATTTCTCCACATCCTCTCCAGCATCTGGAGGGGGCACTCTGGTTTTTAGAATTTTCAGCTTTTCTGCTCTGGTTTCTCCCCATCTTTGTGGTTTTATCTAACTTTGGTCTTTGATGATGGTGACCTACAGATGGGGTTTTGGTGTGGATGTCCTTTTTGTTGATGTTGATGCTATTCCTTTCTGTTTGTTAGTTTTCCTTCTAATAGTCAGGTCCCTCAGCTGCAGGTCTGTTGGAGTTTGCTGGAGGTCCACTCCAGACCGTGTTTGCCTGGGTATCACCAGTGGAGGCTACAGAACAGCAAATATTGCAGAACAGCAAATATTGCTGCCTGATCCTTTCTCTGGAAGCTTTGTCTCAGAGGGGCACCTGGTTGTATGAGGTGTCAGTTGGCCCCTGCTGGGAGGTGTCTCCAAGTTAGGCTACCTGGGGGTCAGGCACCCACTTGAGGGTGCAATCTGTCCATTCCCAGAGCTCAAACACTGTGCTGGGAGAACTACTGCTCTCTTCAGAGCTGTCAGACAGGAACGTTTAAGTCTGCAGAAGTTTTTGTTGTGTTTTGTTCAGCTGTGCCCTGCCCCCAGAGGTGGAGTCTACAGAGGCAAGTGGTCCTCATTGAGCTGCGGTGGGCTCCACCCAGTTCAAGGTTCCTGGCCGCTTTGTTTACCTACTCAAGTAATGGTGGACACCTCCTCCAGCCAGGCTGGCTGCCCTGCAGTTCGATCTGGGACTAGCAGTGAACAAGGCTTCGTGGGCGTGGGACCCGCTGAGCCAGGCATGGGATATAATCTCCTGGTGTGCCATTTGCTAAGACCACTGGAAAAGTGCAGTGTTTAGGTGGCAGTGTCCCGATTTCCTAGTACAGTCTGTCAAGGCTTCCCTTGGCTAGGAAAGGGAAATCCCTCGACACCTTGCGCTTCCCGGGTGAGGTGATGCCCCACCCTCCTTCAGCTCGCCCTCCGTGGGCTGTACCCACTTTCTGACCAGTCCCAATGAGATGAACCAGGTACCTCAGTTGGAAATGCAGAAATCACCTGTCTTCTACGTTGATCATGCTAGGAGCTGCAGACCAGAGCTGTTCCTATTTGGCCATCTTGGAACGGACACCCCGAGGAATTCTTAAATATGTGGACCAAGAGACATATATAAAAAAGTTCACAGGAACATTGTTCATAAAACCAAAAAATTGGAGATAACTCAAATGTTCATTATCAGTAGATTGGTTAAATGCTGATAAATTCATAAATTGGAATATATTTTACAGTAGTAAAAATGAACTACAGGTACATACAACATTGAATATGTGCACATGTGAATATGTATGTTTCATGACAACCAATCTTCTGTGTTTTTTTTTGGAGACAAAAATGTTAGGCACAACCACCATGTGATGGTTAATAGTGTCAACTTAATTGGATTGAAGGATGCAAAGTATTGTTCCCAGGTCTATCCGTGAGGGTGTTGCCAAAGGAGATTAACTTTTGAGTCAGTGGACTGAGAGAGGCAGACCAACCCTCAATCTGGGTGGGCACCATCTAATCAGCTGCCAGCGTGGCCAGAATAAAAAACAGGCAGAAGATCGTGGAGAGATTAGACTGGCTTAGCCTCCCGGCCTACATCTTTCTCCCATGCTGGATGCTTCCTGCCCTGAACATCGGGCTCCAGGTTCTTGAGCTCTGGGACTCGGACCAGCTTCCTTGCTCCTCAGCTTGCAGACGGCCTATTATGGTACCTCGTGATCGTGTGAGTTAATACTCCTTAATATACTCCCCTTTATATATACATCTGTCCTATTAGCTCTGTCCCTCTAGAGAACCCTGACTAATACAAATTTTGGTACCAAGAGTGGTTCTAGAGGAACAGAATATTAAGGATGGAGTTCTTTTGTTGGTTCTGGGGTTTCTGGAGTTGGCTGCTTAATACGAATAGACCCCAAAATGCTAAGGACGCTACTTCTAATAATGTGGAGAACAGTGATAGTCCTTGGCGTGAACTGTTTAGAGAGTTATGCAAAATAAATGCGTTTGACATTCCTGATGCGCTGCTCCTGAGAGGCAAAGAGTTTAGCAACTTTATACATAATACCTTTGACCATATATGGAGAACCAAAAAACATAATGAAGTTGGTTAGTTGCTTCTAACTGGACCAAGTGATTTAAGAAAATAATGAACTCGGGGCTTCTAACTGCTGGCTTCAGAAGCAGATACTGAGCCTCAAATCTGTTAAGATTGCAGTGATTGAGAGTCTTATCTCCTGTAGAGAAAGAGTTGAAATTGTGGGAAAACAGACAGAAGCTCTTATGTGAGTGACTGACCTGCAACAAAAGGTGCATGGACAGCCTCGCCAGGTGTCTACTATTAAAGTGAGGGCATTTACTGGAAAAGAATGGGACCCTGCAACTTGGAATGGTGACGTGTGAGAGGACCCTGACGAAGCTGGGGACACTGAGCTTGTAAACTCTGATGAACCCTTTTTACCAGAAGAAACAGCTTCCTCATCCCCAGTAGTGGCAGCATCCCCTCCCCAACCCATGCTGCCATCATCCTTTCCACCTTTGTTTGAGGAGATATGCTGCCTAAGGCAACAGTGATGGCGTCCCCTGAGGCCGGTGCCTGGCAAGACACCCAGGACCCACCTCCAACACCCTGTGAGCTTCTAGACCTATAATTAGACTAAAGTCCCAGCAGGCTCCTAGAGGTGAGGTTCAGAGTGTGACCCACAAGGAGGTGTGCTACACTCGAAAAAAACTGCTGAGTTCTCTAATTTATATAAGCAGAAATCTGGAGAACAGGCATGGGAATGGATATTAAGGGTGTGGGATGATGGTGGATGGAACGTAGAGTTGGATCAGGCTGAATTTATCAATTTGGGCCCCCTAAGTAGGGATTCTGCATTTATGTGGCAGCTTGGGGAGTTAAAAAAAGGTTCTAATAGTTCATTTGCTTGGTTAGGTGAATTGTGAATTAAAAGATGGCCCACTGTGAGTAAGCTGGAAATGCCTAATCTCCCTTGGTTTAATGTAGAGGAAGGGATCCAAGGGTTTAGGAAGATTGTGATACTGGAGTGGATTAGTCACTTTAGACCTACTCATCCCAGCTGGAAGAGTCCAGAAGCTATACCCTTAGCGAAATGGATTTGTGAGGGCAGCATCTGCATCTTGGAAGAGCTCCATAGGGATTGCTTTTCTCTGTATGCCAGATCTAACTGTGGGAACTGCAGTCGTTCAACTACAAAATTTAAATGCAGTGGGAATAATTGGATTCCAGTGTGGCAGGGGCCAAGTGGTGGCACTCAACTGTCAAAAGCAAGGTAAACATAGCTACCATAATGGACAGCAGAGGCAAAGCAGCAATCAGAATAGTTTGACTTGTGTAGAGCTCTGCCATTGGCTAATTAATCATGGTGTTTCTAGAAGTGAAACTGATAGAAGCCTACGGCATTCCTACTTAATTTATATAAGCAGAAAACGTTCAGGTCAAGTGGACAGAAAACTAATTTGAATTATAAAAACAGAATCATGGCTCCTCAATTTCCAGACTTGAGCTAGTTTACAGACCCAGAACCCCTTGAATGAAGGGGAGGCCGGGTCCCCTTGAAGAAGGATCCCTCTACCGACAATTTATGTGTAAATCTTTCTCCCTGCTTCCCCAAAGGGACCTCTGGCCTTTTACCAGAGTAACTGTGCATTGGAGAAAGGGAAATGATCAGACATTTCCGGGACCATTGGACACTGGCTCTGAGCTGACGTTGATTCCAGGGGACCCAAAACATCACTGTGGTCCTCCAGTTAAAGTAGTGGCTTATGGAGGTCAGGTAATTAATGGAGTTTTAGCTCAGGTTTGACTTACAGTATCCATCGTCAAATGGAAGTGGTATATACATGATCGGGCTTGAGCAGGTCCTGAAGGCACAAGTAAGTTACATGAGGAAGTGGCTCAAACGCCCATGGTTTTCACTCCTGCCACCCTGCCTTCTCTCCCCCAGCCTGCACTGATGGCCTCATGGGGAGTTCCCTATGATCAGCTGACAGAGGAAGAGAAGACTAAGGCCTGGTTCACAGATGGTTCTGCACAATATGCAGGCACCACCTGAAAGTGGACAGCTGCAGCACTACAGCCCCTTTCTAGGACATCCCTGGAGGATAGCGGTGAAGGAAAATCTTTCCAGTGGGCAGAACTTCAAGCAGTGCACCTGGGTGTGCACTTTGCATGGAAGGAGAAGTGGCCAGATGTGTTATTATATACTGAGTCATGGGCTATAGTCAATGGTTTGGCCGGATGGTCAGGGACTTGGAAGAAGCATGATTGGAAAACTGGTGACAAAGAAATCTGGGGAAGAGGTATGTGGATGGGCCTCTCTGAGTGGTCAAAAACTGTGAAGGTATTTGTATCCCATGTGGGTGCTCACCAAAGGGTGACCTTGGCAGAGGAGGATTTTAATAATCAAGTGGATGGGATGACTCGTTCTGTATGCACCACTCAGCCTGTTTCCCCAGCCACCTGTGTCATTGCCCAATGGGCCCATGAACAAAGTGGTCATGGTGGCAGGGGTGGAGGTTATGCATGGGCTCAGCAACATGGACTTCCACTTACCAAGGCTGACTTGGCCATGGCCACTGCTGAATGCCCAATTTGCCAGCAGCAGAGACCAAAACTGAGCCCTCAAAATGGCACCATTCCTCTGGGTGATCAGCCAGCTAGTTGGTGACAGGTCGATTATATTGGACCTCTTCTATCATGGAAAGGGCAGAGGTTTGTCCTCACTGGAATAGACACTTACTCTGGATAGGGGCTTGCCTATCCTGCACATAATGCTTCTACCAAGACTACCATATGTGGACTCAAGGAATGCCTTATCCACTGTCATGGTATTCCACACAGCATTGCCTCTGACCAAGGCACTCACTTTATGGCTAAAGATGTGTGGCAGTGGGCTCATGCTTATGGAATTCACTGGTCTTACCATGTTCCTCATCATCCTGAAGCAGCTGGATTGATAGAACGGTAGAATGGCCTTTTGAAGTTACAATTACAATGCCATCTAGGTGAGAATACTTGGCAAGGCTGGGGCAGAGTTCTCCAGAAGGCTGTGCATGCTCTGAATCGGCATCTAATACATGGTACTGTTTCTTGCATAGCCAGAATTCACAGGTCCAGGAATCAAGGGATGGAAAAGTGGCACCATTCAGTATCACCCCTAGTGATCCACTAGCACAATTTTTGCTTCCTATTCCTGCAACATTATGTTCTGCTGGCCTAGAGGTCTTAGTTCCAGAGGGAAGAACACTGCCACCAGGAGGCACAACAGTGATTCCATTAAACTGGAAGTTAATATTGCCACCTGGACACTTTGGGCTCCTCCTACCTTTAAGTTAACAGGCTAAGAAGGAAGTTACTGTGTTGGCTGGGGTGATTGACTGGACTATCAAGATGAAATCAGTCTACTGCTCCACAATGGAGGTAAGGAAGAGTATGTGTAGAATACAGGAGATCCCTTGGAGCATCTCTTAGTATTACCATACTCTGTGATTAAGGTCAATGGGAAACTACAACAGCCCAATCCAGGCAAGACTACAAATGGCCCAGACTCTTCAGGAATGAAGGTTTGGGTCTCTCCACCAGGAAAAAAAACCATGACCTGCTGAGGTGCTTGCTGAAGGCAAAGGGAATACAGAATTGGTAGTAGTAGAAGAAGGTCATCAATACCAGCTACAACCATGTGGCCAGTTGCAGAAATGAGGACCATAATTGTCATGAGTATTTTCTCCTTTTGCTAAAAACATATTTGTACATTTATACACTTGTATTAAGAAAATATCTTCATTGTATCGGCATTTAAGTGTTGTTAACTTTATGTAATAACATTTGGGTTGGGGATTGGTGCGTCTCTGGTTGTACGAAGGATAGTTGTATTATGTTAGGCATAATTATGACCTTATTATTGTGTTTATTTGGAGATTATGATCTCAGGAGATGCATATGGGTTCAGGTTGACAAGGGGTGGACTTGTGATAGTTAATATTGATGGTTAATACACACCAGGAGGTTCATGAGAGGAAGCCAGGCACTGCACTAAGTAAGTGAAGCCTTATACTAACACTATTCATCTCTGTATCTTTGATAGTTTGACCCTGTTCCTCAAGGATACATAGTATGCCATACCCTTCTTAGGCAGCTACACAGACTGGAGTATTTTATATTTTAAAAGTGATACCCAGAACAAAACTACTTGCTGATGTTGATGATGGAATTAAATAACTGAAAGATGGTTCGTAAGCCAAATATTGAAATTTTGCATAAATTAAAAAGCAAAACATTGAAATCTGAAACACCCTGACTTTAAGATTTGAGTAAATCCATCCTATATTCTGTACAGAAAGAATCAAAGCAATGTATGAAATTGTTTCACAGGTTTTTTCAATTATGTACAAAATGCTTATAAAGTTAAAAGGTGCATCATTTGCCACTTAATTTCAATTGTGATTTAGCGTGTGCTTTCTTCCAGAAAATGAAATACAATGGTATTTCATAATCAGAGGAAAATGTGAAGGCTTCCAAATTCATTCCTTGACCATAACTAGGATCTACCATATATCCATCATAAAAAAGAGAAAAGAATTATTAGAATTACTAGCTGAAAATATCATCTGGTGTCAAAGCATCTTTGCTGTCATTCATAAACTGTGAGACAGAGTCTTGCTCTGTCGCCCAGGCTGGAGTACAGTGGCATGATCTTGGCTCAGTGCAACCTCCACCTCCTGCATTCAAGCAATTCTTGTGCCTCAGCCTCCTGAGTATCTGGGATTATAGGCGTACGCTTCCATGCCCAGCTAATTTTTGTATTTTTGGTAGAGACTGGGTTTCACCATGTTGGCCAGGCTGGTCTTGAGCTCCTGACCTCAGGTGATTTGCCTGCCTTGGCCTCCCAAAGTGCTGTGATTACAGGTGTGAGGCACTGTGCCCAGCCCAGAAAATTGTTTATAGAAAAATACATGCTTGTGTGAATTAACAGGCTATACCAGATCTTAGAGAAATTTTTATAAAGTGACTTTTTCTTGAGTGCTTTAATTAAAAGCCAAAAGCAGAGTCATGGGTCACCAACCTTGTTAACAATAATTTTTTAAAAAGACTCTTATGGGCCGGGCGCAGTGGATCACACCTGTAATCCCAGCACTTTGGGAGGCTGAGGTGGGCTGATCACGACGTCAGGAGATCGAGACCATCCTGGCCAACATGGTGAAACCCTGTCTCTACTAAAGAATACAAAAAATTAGCCAGGTGTGGTGGCGGGCGCCTATACTCCCAGCTACTTGGGAGGCTGAGGCAGGAGAATGGCATGAACCCAGGAGGCAGAGCTTGCAGTGAGCTGAGATCGCGCCACTGCACTCCAGCCTGGGCGACAGAGCGAGACTCCGTCTAACAAAAAAAAAAGACTCATGTTCACACCTCTGCTGCCTTACATTAGATCACTTTAGATGTATACGTCCTCACCAACCACTTACTTCTTAGCCTATAGGAACTTGCCACCCATACTTACCATTTTATTGAAATTACAAATTTCCTAGCTGATAAATCTAATGGCAACTTTTAACTCCACAACATTATTGACTTCTATGTGACATTACGGACCATCCTCTCCTTGAAATTCTTTTTTCCTCTGGTTTCCTTGACATTGTTATCCTGACACTCTGACTGTTCTTCAGCTTTCTTCCTTAGCTCAAGTCCTTTGCCCTTCTCTTAAATAGAGAATTCTTTTTGGTGTATTTATCTTGCTCTGTGTACTCTGTCCTCTCTGAACTCCTGTCTACCCAGAAAAGCCATCTTGAGACGAAAGTTTCAGGAAAGATAGAGGTGAAGAAAGCGAGACAGGAAAGAGGGGTAGCATTCTGTTTTGTTCTTATACAAAGATCCCATTTGAGAGACCAAATGGCTAAAGTATATTCCTTTCTAGTATTTCCTTCACCTTCCCATCCACTACCAGATCTTGCTACACTGATCCTGTCTTGTATAGTCAAGCTTTCCCTTTCTACTAGTTAAAACTCTCAGCTAAGGATTATTGATAATAGGTGTGACACTTGACACTTGCTATGTTATCTCAATCAATGTTTATAACAACTCTATGAGAAAAGTATTTTCATCTTCCAGATGAGGAAGAAGGTTAAGTGACAAGCCAAAATATAGTTGCATGGCTAATAAGGAATAGAACTAATACTGGGCATAGAAAGCTTCCTGGCTGCAAAGTCCTTGTTCTTTACAGTTCATCACTGTCTTCTTTATCAATTTTTCCATCCTAGTCACTACTCTTTGGTGAAAGCCTTAAATTTTTTATGTCCCTTGAACCAGTAATTTTAACAATATACCTGAGAAAAGTAAAGATTTGACAAAGATCTATATTAACATTTTTTATAATGTTACTTCTAACAGTAAAAACAAAGCAAACAAATGAAAAACTTGGAGTAACCTTTAAAAAAAAGTTCATCAATAGTGGAATGGCTGAATAAATTATGGTACTCCACTCAATGTAATGTAATTCAGACATTAAAAGTAATGATCTCAGCCAGACGAGGTGGCTTACTCCTGTAGTCCTAGCACTTTGGGAGGCCAAGGCAGTGGGATTGCTTAAGCTTAGGAGTTCGAGACCAGCCTGGACTACATAGCAAGACCTTGTCTTTCCTAAAAATAAAAAATATATATATTAGCTGGGCATGGTGTTGCAAACCTGTAGTCCAAGCTACTCGGGAGGCTGAGGCAGGAGGATTGCTTTAGCTCAGGAGTTTGAGGCTGCAGTGGGTGACAGAGTGAGACCTTGTCTCAAAAAAAAAAAAAAAAAAGTAATGATTTTAAAGCATTTAAATGATGATTGGAAATACTGATGTTATGTAAAAAGAAAAACATTCTGACCTTATATCCAAAGAAATATGCACACACATATGGGAAAAAATAAATACAGTTTGTCCTCTGTATCCTCAGGTCCCACATCTGCAGATTCAACCAACCATGGATTGAAGATATTAGAAAAAGTAATAATAACAATAAAAATAACACAAATACAAAATACGGTATAAGAACTATTGATGTAACATTTATATTGTGTTAGATATTATAAGTAATCTGGTGATAATTTAAAATTGGGTATAGATTATGTGCAAATACTACGACATTTTATGTAAAAGACTTGAGCATCCTCATATTTTGGTATTGAAGGGAATCCTGGAACCGATTCCCCATGGATACTGAGGGACAAATATCCTAGAAAAAAATAGGCTAAAGTATTGAGTGATGGGATTTTGGATGATTCCTTTTTATTATTAAAACAAGTTTTATCAGACTGAAAAATGCATATGGTTAATAACTTATATCATACAGCTTATAATAAAAAACAGTCCTCTCCCCACCCCCCACACACATAAGTAACATGATAATATCCTCTACTTTTTAACTTATTCATTTTAGATATTATCTATTTATTTTCTCTCATGATAAAAACATTAGAACTCTTATACCACACAGTTCCACTATAGCATCCCCCATATAGCTGTAGCACACATTTTAGTCAAATCATGTTGCGGGAGGTCAGGGACCCCAAACGGACTGGCTGGAGCCACGGCAGAGGAATATGAATTGTGAAGATTTCATGGACATTTATCAGTTCCCAAATAATACTTTTATAATTTCTTATGCCTATCTTTACTTTAATCTCTTAATCCTGTTATCTTCATAAGCTGAGGATGTACGTCACCTCAGGACCACTGTGATTATTGTGTTAACTGTACAAATCGATTGTAAAATGTGTGTTTGAACAATATGAAATCAGTGCACCTTGAGGAAGAACAGAATAACAGCGATTTTTAGGGAACAAGGGAAGACAACTGTAAGGTCTGACTGTCTGCAGGGTTGGGCAAAAACAGCCATATTTTTCTTCTTGCAGAGAGCCTATAAATGGATGTGCGAGTAGGAGAGACATCGCTAAATTCTTTTGCTAGCAAGGAATATTAATATTAATACCCTGGGAAAGGAATGCATTCCTTGGGGGAGGTCTATAAACAGCCGCTCTGGGAGTGTCTGTCTTATGCAGTTGAGATAAGGACTGAGATACGCCCTGGTCTTCTGCAGTACCCTCAGGCTTACTAGGGTGGGAAAAAAACTCCGCGCTAGTAAATTTGTGATCAGACCAGTTCTCTGCTCTCGAACCCTGTTCTCCGTTGTTTAAGATGTTTATCAATAGAATACATGCACTGCTGAACATAGACCCTTATCAGTAGTTCTGCTTTTGCCCTTTGACCTGTGATCTTTGTTGGACCCTTATCAGTAGTTCTGCTTTTGCCTTTTGTCCTGTTCCCTCAGAAGCATGTGATCTTTGTTCTGCTTTTTGCGCTTTGAAGTATGTGATCTTTGTACCTACTCTCTGTTATTACACCCCCTTCCCTTTTGAAACTCTTAATAAAAAACTTGCTGGTTTGAGGCTCAGGTGGGCATCACTGTCCTACCGATATGTGATGTCACCCCTGGCGGCCCAGCTGTAAAATTCCTCTCTTTGTACTCTTTCTCTTTATTTCTCAGCCGGCCAACACTTATGGAAAATAGAAAGAACCTACATTGAAATATTGGGGGCAGGTTCCTCTGATAAAATCAGGGAAAAAAGATTTTTTTTTTTAAATGATCGTATGGTACTTTGGTTATATTTCTTTTCTGGTGCATCTTATTCAATTTTTCCTTAAATTTTTAATTGTCTTTTTGTATTGTCTTTCATATTCTCATTTTTTCAAGTATGCCATGATATCAAGTGCTCTTATATAATTTTATATTAAATTATCCCACCCCACACATATTTTGCTGTTTTTGGAGATAATTCTGGAGCTTTGTGTCCATTATCTTTTGTCTCCGTTGGTTGCTCTCTAGACCTGCTATGTGACTTAGCCATGAGACTTCCCATAAATGCTTTTATGGATTGGATACTATTGTCCTGGATATCATTTCTTTCTCTTTCTTGAATTAATTTTCATTTTGCTGAGGCATATTATCAAGTAGCTTCCTAAGAAATAGTGCATTGGGATCAATATTTCTGAATCCTTGCCTGTCATTTTGGTGTAACAGGCTTTCAGTATTTTAGAGGCATTCAGTGTAACTCCCAAGTAGTCAGCGTTTTCTCATCTTTTTCCATTCCTATATAGGTGACCTTTATATTCACCTCTCTTTTGAAGTTTTAAGCTCATGTCTTTATTCCCATTGTTTTGAAATAGCATGATGATGTGCTCTGGTTGGGTCTTTTTTAATTCATGGGCTTTTAGTCTAAAGACTTGTATTTCATTTCTGGATAATTCATCTGTTTATATCTCCTTTTCTCTCTTTTTCTCTCTCTCTCATATGATAACATCCATTTTTCCATTCTCTCTTTCTTGGACTCTTATTAATCAGATATCATTATCTGATTAATATATACAGATCAGTCTCCTAGACTATGTATGTATATTATATTTTGCTTTTCTAATTTCTGCCTGTTTTAGGGGCCTTCTTTCTCTTTCTTACTTCATCTCCATTTCCTGGATTTCTTTTTATTTATTTCTATTTGAATTCTTTGGGCTTCTTGAAACTATGGATTGATATCTTTTATCAAATGTGGAAAAATATTAGTCATTATCTTTTTAAATAACACCGCTTCTCCATTCTTTCTCTCCTTTTCTTTTGGTAGTTCAATTTAACATGTTAAATTTTCTCCCTGTGACTGTTAGGTCACTTTACTCTTCTATTTTTATATTTTTCATGTTTTTGTCTTTTCATGCTTCATTCTAGATAGTTTCCTCTGACCTTATTCTCTCTTTAGCAGTATCTAATGGTTTTTCATAGTTCTAGGATTTGTATTTAGTTATTTTTCTAATCTACTTTGACACTTTATAATTTTTAGTTTTCTGCCAAACTTTCAAGCTTGGATTTATTGTCTTATATATTGTAAACATATAATTATATTGACCTGGCCTTGTAATTCAAACACATCATATCTCTGTTAATGTTTCTGTTAATATATTTTTGTTGCCTGTTGATTTTCTTGTTAGTGCTTATGATTTCTTTTGTCCTTGGGGACTTCCTTATCTTTGATTGTGTGTTGAACATTATACGAAATTATAGTCCCTTGTCTACAATTTTGAAATCAAAAAAGTTCAAATAACTTAAAAGATTTTTTGTGACTCATTTGTTGGCCAAACCTGCTGTGAAGTGCCACAGAGCTGTTTAGTCTTATCCTACTTTGCGGGAATGTTGTTAAAGTTTGCTTCAGACTGATAACAGGTGCCGCCAAACATTCCACTGGTGATATAACATAGTATTATGGTGCATGTGCCATATTACCTTTCTAAAATCTAAAGTCTTCTGAATTCTGAAAGACATTTGGTCTGAAAGTTTAGATAAAGATCTGTGGACCTATTTGAAAATTTATATATGGAAATCATTTTGGGCTTAGGATAATGCATTTCTCTTAATAAAATTTTTGTTTGCTCTGTCCAAACACCAAGGGCTCTAGTACTGTAGAACATAATTTAGTTTTGGGACTGGGACTGGAGATTTTTGATGAACTACCTAGAAGACTTGAAGCTAGTCTCTTTACAAATCTCATTTACTTATGGTTAACCTGTAGTCCTAGGGTGTAGCTCTTTAGACTCCCGGTCTAACATGGGCTAAAGGGACAGGGATTGGTCACCTGGGGTTTGAACCCTGTCAAGCCTGGTCTCTGACTTTTATCCCTTTAGCTCCATGTGGCTATTAAAGACACAGCTCAGTTTCTGAGGACCTCTTCTAGGTAACAAAAGCCCTCAAGCAAGAACTGCTCCTGATACCATGCTCACTTCTCCAGATTGTTGACTCAACCAAGAACTTCTTCACCATCTGGTTAGTTGTTTCATATGTGAAGTCTTTGATAGATCTTGGAGCCAGCTCTGACTCCACTCTTAGTTCAGGTTCTCATCATTTCACTTCTGATTGTATCCTAGCTCACCTCCCTACCTTGATCCTTATCCCTTTCCCATCTAATTTCCTGCTCGTTGCCAGAAAGAGCTTTCTTAAAAAAGCACAAACATGATCACATTACTAGCTTATTTAAACTTTTTCAGTAGCTCCTCATTATTTATAAGATGAAGTCCAGATTCTTTAATAAGGAAGAAACTCACTATTCCTCCCTTGATCTGCCTCTACAGTGTTGTCTCCCATTGCTTCTCGCCCCATACTCTGGATTCTTTATCAGTACCTGAAATGGATCGTGCTGTTTTATGTCTTCATATATTTGCCCATGCTGTTCTCTTTGCTGGTAATGCTTTTCTTATACCCTCAAACTCTATCCCCTTAACCTAAAAAAACCCTCCTCCTGTAAAACCTAGGAAAATTGACTTTTTTTTCTATAGTGCTTTCTTCATTTACTCTCCCTTTCTCTCATTCCCCATAGGGTAGACTATGGTTTCCATTTTGTCCCCATTGAATTCTGTATGTACTTTATATTTTTGCACAAACCAACCATCGTAACAGTTACTTGTGTCCATGTCTGTTTTCCCTAACTAAATGGAGGCCATTGAGGGAATATAGAATGCATTGTTTTTTATCCCCAGTCCTTAGCATGAATTTGATAATACAATAAATGCTTTAAAAAATGTCAGTTGAGGTCCCTGAATGAATGTTACGGCTTGAGCAGTATTTTTTTATTCTATCCCACTTAATATTCAAATGAACTATAAAATGAGGAGGTATAGTATATAGTTTATGAGGTCCCTTCTTTTCTATACTTCTAGGATTCTGGTAGATGTAGAAATGGTCTACACTTTGGGAAAGAATGTCTAAAGTGAAAGTGACCCTGAAAAATTGTAAAACTTGCCAAAAAAACGGCAGAATAAAAACTTCAGCTAGTTCATTCCATTACAAGGCAGTATGCATTCAACATATATATTTAAGGAATGAATTACAAAGAATTCCCAAACACAAAATGTAATGAACTATAACAAGCATAAATAACTGAAACAAATATAAAAATAGCATTTTCAGATTGTTGTTTTTGTGGTCTTCATATGTGAGCTTTGTGATCTTTTAATGATCATGCCAGCTAACGGAGGAACTGGTAAGAGGCGGCAGTATAATAAACAACGCGAAGGAAGTGAGATGATGTAGACTTCTAACTCTTTTTTTTTCTGTTTTTTTGAGACGGAGTCTCACTCTGTCGCTCAGGCTGGAGTGCAGTGGCATGATCTCGGCTCACTGCAACGTCCGCCTCCTGGGTTCAAGCCATTCTTCTGCCTCAGCCTCCCGAGTAGGTGGGACTACAGGTATGCACCACCACGCCCAACTAATTTTTGTATTTTTAGTAGAGATGGGGTCTCACCGTATTGGCCAGGCTGGTCTCAAACTCCTGACCTCATGATCCACCTGCCTCAGCCTCCCAAAAGTGTTGGGATTACAGGCATGAGCCATGAGCCGCCGTGCCCGGCCACTTCTATCTAACTCTTTAAATATCATAACATTGAAGGTATTTGAGTCTCATTGGTGCCCACTATATTCAATCAATAAAGAATTATATTTAGGCGTAATCACCAGACAATGAAATGATTTTCTGAGAAAAGCTGTGTGTACTTTCCTGACCTTTGAAAGTACAAAGCAGTCTTTCTCCAAGATGGTTTAATTGTATTCCCAACTAGGTACAACCACTTTGGAAAACTGTGTGGTTATATTCACTATTCTTTTTTAAGAGACAGGGTCTCACTCTGTTGCCCAGGCTGGAGTGCAGTGGTGTGATCTCGGCTCACCACAACCTTGACCTCCCTGGCTCAAGCAATACTGCCACCTCAGCCTCTGGAGTAGCTGGGACTACAGGTGCATGCTACTGTGCCCAGTTCAATTTCTTTTTCTTTCGTTTGCTATAGAAACGAGGTCTCACTATGTTGCCCAGGCTGATCTCAAACTCCTGGGTGCAAGCGATTCTCCTGCCTCGGCTTCCCAAAGTGCAGGGATTACAGGCATGAGCCACTGTACCTAGCCATATTCACTAAAATTACACATGTGCCTACCTTACGACCAGCAACTCCATGTCTAGGAACATAACTATGAGAAAAGAGTGTAGACATCTACCAAAAGTCTGTACAGGAATATTAATGGCAGCTTTATCATAGACAAAAACTGGATACGATCAAATGTTCATCAACAGTGGAACAGTTAAATTATGATACGATGAAATACATGGCAACAAAATAATCAAGTTATATACAACAATGTGGATGAATCTGAGACACAATGATGAGCATAAGAAGCAAGGCAAAGGAGTACATAATGTATAATTTTATTTATATATAATAAATTTTATTTATATGAATTAATTTTTAAAAAGAGTAAAACTAATCTGTATGACAGAAGTGAAAATAAGTTACCTGAAGGTTCTTGGGGGAGTGGGGGAAGGAGCAACAAAAGACTGAAAAAGAGTATGAGGGAACCTTCTGGGATCCTGAAAATCTGTGAGCTGAATTGAGTGGTGAATACAAATACATGAGAACTCACTGAACTTTTTACTATAGATATGAGGACTTTATATAGGGAAAAAAAAAACTCCAAACACAAACCCTGAAAAGAATATATTTCTATCTGAATTCAGGAAGAGGCTGGACGTGGTAGCTCATACCTGTAATTCTAACACTTTGGGAGACTCCCAAAGGATTGATAGCAATCCTTTGGGATTGCTTGAGGCCAGGAGTTCAAGACCAGCCTGGACAACATCTTGAGACTACCTCTACAAAAGCAAGACAAGACAAAACAAAACAAAAACTAACTGGGCGTGGTAATCCATGTCTGTAGTCCTAGCTACTTGGGAGGCTGAAGCAAGTGGATCACTTGAGTCTAGGAGTTCAAGGCTATAGTGAACGAGCTATCATCCTGCCACTGCTCTCCAGCCTGGATGACTGAGTGAGAACCTTAGAATGAATGAATGAATGAATGAATGGATGAATAAATAAATAAATAATTTCAGGAAGGTAAGAAGATTAACTTGTGTCTTGTAGTAGTAGTTACTGTAGCCATACATATAACTTGACTTATTTGGAACTTAGCTATTTGGAAACCTTACTTAACCAGGTCATAGAAAATACCTGAATGCTAAGCCAAAGATAAAAACAAATACCTTTTGGGCAGTCAAGTATGTTTCACATAGTAGCTGCCATTGGCTGAAACTCACACATTTTAATCAGTAACATCACCTGGACTATGTATTTTTTTTTTTTTTTTGAGACAGAGTCTCGCTCTGTCGCCCAGGCTGGAGTGCAGTGGCGCAATCTCGGCTCACTGCAAGCTCTGCCTCCTGGGTTCATGCCATTCTCCTGCCTCAGCCTCCCAAGTAGCTGGGACTACAGGTGCCTGCCACCACGCTCGGCTAATTTTTTGTATTTTTAGTAGAGACGGGGTTTCACTGTGTTAGCCACGATGGTCTCGATCTCTTGACCTCGTGATCTGCCCGCCTCGGCCTCTGAAAGTGCAGGGATTACAGGCATGAGCCACCATGCCTGGCCCACCTGGACTATGCATTTTTATTTTGCATTTATCCCTAGTAAAGCTATCTGGTCTCCAAGCAGATAGCATATTAAATGGGACATATTAACTGTTTGCATCGTGAATTTATGGGTGTCTAACCTTTTCTGTAAGGGGAACTTTGCTGTTGCTGTAGTACAGATGTTTTCAAACTTCGTTTTAGCTGTGGAACTTTTTCTTCAAATGTTATCTCATGTGTAAGTTCAGTATTCCATGTGTAACAGTTAACTTGCATTAAATCATCCAACTGATATATAGCAGGCCAGTATTTGTATTCAAGTGTGGCAGAGATGGATTAGGTGCTCACCAAATCTGCTTTTTGTTTGTTTCTTTGTTTCTTGACTCTGGTCATGTAGCTAAGCTATATTTCTTAGCCTCTCTTTCATTAGCAGTGGCCATGTGTCTGAGATCTAACCAAGGGAACATGGGTGGAACTGATGTAAGCCACTTTGACACCACAAAACCTCCCATGGGTTCTCTCTCTTCTTCTCTGGTGTACTTGTTGGATGGAGAAGATGCTGAGAAATAGTGGGAAGTCCTAGGGGATGGAAGAACCCAGGATTCTGAATACTCCATTGGACCTTACGTGAGTGGAAAACAAGCTTCTGTTTTGTTCAACTAAATCTTTGCTAAGACTTGAGTGTTCATTATACCAGCTAGTATTACTTATGAATACACTTTGTCTGTGTGACTATAAAAGTTATATTCATCATCTCAGTGTACCAGGCACTTTTCTAATAGGTAGCAGGATTAGAAAGTCTTAATAGGTCCTAAAGATAGTTTCTTCTCCCTAGCTCTACTCCTCTCCTCAGAAAAGGAGAAAAAGTATTATGAATGTTTATTTTGTTTAAATATGTCAGCTTTGACAATTTAGGGGTAATTTCATTTAATGCCTAAACAAGCTGAAGACACAAAGAATTATCACTGAATCAGTGATTAGGAATAATTAGACCAGAAGACCTTTGCAATATCCATCTAGCCTTACTTAAAGTTCAAATTATGAATATATTACTTATATGAGAAAAAAGATCCAAGAAAATAAAGATTTGTCCTTTTACAAAATAATTTCAGCAAAGTAACTAAATCTATTCAGTGGAACATATTTTCTGTTCTCCCAACCAATAATAATAAATAGTAGCTTAGAAGAGAATTAAAATGCTCTTGAGACTTTTTGCTCTAATAATCATTTTAGAGGTTGACAATGAGAGGAAAAGATTGGGTTGATTTAGAAGTCCTTAGGAAAGACTGGATCTCAGATGTTACAGTTACAGAATTTTCTAGTCTTAATAACATCTCATCATCAAACTCATTTTATGTTTTTTACTTCATGTCTTCAATTTGTGTTAAATATGAAGAGTTATAAATCAGATATGAAAATCCACTGTTTGTGAGATTTTAAAAAAGGCTCGATCTTGTCGTTGATTTACAGTGTTTTATAATGAGACTGATTTCATAAGCCAGAGAAGAAATTTGTGACATTTTATGTTCTATTCCACATGCCTGTGTTTACTTTCTAAGCTTTAAATTAATGATCCAAAAAGACATCTCTAGATATATGTATAACTGCAGCCGTAAAATTAGAGAATGCAATTATTTGGATTTACTATTATTTTTGGTTTAAGGAAGACTATTTTATCTAGTTTAACCAACCAATTATCGTAAAAATAACATTCCTTACCTACCCAGCCATCCATTGACTCTTATCTAATGTTTTTTTGGTTGCCGAATTCAGGATAGCTAATTTAAATAATTATATTGGTTATCAGTTTGTTTGTGTGTTTAAGACGGAGTTTCACTCTGTTGCTCAGGCTGAAGTGCAGTGGCACGATCTTGGCTCACTGCAGCCTCTGCCTCCTGGGTCCAAGTGATTCTCCTGCCTCAGCCTCCTGATTAGCTGGGATTACAGGTGTGTGCCACTGTGCCTGGATGGTTATTAGTTTTGAACCACTCTTTTGAAATCAGAAGTTGAAGAAGATAGTGTTCAAAGGTTGAAGCAAATGTGGAGGCTGTACTAATTATAAAAGTGTTCTGTGGGAACCATGAAGCAGCAAGTAAGAAGTTGCACCCTTAATTTTTTTTAAGTAGATTTTATTATTATTTATTTATTTATTTTTTTGAGACGGAGTTTCGCTCTTGTTGCCCAGGCTGGAGTGCAATGGCACGACCTCGGCTCACTGCAACCTCCACCTCCCGGGTTCAAACAGTTCTCCTGCCTCAGCCCACCGAGTAGCTGGGATTATAGGCACGCACCACCACGCCTGGCTAATTTTGTATTTTTAGTAGAGATGAGGTTTCTCCATGTTAGTCAGGCTGGTCTTGAACTCCCAACCTCAGGTGATCTGCCCACCTCGGCCTCCCAAAGTGCTGGGATTACAGGCATGAGCCACTGCGCCCAGCCAAGTAGACTTTATTTTTTAGAGTGCTATTTGGTTGACAGAAAAAATGAGCAGAAAATACAAAGAAGTCCCATGTAAACCCTGCTTCCTCCCCAAAGCCCTCCTACTAGAACTTCTCACACCAGAGTGGTACATTTGTTAAAATAGATGAACCCACATCAACACATCATCACCACCCAAAGTTCATAATTCCATTAAGGTTCACTCTTGGTGTTGTACATTTATGAGTTTTGACAAGCTACAGGCATACTGCAGATATTGTGTGTTCAGTTCCAGACCACTGCAATAAAGCAAATGTCTCAATAAAGTGAGTCACATGAATTTTTTTGTTTCTCAGTCCATATAAAAGTTGTGCATTATGTCTAAAAAATCACATACCTGAATTTAAAATTTTTTTATTGCTAAAAACTGCTAATGATCATCTGAGCCTTCAGAGAGTTGTAATCTTTTTGTTGAAGAGTCTTGCCTCAATACTGATGACTGCTAGCTGCTCAGGGTGCTGGTTGCTGAACATGGGGATGGCTGTGGCAATTTCTTAAAAGAAGACGACAATGAAGTTGCCCCATTGATCAACTTTTCCTTTCATGAAAGATTTCTCTTTAGTATGCAGTACTGTTTGATAGCATTGTACCCACAGAATTTCTTTCCAAACTGGAGTCAATCCCTTCAAATTCTTCCACTGCTATATCAACTAAGTTTATGTAATAAACTTCTATCTCAAGATGGAATAAACTTCCATCTCAAGAAGCCGCTTTCTTTGCTTATCCATAAGAAGCAACTCCTCACCCATTCAAGTTTTGAGATCACAGAAATTCAGTCACATCTTCAGGCTCCACTCCTAATTCCTATTCTCTTGCTATTTCTAACACATCTGCATTACATCCTTCACTGAAGTCTTAAACCTTTCAAAGTCATCAATGAAAGTTGGAATCAGCTTCTTCCAGATACCTGTTAATGTTGATATTATGGATGTCATGTTAGGAGGGATGAAAACAACATTAATCTACTTGTGTATCTCTATCAGAGCTCTTGGGGTAACTAAGTGCATTGTCAATGAGCAGTAATATTTTTAAAGGAATCTTTTTTTCTGAGCAATAGGTCTCAACAGTGGGGCTTAATATAGTCAGTATGCGGCCAGGTGCAGTGGCTCATGCCTGTAATCCCAGCACTTTGGAAGGCCGAGGCGGGCGGATTACCTGAGGTCAGGAGTTCAAGACCAGCCTGGCCAACATGGTGAAACCCCTTCTCTACTAAAAATACAAAAATTAGCCAGGCATGATGGCATACTCCTGTAATCCCAGCTACTCGAGAGGCTGAGGCAGGAGAATTGCATGAATCCTGGAGGAGGAGGTTGCAATGAGCCAAGATGCGCCATTACACTCCAGCCTGGGCGACAAGAGCGAGACTCCGTCTCAAAAAAAAAATTCAGTTTGCCATGCTTAAAACAGATGTGCTGTCATCCAGGCTTTGTTATTTTAATGATAGAGTGCAGTCAGAGTAGATTTAGCATAATTCATACGGGCCCTAGGATTTTTTGGAATAGAAAATGAGCATTGGCTTCAACTTAAAGTCACCAGCTGTATTAGCCCCTAACAACAGAGTCAGCCTATCCTTTGAAGCTTTTAAGCCAGACACTGACTTCTCTAGCTATGAAAAGTCCTAGATGGCATTTTGTTCCAATAGCAGACTGTTTCATCTATGTTGAAAATCTGTTGTTTAGTGTACAGTGTTCATCAGTGTTCTTAGTGTTCATCAATGGTCTTAGCTAGATCTTCTGGATAACTTGGTACAGCTTCTGCATTAGCACTTGCTGCTTTACCTTGTACTTTTATGTTCTGGAGATGGGTTATTTCTTTAAACCTTATAAACCAACTTCTGCTAGCTTCAAACTTTTCTTCTGTAGCTTCTTTACTTCTCTCAACCTACATAGAATTGAAGAGAGTTAGGGCCTTGCTCTGGATTAGGCTTTGGTTTAAGGAAATATAGCTGGTTTGATCATTTATTCAGACCACTCAAGCTTTATTGTTTTGCTTTCTTATATTTCATGTGATGCCTGGAGAGTAGCACTTTTAATTTCCTTCAAGAACTTTTCAGGCCAGGTGTGGTGGCTCACACCTGTAATCCCAGCACTTTGGGAGGCTGAGGCTGGTGGATCGCTTGAGCTCTGGGTTTGAGACCAGCCTGGGCAACAAACCCTATTTCTACAAAAAGTAGAAAAATTAGCCAGGCTTGGTGGTGCACGCACATAGTCCCCTCTACTCAGGAGGCTGCGGTGGGAGCATCGTTGGTCAAGGCTGCAGTGAGCTGTGATCGCGCCATAGCACTCTAGCCTAAGTGACAGAGTGAGACTCTGCCTCAGGAAAAAAAAAAAAAAAGAAAGAAAGAAAGAAAGAAAAATAATTTTTCCATTTAATTCACAACCTGGCTGTTTGGTGTAAGAGGCCTATCTTAGCTTTTGTTTTGCCTTCCTCACTAAGCTTAATCATTTCTAGCTTTTGATTTAAAGTGAGATATGTGACTCTTCCTTTCACCTGAACACTTAAATGCCATTGTAGGGTGATATGGTTTGGATGTTTCATCCCCTCCAAATCTTGTGTTAAAATGTGACCTCCAATGTTGGAGGTGAGGCCTAGTGGGAGGTGTCTGACTAATAGGGGCGGGTGGATCCCTCGTGAATGGCTGGTACCCTCCTCTCAGTAATGAGTGAGTTCTTGCTCTGAGTTCACACGAGATATTGTTGTTTAAAAGAGTGTGGTATGTCCTCTCCTCTCTTTAACTCTCTCTCTCTCACCATGTGATATGCCTGCTCCCCCTTTGCCTTCCACCATGATTGTAAGCTTCCTGAGGCTGTCACCAGAAGCAAAACAGATGCTGTGCCATGCCTGTATAGGCTGCAGATCCTTGAGCTGAACAGACCTCTTTTTTAAATAAATTACTCAACCTGAGGTATTCCTTTATAGAGACACAAAGTAGACTAACATATAGGATGACTAATTGTCCTAATTTCCACATCATCATGTCTCAGCAAATAGGGAGGCCCAAGGGGAAGAAAAGAGGCAAGGAATGGCCAGTTGATGGAGCAGTCAGAACACATAAGGGTTTATTGGTTATGTTTGCTATCTTACGTAGGTTTGTGGTGCCCCCAAACAATTACAGTAGTAACATCAAAGATTATTTATCATAGATTACCATAATAGATACAATAGTAATGAAAAATTTGAAGTAATGTGAGAATTACTACGGGTGATACAGAGATACAAAGCGAGCACATGCTGCTGGAAGAATGGTGCCAACAGACCTGATTGACACAGGGTTGCCACAAACCTTAATTTTATAAAAAATGCAATATCTGCAAAGTGCTAAAAAAATGAGATATGCCTGTAGTTGGAATCATACAGTATGTAGCCTTTTCAGATTGGCTTCTTTAACTTAGTAATATGTATTTAAGGTTCTTCCATGTCTTTTCATAGCTTGATGGCTCATTTCTTTTTAGCACTGAATAATATTCAGTTGTCTGGATGTACCAAGGTTTATTTAGCCATTTGTCTACTGAAAGACATGTTGGTTGCTTCCAAGTTTTGGCAATTATGAATAAAGTTGCTATAAACATTCATGTGGAGGTTTTTGTGTGGACATAAGCTTTCAGCTCATTTGGGTAAACACCAAAGAGTACGATTGCTGAATTGTACGTTAAGAGTATGTTTAGTTTTTAAAGAAACTGCCAAATCGTCTTTTAAAGTAGCTGTACCATTTTTGTGTTCCCACCAGCAGTGCATGAGAGTTCCTGTTGCTTCACACCCTTGCCAGCATTTGGTGGTTTTAGTGTTTAGGATTGTTGCCATTTTAATAGGTTTGTAATGATATGTCGTTGTTTGAACTTGTGATTGATTCCCTAGTGAAATACTTTGTGGAGCATCTTTTCATATGCTTATTTACCATTTGTATGTCTTGTTTGGTTAGGAGGCTGTTGAGATTTTTGCCCATTTTTAATTGATTTCATTGATTTCTCCTCTAATTTTGTTTATTCTACTTACGTTGTATTTAATTTGCTTTTGTTTTTCTAGTATCCTAAGGTAGAAGCTTCAGTTATTGATTTTAGACCTTCTTTTTTTAAGATATGCATTTCAATGTTATAGACTTCCCTATAAGTACAGTTTTCACTGCATCCCACAAATTCTGATAAGTTATATCATCATTTTTACTTAGTTTGCAATATATTTAAATTTCTCTTGAGATTTCTTTGATAACATGTACTTGAAAGTGTGTTGCTTTATCTTTATGTGTTTGAGGATTTATCAGCTGTCTTTGTGTTATTGATTTCTAGTTTAATTCTGGTGTAGTCTGAGAGCAGACATGGTATGATTTCTATTTTAAATTTGTTAAGGTGTGTTTTATGACCTAGAATGTGGCCTATCTTGATGAATGTTCCATGTGAGCTTGAGAAGAATGTGTGTTCTGCTGTTGTTGAATGAAGTAGTCTGTAGATGTCAGGTATATTCAGTGAATTGCCGGTGCTGTTGAGATCAACTATATTCTCACCGATTTTCTGCCCACTGGATCTGTCCATTTCTGATAAGAGGGCTGTTAAAATTTCCAACTGTAATACTGGATTCATGTATTTCTCGTTGGCATCTCTTAATTTTTGCTTCCTATCTCTTAATGCTCTGTTGTTAAGTGCATACACATTAAGGATTGTTAAATTTTCTTGGAGAATTGACTCCTTTATCCTTTCTTTACCCCTGATAATTTTTATTTCTCTAGTCTGCTGTGCTGAAGTTAATATAGTGATTCCAGCTTTTGATTTGTGTTAGCACAGTATAGCTTTCTCCATTTACTTTTAATCTATGTGTGTCTTTATATTTAAAATGTATTTCTTGTAGATAACGTATAGTTAGGTTTTGTTTTGTGATTTATTCTAACGGTCTCTATTTTTAAATTGGATTTAGATTATCGATGTGTAAAAGTGATTATTGATATATTTGGATTATTAATATCTACCATATTACTTCCTATTTGTATTCATTGCCTTTGTTCTTTTTTCCTTATATGTCTTCCACCCATTTTCTACATTTTCTGGTTTAATTGAGCATTTTGTTTCACTCCATTTTCTTTTGTTTCTTAGCATGTCAGTTATCTTTTTTTAACTTTTTAAATTGTTTGCTTTTGAGTTTGCAATATACATTTACGATTAATTCAAGTCTAGTTTCAAATAACACTGTATCATTTTACAGATACTGCATGTATCTTATAATAAGAAAATATTCCTAATCTCTCTCTGGAATCCTCAATTTTTGATGCTTAAAGTTCTATCTTAGAACCGATTGCCTGATTATTTATCAGATGTCCAATGTTGATATTTGTTTCAGGTTATGAGAATATTTATTTTCTAAGTATATATTCATTAAAGAACATATAAAGCTTGTTAAGAGCTTGTGGATATCTCTTTATGCTTTAAAAATTTCCCTAAATTGTGATGCTAATGTTAAAAATAATAATTATAAAAAACTTGAACAGGCCAGATAATAGTTTGTACATCTACTAAATTGGCATTTCTGGGAAGAAAATTGCTTTAACAATTTTAGTAGTATTTCTTGCCTTCTCCTTATCCTCCTGTTTCACATTATTCTTTTTTCCTTTTTTAATATTCTGTCCATATCCTTTAAGAAACAAAAAATTACTTGGTATAGAGAAAATGACTCCCTGTAGTGCATTTAACTGCTTCCTCACCCATGATCTGTATTTTGATGTAATCTTCATGGTATCAGAGATAATGTTAAACTCAAATAGGTGCTTACTGACTTTCTCATTACTAGTCTGAAGTTAGGTAGTTTTATTTTAGATCTCTCTCTTTTTATTAATTAATTCAACAAATATTTATTGTGTGCTTACAATTTGCTAAGCACTTGAGACACTATGGAGAATCAAAACAAACATGGATGTTATAGCCTAGTGGGTAAAACAGGCATTGATTGATAATTTCACGAGGAAATATACAATTACAACGCCACAGCTGTGATGGAGAGATGCATTGGGCTGTAAAGGCCTGTAATAGGGAGATTTGACCTGGTCAGAGGGGTCAGGAAAGACTTCCCTGAGGAAGTGACACTTGAACTGAAATCTGAAGCATGATAATGATGGAAGGAAGATCGTATACCATCCAGTTGCAGAGAACAGGATGAGCAAGAGCCCTGTGGTGGGAAGGAGAGTGACAGGTGTGAAGAACTGAAAGAATTCAAGTATGTCTTTATGAGGGAGCCTTACAAGGGTAGAGTGGGTATGAGTAGGCTCATACCAAAATCAAGAATTTTGTCTTGATTGTAAGTGGGAAACCATTGAATAGTTCCAGACAAGATGAGGTAAATTTGTATTTTGAAAAGATTATTCTGACTACAGTAGGAAAAATGTTTTTTGGTGGTCATAGTAGATGTAGGTTGATAAATTTAGGAGGCTCTTGTAATCCAGGTGAGAGATGATGGTAGATTCATTTAGGGGAGAATGGTGAGAAGTAGATAGGTTGGATAATACTCAGGAGGGGAAATGAGTAAGATTCATTAGATATTGGATATTGAATGGTGAGAGATGGTGATAACTAAGGTTTGGGGCTTGTATAGCTGGATGAATGTGGTCCCATTTATTAGGATAAGGAACACTAGAATAAGACCAGATTTTAAAAGAAAGATCATAGTGTAGGTTTTATACGTTTTGAACTTGAGATAGCTATTAAGTGTTAAATTGAATATATGAGTATGTTGCTCAAAGAAGACAAAGTATGAACTGGAGATATAAGTAGATGTGTTAATTGTGAATGATGATATGCATGGTGAGAATATGGACAGAGGATGTCAAGGATCCAGCTTTCAAAGTCTCCCAACACTTAGAGACTAGATAGAAAATATTGAACCTCTGATTGAACCAGTCAGAAGTGTGATCAGAGGTTAGGGGAAAACTAGAATTTTTTTTTTTTTTTTAATATTTAAAGGTGTTCATTATGGTTTTAGGAGTTTTTGTTTTTGTTTAAAAATGATTTCTTATTTAAATAAATCTTTTATTCCAACACTTAAAAAATCTTTATTTGGCCCTTCTAGACGTATCTTTGTCTCTTAAATGAGAAGCGGTTGTGTACATGTCAGGTGTGCCTTTCACTTCTGATACTTAGAAGAAAGGTAGTTTTCACTGCAGGAAGTGTTTCATTGGGAAGCATATGTGCTCCAGTGATAGGAAATGGGAAGAGGATGTTTTGTTATTAATTATTTAGCTTTGTATAAACAAGGACTTTGTACTTTTGAAAGATGTCATCTTCTGGTTAATATAAATGAGTTCTATTTTTAAAGATTTTTATGAGTTGATCTAAGAGCTATGTAGTCACTTGTTCTAGTAACAGAATTCTAGAACTCTCTTTGTTAACCGTAGCATCTATCATGTATTCTAATACAAAAGAGCAAGTGGGATACATATAATAAAATAGAATATTCGTATAGAAAAGTTGTGTCATAAAATAGGAAGTGACAACAGACTATGTCTAAGCTGAGAAAGCTCATGTTTTCCCTTTTCATCTCTACTTGTTTCCCTAATAAACACATTTTAATGAGAAACTGATATCCTATTTTAAACTTTTTAAAAGACTTTTAGCATTTACACTAATCCTAGAATATCTAAGAGTTAGTGCCACAACTATGCTCTTTAAGCCTGAATTTCTCAATTATGTTCTGTGGATCATAGTTTAGAAAATGCTAATTTAAGCAGGTCATGGAATCCTGAACTGGAAATTAGGATATACTTGTGTTTTTTTATTTTTGCTGTTAACTTCTAAGGGACAGGTCCCTTTTGTCTGGCTTTGTTGGATTATTTATAATATGAGAGACTTAGTGAAGTTGGTCTGTGATGACTTGTCTAGTTCTCTGTTCTATAATTATGATTCTGTAGATTAGTGTTAAGGCTTTTATTTTTGCTGTGGATTTTAAATATATATATTTTTACTTAACTTTTCTGCTTTCAAAAGGAATGAAAACACATACTTATAAAATTTGATATATGATAGAAATTAATAATATAAAAAATGAAATTCTACCCTGAAAGAAAATAACAACACATTTTTTCTTGATGCATATGATTCTACCGTGTACATACTGATATATTAATCATTATTTTAAATAAAAGTAGGATCATGGTCTACTTTTTATGGTATATTTTACCTTTCTATCTTGTCTCTTGGATTCCTTTCCATATACATTTATCTCTTACATTTTTTTCTTGTCACTGTTATGAATGTAGTATATAGCCATGGTTAAAACTTAAAACCAGAGGTCTAAGGTGATTTCTTAGCTATACTCCTCACAAGTAATCACTGTTATAAAAGCATGTGTGTCTTTGTAGCATGTATAAATATATGTGTGTTTCTTTTTGTATGTATATATATGTACTATGATTTATTTAGTCACTTTTCTATTGATGGTCATTAGCATTTGCCTCCTTTCCTTTCATACTGTACATACATATATATATATATATATCCTGTATATATGTATATGCTAACTCATAAGAATGTAAGTGCAAAAGATTGTTGAATTTTTTATTGTGCTTTCTTTATGTGCTATAGATAATCTTTGTCTTCAAGGAGGTTTGGCTAGGATTACTGTATCTTTGATTCTTAGCACACTATCATGAGCACTGCGTAGGTCTCTACAATCTCACAGAACATTTCAGGCAAATGTTCTCATTTTGCCCCGAAATCTTGATACAGTTTTCTCTTTTGGTGAACTTGACTGAATTACAGAGGAACCTTGAGAACTTAGTTCTTTTAGTTTAAGATCTATCTACAGCTTGTTATTCACAATTCGGTCCGTGGACCAGTAGCATAGTTATCATCTAGGAGCTTAGAAATGTGGAATCTCAGGCGGAGTAGTAAATTGAAATCTGCATCTTAATATGATCTCCTAGTATAGTAATTCATTCACACATTATAATGTGAGAAGCACTGGTCTGGAAGCAGATTTGTTGCATTGTTTTTTGGGGGGGCATGTTTCTTTGTGCCCACATCATGAGTTTGGTCCTTTGCTTCTTGTTGTTCTGATTAAGAGAAGAGGAAGAAAAGAAAAACATACAAATGTTTGAACTAAAGAGCTGAATTTACTAAGGATAAAAGCCATTTTCCCTGTTTTTATTGTGCCTTGCAATGGTAGAGTCTTTTGTTGATTTTTACCTGGTTTTTACCACACCAGCTATGTGGAAGAGAAGAGAAAAAACGGTTGTGTTGTAATACTTGCTTTGAAAACACAGATTTGTACTACACAATTGATATTAAGGAAAAATTTAAGCATTATGTGAATTTTGTGTTGACTTATATGCCATTTGTCTGTAAGAATTACTAACTGAATACAGAAAACTGTATCCAGGGCTGGACACGGTGGCTCACACCTGTAATCCCAGCATTTTGGGCGGCCGAGGCAGGCAGATCACCTGAGGCCAGGAGTTCAAGACCAGCCTGGCCAACATGGCCCGTCCCTACAAAAATACAAAAACTAGCCAGGTGTGGTGGCATGTGCCTGTAATCCCAGCTATTCGGGAGGTTGAGGCAGGAGAATCACTTGAACCCGGGAGGTGGAGGTTGCAGTGAGCCAAGATCATGCCACTGCACTCCAGCCTAGGTGACAGAATGAGACTGTCTCAGAAAACAAACAGACAAACAAACAAACAAAACCCCACAACTGTATCCAGCTGAAGCAAGCTACATAAGAATACTCAAAATACATACATCTCAACTACCAGCTGCCTGAGTTCTCCACATGTTAAAGCCATACCTGCCCACCTGTGGTGTTACAGCATTACTTGCTGTACACTTCAGGTAACCCTCCTTCTACCACCTCAGAAAAAATCAAAAGCTGCAACCATTCTGATGCCTACTTTCACAAGCAAACTTCCAGTTTAAAAAAAAAAAACACCCTATTTATTTTTGTATTTATGTGTTTCTTAGCCATTTAAAATGGTGCTACAGTTTAGCGTCTTGTCTTACATGTCGTTGTCTAAGTTTCTGAATGTTATTCCCCTAACTCCATCTTCCCTGTAAGCCCTGTGGTTTTAGGGTGCAGTTTTGCTTAGTGCAGGGAATTTTAAAGAATTCATGTTACATTATGGCAGAATTGACTGTAGATCATAAGACTCTCAAAAGACATTGCCTCCATCCTTTACACTTTATACTTTGTAAAAATCCCCTTACTACACACTTCCCTAACACCTTACATTTTCCCCTTCCTTATGTAAGCCTTTCCTGATAATGGGAAGTTCCAGGAAGACAGGGACAGTGTCTGGTTGTTTTTTGTTGTTGTTGTTGTTGTTCCTCTAGTCCTAATATAGTGCCTGATAGGTAGGTGCTCAATAACTATTTGAAATATGATTCTGTGAATTTAAGTAATTGCATATTTATTCAGAGAATTTAAATGTCATTTTGACATAGCAACCAGAATGATTCTTAAAGCTGTGCTTTAAATGTTATAAATTGTTGTTTAAAAAATGTAAAAGTAAGTAGTTGCTGTTGGAAGTGGCAGAAATGTTCTTGTTCTGACATTTCAATGAGCAGCCAACTTTTATAGTAGAAAGAATTCTTAATGAATGTAGTAATCCAGTGGTTCTAGTATCATTGTTTCTAAGAGATTATACATCCTGTGAATATTTTCTTTAAAATTCCTAAATTCATTATATATATTTGAGAAAATTCAGAAAATGAAGTGTCAAGTTATTGTTTTAAAGTTAGATTAAGGATAAAGCTTAGAGAAATAACTAACGTGAGTGATATTAGGCTTTCGTTAATAATAGAACATAATTTTGAGCACTTGTCAAATTAAATTTTAGCTAGCCGTGACAGATCTGAGTCTTCACCTTTATTTCTTTGATTCTTGCTTGTGTAGTGTGTCTTCCTCAGTCCATGGTTCTTTCTGCCTTCTAATTGTATTTGATTTTGTTTCTGTTATTTAATATTTTCCATCTCCATATTTCTGAATTAAATAGGGAAGCTTATGGTAAAAAAAATTGTGGGCCGGGTGCGGTGGCTTATGCCTGTAATCCCAGCACTTTAGGACGCCGAGGCAGGTGGTTCACGAGTTCAGGAGTTCAAGACTAGCCTGGCCAAGATGGTGAAACCCCGTCTCTACTTAAAATACAAAAAAAATTAGCCGGGTGTGGTGGCGGGTGCCTGTAACCCCAGCTACTTGGGAGGCTGGGGCAGAGAATTGCTTGAACTGGGGAGGCGGAGGTTGCAATGAGCCAAGCGTGCCACTGCACTCCTGGGTAACAGAGCGAGACTCCGTCCCGGGGAAACGAAAAAAAGAATTTTGGTAGTTTTTCGAAACAATTGTGTTGATGGTTTACAAAATACCGTAATCCTTGTTACCTTTAACCTTACCTCTTGGTATAAGACTCATTTAACAAGGAGTCTCTGAATTTTACCATGTGGATTTCAGGACTCAAATTCTATTCCCAGTTTGCAACTTTTCTCAAAATTATAGCTCTAATTTAATTTTCCACTAAGATATCTTAATAGGGTGATCTTGATTAACTTCTCTCCCTCATAAAATCTATGAAGCAAGATATTTTGTTATACTACTCAAAAGATACTCTCAAAGAGGGAACATTACAGTATTAATTATAAAAATCTATATTATAGACTCAAAGGAAGAGGTTGTAAAATTTAAAAATATTTACTTGCGTATTGTTTTATTTTAATGTGATTTCAAACCTATAGAAATTTGCAATAGTACAATAAACTCCCATAAATCCTTTACTTAGATTCAACAACTGTGTACAGTTTGCCCCATTTGCTTTATCATATTTTATCTACCTTTATATGCAGTTTTTCCTGAGTCATTTGAGAATAAGTTGGAAACATTGTGACCCTCTATCCCTAAATCCTTCTGTGAGTACCTTAAGAATATGATAACTTTCTCTTACATAACCATAGTAAAATTATTAAAATGAAAATTTTAATATTTTTGTAATTAGATAATGGCCTAACCCATAATCCACATTCAGAATTTGTCAGTTGTCCCAATAATGTCTTTCATAACTGTTTTTCCCCAGTTCATGATACAATCCAAAATCATGCATTGCTTTAAATTGTCTGTCATTAGTCTCTTTGAAACTGAACAATTCCATGATCTTTCTTTGTCCTGATCCTGACATTTTTGAAGCAAGGAGGATGGTTATTTTGTAGAACTTTTTTTTTTTTTATTGGGAGGGGGTACCAGTCTGATTTTGCTCATGATTAGATGTAGGCTATGCATTTTTTTTGCAGGAATGACACACAAATGATGTTGTATCCCTCACTGTTCATCAATCATATCAGGAGGCAAATAATGTCAGTTTGTTCCAGTATTGCCATTTAGTCACTTGCTCATTGATTGATTGATTCATTCATTCTCTTCAATGTATTTACTCCTTTCCTCAAGCCAATAATACACAGAAAGTGGTTTCTGACTGGCTAATCTATAACACTGATTAAGCAAATCTGCTAACTAGATAGAGTTCAGTGTTGCTTTTAGTTTTCAAGGTAAAATCTAATTATGATGAAATGGTAAACCTTAAGGGAACATTTGGATGAGTTTTGAAAATACTTAAACCCTCATAATCCAGATCCCTATCAAAGCTTAGAAAGTTTCCATCACCAAAAGCTTCCTGGTTCTCCTTTCTGGTTAATAATAATGCCATCTACCACTGAGAACTGCTTTTCTGATATTTTTTTTCTATTATAGATTAGTTTGGTTTGGTTTAGAACTTTGTATAAATAGAATCATACAGTGTATACTCTAGTGTCTAGGGTCTTTTTTTGGCATAATATCTGTGAGATGCATCCTCATTGTTTTGTGAATGAGTAGTTCATTCTTTTTATGGCTGAGTAGTATTCCATTGTATGAAAACACCACAATGTATTTAGACATTCTTTTGTGATGTACATTTGGGTCGTTTTATTTTATGACTATTATAAATAAAGCTGCTGTGAACATTTAGGTACAAGTATATATATTTTTAATTTCTCTTGAGTAAATACCTGTAAGTGGAATTGCTGGTTCATAGGGCAGATGTATGCTTAACTTTTTTTAAAAAACTGCAAACATGTTCCATAGAAATTGTACCATTTTGTGCTCCCATTACCAATCATGAGAGTTCTGGTTACTCTACATCCTCACCAGCATGTGGTTTTATCAGCCTTTTAAGTGTGAGCCATTCTAGTGGATGTGAGTAATATCTCATTATGGCTTTAATTTGCATTTCCCCAATTACTAATGAGATTGTTATCAGTGGTGGGTATCTGAGTTACTGGTGGTGCACCCATACAGGCCTGCAGCAACCTTAATTCTTGCCTCCTCAGAAGAAAGAATTTAGGGGCATAAGGCAGAAGAGGAGATCGAGGCAAGTTTTAGAGCAGGAGTGAAAGTTTATTAAAAAGCTTTAGAGCAACAATGAAAAGGAAGTAAAATACACTTGGAAGAGGGCCAAGTGGACATCTTGGAGGACAGATGTCTCCATTCGATCATGGACTTAGGGTTTTATATGTTGGCATGCTTCTGGGGTCTTGTGTCCCTTTCCCTTTGATTCTTCCCTTGGGGTAGGCTGCCCGCATGCACAGGGGCCTGCTAGCACTTGGGAAGTGAGTGTGCGCAGTGTGTTTACTGGAGTTGTACACATGCTTACCTGAGGCGTTCTTCTCTTTACCGGTGGAATGTCCTCAGAAGGTCATATACCAGTTAAACTCTGCCATTTTGCCTTTTGTGTGCATGCTTGAGCCCATTCACCCAGTTCCTGAGATCTTATCGGGAAGCTGCTGATCACCAGTTTCATGTGTTTCTATCTGTTGGGAAACTGCCTTTCCCTGGTGCTGGCTGCAACCAATTACTATTTTAGAGAGACAGTTAACAACTGCCTGACCATCACCTGGTGGTCACCTGACATGCCTGGTGGTCACCTGACATTCCTGGTGGGGTGGGCCCTCTCCTGTCCTGTTCATGTCTGACTAGATACCTACTGTAACAAGATTAATTCTTTTTTCATATGCTTGTTGGCCTTTAATATTTTTTTGTGTGCGTGAAGAGTTTGTTCAACTCTTACTGACTTTTTAAAAAATTGGTTTTTCTTTTTACCAGTAAGGTATAGAAGTTCTTTGTATATTCTGGTATAAATTATTTGAAATGTTTGTATTGTGAATATTTTTTCTCATTTTGTGGCTTGCATGTTGATTTTCCTAATGATGTCTTCTATTGAACAGAAGTTGTTAAATTTATGAAATCATACTTATTACCATTTTCCTGTATTAGTTTTGCTTTCTGTGTCCTAAGAAATCTTTGCCTACCCTCAGGTCACAAAAATACTCACTCACAGTTTTTTTTTACAAGCTTTATAATTTTATACTCTACATTTAGGTCTTTTTTTCTCCTCACAGATTATTTTTTGTGAATGATGTGATGTGCCATAAATAGAGATTAGAACTTGATATTTATTGTTCCTTTCCTTGTGCAAATTCACCATTCTAGGTTTTCTTTTAAATAAGGGGAAAATGTACAATTGTAAGATTCTCTAATTTGATATGTTTTTGAGAAAGCCAAATACTTCATTTCTTTAATATACAAATATGTAGATTTAGAGACTATATAAACAAATCAAAATGCAGTTATTGGTTGATGATAATAGTGATAAATAGAACATTGTAATATGTTTAAAGGAATAGGTATGTTGGTTTTCGTTACGATTTCGACCATAATAAGAAAAAGACTTAGTGTGAGACCTGTTTTTCATTGTAAAACATTCTACAAATAAGTGGATAGTTTTTTTAGTTTGCCAGATGAAATCATTTTTAAAACAACTTGCAGAGTGACTTTGATTGCACTGTTATATCTGTTTTATTGGTAGTCTGAAGTCTGTGAGGCTTTCCATTTGAAACCCCTATTTTCAGGGGTTTATGAGCAGGCAGTTGAAAAGAACTTAACCAGCAAAAACTTGGCATTCATGATCTTGGTTCAGTATAAGGTACTTGCTTTAACAAATTTTAAGTAGTCAGCTCTTTTTTAAAGTTGTAAGGAGCACAAAGAGGAATAAAGGAATTTCTTTGGTTAAACAGATAGGGAATATTTTTCCAGCCAACTTATCCCAATTGGATTTATATAGCAAACTTTCTTCTTCCAGAAATTTTTTAAGTATGTACATTCCTATGTTCCAGTTGCCACAAGATCTTGCCTCAAGATTTTCCTTTTCCTTTGCTGTAGTTTATAGCAAATACCCTCTGCCTCTGCTCTTTTTCTTCCTATTTATGCTTTTTAAATTCTTCATAGTGTAATATATTTACACTAAAAATGGTGTTGGCTTTCTTTTGGCTTTTTTCCTCCTCTTACAGTACCAGTTTGAATTTTACCTATTGGTTGAAAAACAATATTAACTTTGAGAGATGTAGTATAAATAGCATTGATTTGCTTGAAATTAAACTTCTGAAATGCAGGCCATCAAAACTCTTCTGAAGAGTTGTCACTCCAAGACTAGGCAAGGTTTTTTTTCTTCTTCTGGAAAGTATCAATATCAGCTTGAGTAATTTGATTTTCTTCACAATCTGTTTTTAACTCGCTATCATTTGCATGGTGAACACTTAACTACTACTGGTCCATAAAGGTGTTGGTGGGTTGTTGTTGTTTTTATTTCACTTAAAAAAATCATTTCCCGAAAGCCTATTACAGAAATGTAACCTACTGCAGGAAGTGAGGTGATCCTTTGGAAATCTTGACTTTGTCTCTACTCTGATGATACTTTGCTTCAGGCAAGAGGTTTTTAGGTGCTGCTGAAGTTTTTGAGATCTTGGAAAATGGCGTAATAACATGACACCAGCTCTTAAGCAGCAACATCTGCTGTGGTTCAAAGCCACACAAAGAAAGCTGCTTAAGCAGTCAAATGTTTTGGACTGCACAGACATGTGTGGTTCAACTGCAAAGACTGCAGAGTAGAGGAATCTTAAAGTTTAGAGAGACTGTTAAAGACTGGAGTCAGGGAAGATGAGCATCTTTAAGAAACAAACATCACCTTGTCCTCCAAGCTATCGAAGATCTTTGTCAGAACCTGCTTATGCAGATTCAGAGATAGGAACAAGTTTAAAGAGTTATCCATGGTGTGGTCCAGTGAAAAGCAAGAGGAAGAAAAATGATTCTGCTGTTTCCAATCTGGGAAAGCCACTGGGTGCTTATCGGTGGCAGAGACATCCGAGTTTTAGGTGGAAAGGGAACAAAAGGGAGAGATTGCAGAGTAATAAAGGAGACCTGGTTGAACGACAACAACAAAAGGTCATCCTGCCAAAGATGGTTAGTAATAATGCTTCTTCCTCTGCTGATGAGGTCCTTGGAACATCAACAGAGAAGCCACACCTGGTCAACAGCCGATCACTTCGAGCACCATTCACCAGATCTGTTTCAGAACCAGAACCCCGCTGCAGTATCCCATTTGTTAGACTGTGGCCAACTTCACTTGGGTCAGTGGAGTCTGAGCAGCAGGGATATTTCATCCGTGGCATTTTCTCTACTCTTTCCAATGGCTTCTCCAGGATGCTGAATCTAAAAGGAGAATCAACCAATGAGCCAGTAAGAGAAGGTATATTGCAATGAATAAGGGGAAAAAAGGGATGGCTCAGATTTAGTTACTGTTGAAATTTTAATTATTTGTTTTATAATCAGGTGAAACATTTCATTTTCTCATTATAAAACAAATATATTTAATTAGCACAATTTTAAAAAAGTGATCATCACTGCTTCAGAAACCTTTTAATGACTTATAGTAATAGCAAGAAGTGAATGGATTTGGTTAATTAAGGAATATTTTTATGTTGTTAATTCTTGAACTCAATTTTGGAGCACATGTGAAAAAATTATTTTTAATGCTCATTTGTCTCCACTGATCTACTTTTCCAGGTTAAGTGCAATTTGGAGGGGAAAATATTCAAGTAATTTGTCATGACTGTTGAGAATTTAAAATGTATTTCTACTGTTATCTCTTCATAAACATTATTTTTAAATTAATGTTATTAGTGAGAAATGTAGAGCAGAATTACACTGATAGCTCTTAAAAAGTTGGGATTTTAATTTGCTTGTATCATAAAATACTCCATTTGAATATGGAAGCCAAGCATGCAAATCTTGAATATTTGTTTAGATGACAAAATAGAAATTTGTGTTTGATTCATTTAAGACAATAGAATTGTCAAATTTTTAAAAATCTTATTTGGGACTTTTTAAAATTTAAAAATTATTTCATATTGATTATAGCATTGTTAAAGCCAAAAAGCCCACAGTGCTTAATTTTTTTAACTGATTGCCTTAAAAATGGTTGACCTTATCTGGTGAACAATTTTGGTTATGACTTGGGGCCTATGTTTTTTAAAAAACCTTAGCACTGGAAGCTTGGTAGTATCTTCATGACCAGCTGAGATCATTTTTTGAGAAGCTCTTACCATTAAGAAAATTTCAGCCTCTCATTATTAGGAGATTGAACGTATCATCAAAGGTTTAAACCCTTTCTAAAACTGTGAGAATTGTTGAAGAATTTTGTTATTGAAATATAATTTAATTTATTTTAAAATAAAGTTGAAGAATGCTAATGAGATCATTTCAGTGAAAACTGAAGTAATTTTCCAAATTAATGTATGCCAAAAATTAAGTATTTTCTATAAACCCTGTCCTCCCTAGATGTTCCTTTGCTCAGTGAATTTTAGTGATACTCTTAAACATATATATTTTCTCCTTACTCTTGGCAAATAGATAATTACCTAGAGGAAAATCTTCCTCCTTGATGTGCCTCTATTAACATTCCATTAAAATTTTTGAAAGACTTGGTTGTTTCAGTTTCTTGGATACTTGTATGTCTGTTTCCTTGCCAGGTGATCATAAGGTGATCAAAGTAAAAGAATGTCAAAGGAAATTAAGAGTTTAAAATCTTACAATCAGTTCCTCTCAATGGTTAGCATGTGTGCATTTGATAAAAGAAGCAATACTTTAAATTTTTGCATTTATAATCATTTTTGGACTTTGATAGTGCACTTTCAGTTTTTAGCAAGTATACCAAGCTATTTTTGACTGTCTACAATGTGTGAGGTGCTGTGAGAAGGTGTCCCTGCATTTTACACATATATGGTCTACTTAAGGAAATATAAAATGTAATAATATGTATATGGAAGCACATACAGAGTTTAAGTTTAAGGTGCTATTTCAAGGAATTTCGATTCCAGTAACGAAAAAACAGTGCATAGTGTCCTACCAGTAACATAACAACATTTATAAAACAGTTACTCCGCTATCTCCTAAGTGCTTCGTGTGCGTGTGTGTGTGTGTGTGTCTGTGTGTGTGTATGGGTATGTATGTGCAAGTGAGGGGGGATTAAGCTCTTAAGACTGAAATGTACTGTTTATTATAAAGACCGGATCAAGTGCCTGTGCAGAGGTCTCCTTTTCTCTTTTGGCAGTAACTTCTTTCTGGCCTAGTGTCTACATCAGTGGTTTTCTAACCTTTTGCAGTTGTGAGCCTTTCTTCATCCCTTATTTCCCACAAGCAAAAGACTACCAAATAACTGACTAGTTTGATTTTCTTATCTAAGAGAAAGTAATTAAAGTTGAATTCACTGAGTTAGCAAATTAAGTGAATTTATAGGCGAGAGCTAGTATCCTAATGAATAAAGTTTCTGAGGCAATTTATTTATTTAAAATCCAAATTATTTGGAAATAATTTTCCAAAAAAGATTATCTAGTTGTTATCCTACTTTCTCCTGCCTACCAGTATTTTTTTAATGCTCATTTTCCAGATACTGGAATTGGAAAGCTATTGATTACCAAACCTTCAGATAACCAGAAGATAGTCTCTTTTGTTCAGATATTAGGTGCAAAGGATCTGACCCAGTGTGGTCATGGTAGCTAATTGTTACATCAGCTATAAAGTTGTTGGTTTTTTAGATTATGCCTAATAATCTTGAGGGCTAAGCTACCCCAACCTATAATAGAATTTATCTCTTCATAAGTATATACTATGATGGTCCTCGTAGAGGTATGATACTGTAATAACCATGTACCTGTCTCTCAGCTTTAGAATTTGCAGTTACACTTGGTTTCCAAAAATCAGAGATTCTGGATTTTAAGAGCTTAGACTAGCCACTAAAAACCTGTAGAATGTCTAATAATCACCCCAAATTTTTACTAGTCAACCAAGTGTTATTTTTTATCCATGTGGCAACTGGGTCATTTCTTTGCTTCTCAAGCCTATAAAGATTAGTAATTCCTTGGTTTTCAGTTGCTCATTGTTTTCCAAGGAAGTCTTAAAAAACAAAGGAAAACAAAAAACAGAAAGGGTTTGCTTTAAGCATTATGATTGGTAGTTTATTTCACTGTTTAAAACTTTAGGGTATAACTTGCACAAAACACTAGGCTTCTCTAGCTTTTACTTATGAGCAAAACTTAATCTGTGATATTTTATATTGGACACTACTTTTTTTTTTTTTTTTTTTTTTTTTGAAACAGAGTCTTGCTCTGTCACCCAGGCTGGAGGCCAGTGGTGCGATCTCGGCTCACTGCAACCTCCGCCTCCCGGGTTCAAGTGGTTCTCCTGCCTCAGCCTCCTGAGTAGCTGGGATTACGGGTGCACAGCACCAAGCCCAGCTAATTTTTGTATTTTTAGTAGAGATGGGGTTTCGCCATGTTGGTCAGGCTGGTCTCGAACTTCTGATCTCAGGTGATCCACCCGCCTCAGCCTCCGAAAATGCTGGAATTACAGGTGTGAGCCAGCGCGCCCAGCCTCCCTGAGTACTTTAAATGCATTTTATCTGGTTTAATCCTCCGAATAATCCTGCGAGGGAGTGTTATTCTCATTTTAAAAGTAAGGAATTAGAGCCTCAGAAAGTTTCAGTTACTTCTCCAAGACTACACAGCTAGTAAGTTGTGGGTCCTAGGTCTCTTATGATTCTGTGCTCCTCCATTTGGGGGCCCACTTTGAACACATGATGTTTGAGAGTTTTTCAGGAACTTGAGAGCATCGCTTCAAGCAGTATTGCGGAATAAAGGGGCAGGAGTTTAGCAGCAGAGGTTAGTTCCCATATGAGGATATACATTTGGAAGCCATCAGCCCATGGACATTGAAGCCACAGGAGTGGGTGAAATCACACAGGCTAGGGATATAGTGGGAGAGTAATGAGAATGTTGAGACTAGCATCCCAGCCTCAACACATCTGGACATCTTATTCCAGTCTAACCAGTGTCTGTTAACAGAGCCAGTGGTTTACGAGTATAGACTTGGAGTTTACCAATGTGGTGGTAACTTTAATATTCTTACTTTTACATATACTTGCATACACACCTTATTTATTTTTGTTTAACAGCTTTTTTGAGATATAACTTACATAACGTATTTCATCTACTTAATACACACAATTCAATTACTTTTTTATTGTGATAGCATGCACATACCAAAAAATTTACCACTTTAACCATTTTTAGGTGTACAGTTCAGTGGCATAAGTAGCTTCACATTGTTGTTCAACCATCACCATCATCCATCTCCAGACTATTTTATCTTCACATACTGAAACTCTGTACCCATTAAACACTAACTCCCCATTCTTGCCTCACCCTAGGCCCTGGTAACCACCATTCTACTTTCTGTCTCTATGAATTCGATTCCCAAGTACCTCATATAAGTGGAATCATAATATTCTTTTGTACAGTTTATTTTTAGTATTTTTACAAAGCTGTACAAGCACACCACAATTTTAGAACATTTTCATTACACCAAATACCTATTAGCAGGCAATTCCTGTTTACCCTTAAAGGTCCCATCCATCAGACCTAGGCAATCAGTAATATACTGTCTCTATAGATTTGCTTATAGATGCTATATAAATGGAATTTTACAATATGTGACATTTTGTGTCTAGCTTCTTTTACTTAGCATAATGGTTTCATGGCTCCTCCATGTTATAGCAGCAGTACTTTCTTTTTATCACTGACTTTCTATTGTATGGATATACTATATTTCATTTATACATTCATCATTTGGTGGACATTTGGGTTGTTTCCACATTTGTGCTATTATTAATTATGCTACTATGAACATTCATGAACAAATTTTTACGTGAACATATGTTTTCATTTCGCCTGGGCATTTACCCTTGTATTTTGCAAACAGTGTATTCTGCCTCCAGAATAATGATTTGGTGTTTTGTGACCTTAAGTCACATTAAATTTTCCATTTGTTATCTGAACATGTAATGGTGCTGCTACTTTATTATTGTTTTATATCCGTGTATTCATTCAGTAAAATATTTCTGTGTGTATGTGTGTATATACACACACACACACACACTTTGATCACCTCAAGTACCTATTAGCAATCACTATATATATATGTAAATAAAATTTTAGTCTTAGTCAAATACCTTCTGTAGTTAGTAATTTCCCACACCTCTGCTCAAAATATAAATATAGTTCAATGTGATCTAGAGTTTTCAACTGGTAGCTTGATTACAATGAACAGTATGATTTGTCTGCATTTCCAGGATGATTGTCATCCTGGAATGATTTATCTGCCTCAGGCAAGTTTTTATTTGGTTTCTCACACTCAAGGCCAGTTTGTCTTTGTGAGGAAGCAAAGAGAAGAGTAAGATGAGTAATGACTCTGGATCTATGATTATGAAACCGTATCCTTATGAGTACACAGGTTCTTAGTGACTGAGCTTGAGTCAGTTAACCACAGGTATTTTTCCTGTCATTCTCATGTGGAATTTTCATTGAAATGTCTTAAAAAAATTTTGCCTCTAATTTCTGGATTTAAGGATGATTACTTATTCACCTTTACAAAGTAGAAACCCTATTCTATCTATGTTTTTAGATTTTGTCACCAAAATGTCAAAATAGTTTGAATCTTAAGGGATATTGATTCATATAATTTAGCATAGTATATAACCATAACCTTGGTCAAACTAAAGAGTATTTTGAAAGCTATGTGTGTGGTTTGTTGTTCTGAAGTAAAGTGGTATCTGGTGGTTAGAACATAAGAGTTACTGTCAGCATTTGTGGGTTTTCTTCCCAGATCCAAGCTTTTTTAAAAGGAAAGTCAGAGTCCATGCCTGTTGTATGTTTAGTGCAATGGTTTACATACTGTAGATATATTGTAAATACTAGTGAAGATGTTATACAACTGGCAGAATAATATGCAATAAATCACTCACAATATGTGTAAAATAATGATAGTTGTCACTGGTACTTAGTGATTCTATTATTTAATAAATCTTTCTTTGAGAAAGGCATGATTACTGTTTCCAAGTAGTAGTGTGGTATTTTAAGCAACTTATAATAAACATTTTTAGTTCAAAGTGGTTAGACATTACTCTCTATCCAAGGGACTTTTGAGGACACTACCTCATGGACACCATCCATATATCACAGTAGTACATGCCAGAATCTAAGAGTAAGGAATACGTTTAAGATTGTGTGATGATTCTAATATGTGGACACGTTAGGCACTGATACTCTAGTATTTAAGTTTTATTTACCTCTATCCTCTTGATGGCATCCTAAACCATGGTTCTTAAAGCTTGAGCTGGATGGAGGTGTTCTGCCCCTGAAATAAGGTAATAAAGGTATTTTCCTAGCTTATTAAAAACAGATGAATGGTATTTTTATTTAAAATTTTTATTTTATAAATTTTTTAACATTGTGGTGCCTTGCTATCCCTTAGCCTATAATAAAACATAAAATATTTGCCTTTACACAGATTTTTATACTTGATTATTTTGTCTTTAATATAAACTTTTGTAATTACTTTTTGCCCTGTGATGTAACATTAGGGCATTGCTTTTCAAGCACAGTGTTTTATGAACATATGTTGTCCACAGTGAACAAGGTCAGTTGCTAGTGGAAATTATGGAGTTGCTGGCTTACTAATCCTCTCTAGCCTATTATTTCAATTTATTGGACTGTTAGTGATACCGCAGATATTGTTATTAGTCCCTAGATGTAGACAGTATTTCTTTGAATAATGCTTTCCTGTTCATAGAATTCTAGATGTATCATTTTGTTTAGCCAAAAGGAACTTAATACTTTCCTGTAAACCCTATCACTTCAGATGTTAGTGTTTATTGTATTTCTTTACCAATAAAGAACATTCATTTAAACACAATAGGTCCATTTTCTTATTTTTATCCAGTTTTTTTTTCTTAGCCTTAGACTTTATTTTAAATACAAGAATATAAAGGGATGTTTTATCCAAAAGCAAATGGCATTGAAAAAAGACCACTTTAAATTATTTAAAGCAAGTGTCAAATTTTCATAGTAAATAATGTATACATGTGTTGCTGGAGAGGATATTGGGAATTTATCTTAAATGAAAATTTATGAAAATAAACTTTTTAGTCTTTTAAACAAAATTTACATTATAATTGTAACTATATACTAGTTATTAAAATAAAGTTATTAAGCTAATTATTAACAACTTTTTGTGGTATTTTTCCCTGAACAAAATTGTGTGACTGCAAATCAATATCCTTCACTTCACATTTTACTTTGGAGAATTATTTTATTATAATGTTTTTTAGGAAAATTATTGGAAGATTTTGTTAGTTTTTAAGGTTCCTTTTTATTTCTATTATAATTATTTTATTTATACATATTTTTATTTTTATTCATGACTTTTTTATTGATTAGAAACATAAGCCCTCTGGTGTATCCTACTGTCACATTGTTCTAATTGACCAGTGTGGTTTTTAAATAAGAGTGCAGAATATAAAGTATGAGGTGGAATTTTGAGGAAAATGATTTATAAATAAAATTTTAAAATAGGATGAATTTATGAATACACTTGAATATTTAGGTTTTGACATTTATGCTTCTTTCTGGTGTGCTATATAATTACAACTTAAATACCCTAAATGAGTATTATTGATGTGATTCATATACTTGAGATAAGTACACAGAATGTTGAGTCACTGTATGAAAGAATGAAAGAATGAAGAGCTGTTTATATACAGATATGGAAAGATCTCCAAGCTGTGTTAGGAAATAAGCTACAAAAGTACTATATGTTTCTTTTGGTTCTTTGTAATTTTCAATCTCTTTCACGTGTGTTGCTAGTATATTGTGGAGAAAGTAATAAGTTCACTTTATGTGTGAGGAGAAATACTTTAGGGGTACATATTAAATTTCCATGGGTAAGCTCTTTTCTCATCTTTTAAGGCAGCTGTGGATTTGGAAATGGAGAGTCAGTCTGAGAATCAAACTTGAATCCTCCACTGATCTGATATCTCTATCCATCTTTAATTTAACTAGAATACATTGAGCCTTGATCATGAGCATCAGGATTAAATAACATTTACATAATACTTCACCTTCCTCTCTCAGAAATGGATGACCAAAGTATTGCACTCAGAAGGGTGTGCAAAGGTGTGCAGATGACATACCAACTTATCAGTATATTATCTTGGACAAACTTACTCTTCATTTGGCTGTTAAATGCAGGAAATAATAGTACAGATTAATTCTCCCCCTTCCACAAATACGTACATATATGCATGCAAAGAAGTGTATGCAGAGGCCATGGCTGTTGCTTAGTCTGGAAAGCTTTTTCAATCTGAAGGCTCTGTCTTCTCTTGCTATGGTGGTGTTTACCTCTAGCTCTCTCTTCAATTCAATTTTTTGCTCATGCAGGGAGCACTGGTCAGAGCACAAGGATGGAGAACTGCTTTATTTCACCCTCAGGTTTGTTTCTTGATTTATTTATAGTATTTTTGAGTGTATCTCTTTGGGTAGTTTTCTTAGTGGTTGCTATAGGTATTACAGTATTCATATGTGACATCACAGTTTATTTTTATCAACATTTTACTACTCTGAGTAAATGTCAGGTAGTAAACTCTCCATTTACACCCTCTGCCTTCCCCACTTTTAAGTATCATTGTCTTTGAATATTGGATGGTGTTCTAATTATTGCTTCAATTAGTATATATGGTTTATAAAACTCATGAGGATACTTACACGTTCCCATATTTCTGCTTCCTTCCTGATACTCTTAATATTTTAGCATATCTTTTAACATATCTTTTCTCTTTGAAGAACTCCCTTTAGCCATTCTTTATGCATAGGTCTGCTAATGACAATTTTTATAATTCATTCTCTCTCTCTCTCTCTCTCTCTCTCTCTCTCTCTCTCTCTCTCTCTCTCTCTCTCTCTTTCATCTCTCTCTCTTGTCTCTCTCTCTCCCCACTCCTGGGCTCAAGCAGTCCTCCACCCTCGGCTTCTTAAAGTGCTGTGATGGGATTATAAGTGTGAGCCACCAATGCCTGGCCCACTTACATTCTTGAATCTGTAGGTTTACGTCTTTTGCCAAATTTAGGAAGTTTTCACCATTATTTCTTTGAATACCCTTTTAGCTCTACTTTCTTCTCTCCTAGATCTCTGGTGATACAGATGTTGGATCTTATTTATTTATGTTTGAGACAGGACCTTACTCTGCCACCCAGGCTGGAGTGAGTGGTGCCATCAAAGCTCACTGCAGCCTTGACCTTCCAGGCTCAAGCGATCCTCACACCTCAGTCTCCTGAGTAGCTCTGTAACTTCTATTTCTTTTATAAGGTTTTTTTCTTAATTTGTTTCCAGATAATTTCTAATTGATTCTGAAGCATTTTATGACATGCAATTTAAACTTCTCAGATAATTTTAATGTCTGATTTTTCTCAGTTGATTGTCTTTTTTCATTCAAGTTGAGATTTTCCTGGTTCTTGGTGTGTTGATTTTTTAAAAATTTATTGAATCTTGAACATTTTGGTTATTATGCTAGGGAACTCTGGGTTTTATTTAGATCTTTTATTTTAGCAGGGAGTTGCCCTACTCAAGTTTAGCATGCAGCTCCAAGCCTACAGTAGTGAGCTGTGCTTCCAGTGACAATTTAATTTTCAGAGATTTTGCAGTACTATTTTTGTCTGCTTAGTTTAGCTGGAGTTCCTACCGATCCCTGCTGGTGCTGCCCAAAGCAGGGAATGAGCTTCCCCAGGATAGGCCATCTGGTGCCTCTAGGAGGCAGAAGGGAATCTCTGGCCCATTGGGGAAAATGAGGCTTCTTGGGTTTTGGCAGGACCTCCCAGCCTGTGAAAATGAGGAACACTTCCCAGCCTGAGCCCTGGTTGTGGTGCATCCCCCTTTCTGTTATCCACCTGGCTACCTGAATCTCTCACTGGGGAAGGGGAGTCCCAGATCTGGAGGGGAAGAAGAATGCTTTCCCTGGCTGCTTATTGTCTGTTGGCCTCCCCATCATTACCCCTTGCTAGTGATGCTAGGCTTGCTTGTTGTTATCAAAAAAAAAAAAAAAAATGACAACAACAAAATAAATAGCCCCAGGTATTTTCTGTTCCTAGGTTTGAGGTCAGGCCTGGGTTGCCTTCTTTTAATGGATTGGGAGGCAGGGTCCTCAGATGTCCTGCCACTATTTTGGTCCTCCTTGTCCTAGGGCCCCTAGCAAATCAGCCATTTTTCTTTTTACAGAGTTCTTCTATGACTGTCTTTTGTATTATTTCAAAATTTTGTCATATTTAGTGAGGAGCAGTTGGGAGAAACGAGTCTACACCATCTTGTCTGGCCCAAGACTTTTTCTTAATCTTTTGTTATTCATATCATTTTCATTTAGAGTGCCTAGCTTGTCATCATCCATGTCAAATATCTGCAGTTGTTGAATGGTATAACTCTTCTATTCCTCACTTATTAGTGCTTTTTACATGGAATCTGAGCACTTTTCCAACGTCACTTTCATTGGCTCTGTGAAATTTTATCTTTTTGCAAGATTAGCAATTTAACCCTTCAGTCAGTTTGCACTTATACAGTATTCAGCAATGATCAAAAAGGTACTGGGATGGATAGTATTCAAGTGGGGATAGTATTAAGTTGTATAAGGGGTCAGTTCACTAAGGAATATTTTTGTACTTGGTAAACTTTTATTTCATTTTTTTTTTCTTTTTGAGAAGGAGTCTCGCTCTGTCACCCAGGCTGGACTGCAGTGGTGCGATCTTGGCTCACTGCAACCTCTGCCTCTCGGGTTCAAGTGATTCTCCTACCTCAGCTTCCCAAGTACCTGGGACTACAGGCGCGTGCCACCACGCCCGGCTAATTTTTGTATTTTTAGTAGAGATGGGGTTTCACCATATTGGTCAGGCTGGTCTTGAACTCCTGACCTTGTAATCCACCCGCCTCGGCCTCCCAAAGTGCTGGGATTACAGGCGTGAGCCACTGTGCCCAGCCTATTTCTTCTTTAAAATTTTGTTTTATTTTTATTGTACTTTAAGTTCTGGGATATATGTGCTTAATGTGCAGGTTTGTTACATAGGTATACATGTGCCATGGTGGTTTGCTGCACCTATCAACCTGTCATCTATGTTTTAAGCCCCACATGCGTTAGATATTTGTCCTAATGCTCTCCTTCCCCTTTCCCCTCATCCCCCAACAGGCCCCGGTGTGTGATGATCCCCTCCCTATGTCCATGTGTTTGCATTGTTCAACTCCCACTTATGAGTGAGAACATGCAGTGTTTGGTTTTCTGTTCCTGTGTTAGTTTGCTGAGGGTGATGGTTTCCAACTTCATCCGTGTCCCTCCAAAGGACATGAACTCGTTCTTTTTCATGGCTGCTTAGTATTCCATGGTGTATATGTGCCACGTTTTCTTTATCCAGTCTATCATTGATGGGCATTTGGGTTGGTTCCAAGTTTTTGCTATTGTAAATAGTGCTGCAATAAACATATATGTGCATATGTCTTTATAGTAGAATGATTTATAATCCTTTGGGTATATACCCAGTAATGGGATTGCTGGTTCAAATGGTATTTCTGGTTCTAGATCCTTGAGGAATCGCCACACTGTCGTCCACAATGGCTGAACTAATTTACACTGCCACCAACAGTGTAAAAGCGTTCCTATTTCTCCGCATCCTCGCCAGCATCTGTTGTTTCCAGACTTTTTAATGATCACCATTCTAACTGGCATGAGATGGTATTTCATTGTGGTTGTAATTTGCATTTCTCTAATGACCAGTGATGATGAGCTTTTTTTCATATGTTTGTCAGCTCCATAAATGTCTTCTTTTGAGAAGTGTCTGTTCATATCCTTCACCCACTTTTTGATGGGGTTGTTTTTTTCTTGTAAATTTGTTTAAGTTCCTTGTAGATTCTGGGTATCAGTTCTTTGTCAGATGGGTAGATTACAAAAATTTTCTCCCGTTCTGTAGGTTGCCTATTCACTCTGATGATAGTTTCTTTTGCTGAGCAGAAGCTCTTTAGTTTAATTAGATCCCATTTGTCAGTTTTGGCTTTTGTTGCAGTTGCTTTTGGTGTTTTAGTCATGAAGTCTTTGCCTATGTCCTGAATGATATTGCCTAGGTTTTCTTCTAGGGTTTTTACGGTTTTAGGTTTTACATTTAATTATTTAATCCATCTTGAGTTAATTTTTGTGTGAGGTGCAAGGAAGGGGTCCAGTTTCTGTTTTCTGCATACGGCTAGCCAGTTTTCCCAGCACCATTTGTAAAATACGGAATCCTTTCCCCATTGCTTTTTTTGGTCAGGTTTGTCAAAGATCAGATGGTTGTAGATGTGTGGTGTTATTTCTGACACCTCTGTTCTGTTGCATTGGACTATATATCTGTTTTGGTACCACTACCATGGTGTTTGGTTACTGTAGCCTTGTAGTATAGTTTGAAGTCGGGTAGCATGATGCCTCCAGCTTTGTTCTTTTTGCTTAGGATTGTCTTGGCTATACAGGCTCTTGTTTGGTTCCATATGAAATTTAAAGTCATTTTTTCTAGTTCTGTGAAGAAAGTCAGTGGTAACTTGATAGGAATAGCATTGAATTTATAAATTACTTTGGGCAGTATGGTCATTTTCACGATATTGATTCTTCCTATCCATGAGCATGGAATTTTTTTCCATTTGTTTTTGTCCTCCCTTATTTCCTTGAGCAGTGGTTTGTAGTTCTCCTCGAAGAGGTCCTTCACATCCCTTGTAAGTTGTATTCCTAGGTATTTTACTTTCTTTGTAGCAATTGTGAATGGGAGTTCATTCAGGATTTGACTCTCTGCTTGTCTATTATTGGTGTGTAGGAATACTTGTGATTTTTGCACATTGATTTTGTATCCTGAGAATTTGGTGAAGTTGTTTATCAGCTTAAGGAGTTTTGGGGCTGAGACGATGGGATTTTCTAAATATACAATCATGTCGTCTGCAAACAGAGACAATTTGACTTCCTCTCTTCCTATTTGAATACCCTTTATTTCTTTCTCTTGCCTGATGCTCTGGCCAGAACTTCCAACACTATGTTGAATCGGCGTGGTGAGAGAGGGCATCCTTGTCTTGTGCTTGTTTTCAAAGGGAATGCTTCCAGTTTTTGCCCATTCAGTATGATATTGGCTGTGGGTTTGTCATAAATAGCTCTTATTATTTTGAGATATGTTCCATCAATACCTAGTTTATTGAGAGTTTTTAGCATGAAGGGGTTTTGAATTTTATCAAAAGCTTTTTCTGCATCTATTGAGATAATCATATGGTTTTTGTCATTGGCTCTGTTTATGTGATGAATTACGTTTATTGATTTGCATATGTTGAACCAGCCTCTCATCACAGGGATGAAGCTGCCTTGATTGTGGTGGATAAGCTTTTCGATGTGCTGCTGAATCAGTTTGCCAGTATTTTATTGAGGATTATCACATCGATGTTCATCAGGGATATTGGCCTGAAATTTTCTTTTTTTGTTGTGTCTTGGCCAGGTTTTGGAATCAGGATGATGCTGGCCTCATAAAATGAGTTATGGAGAAGTCCCTCTTTTTCTGTTGTTTGGAACAGTTTCAGAAAGAATTGTACCAGCTCCTCTTTGTACCTCTGGTAGAATTCGGCTGTGGATCCATCTGGTCCTGGGCTTTTTTTTGTTGGTAAGCTATTAATTACTGCCTCAGTTTCAGAACTTGTTATTGGTCTATTCAGGGATTTGACTTCTTCCTGGTTTAGTCTTGGCAGGGTGTGTGTGTCTAGGAATTTATCCATTTCTTCTAGAATTTCCGTTTTTTTTGCATACAGGTGTTTATAGTATTCTCTGATGGTAGTTTGATGGTAGTTTATATTTCTGTGGGATCAGTGATGATATCCCCTTTATGATTTTTTATTTTGTCTATTTGATTCTTCTCTCTTATTAGTCTATCTAGTAGTCTATCTATTTTGTTAATCTTTTCAGAAAACCAGCTCCTGGATTCATTTATTTTTTGAAGAGTTTTTCGTGTCTCTATCTCCTTCAGTTCTGCACTGATCTTAGTTATTTATTGCCTTCTGCTGGCTTTTGAATTTGTTTTCTCTTGCTTCTCTAGTTCTTTTAAGTGTGATGTTAGGGTGTTGATTTTAGATCTTTCCCACTTTCTGATATGGGCATTTAGTACTATAAATTTCCCTCTTAACACTGCCTTAGCTGTATCCCAGAGATTCTGGTATGTTGTGTCTTTATTCTCATTGGTTTCAAAGAACTTCGTTATCTCTACCTTAATTTCGTTATTTACGCAGTAGTCATGCAGGAGCAGGTTGTTCAGTTTCCATGTAGTTGTGTGGTTTTGAGTGAGTTTCTTAATCCTGAGTTCTAATTTGATTGCATTGTGGTCTGAGAGGCTGTTTGTTATGATTTCCATTCTTTTGCATTTACTGAGGAGTGTTTTACTTCCAATTATGTGGTCAATTTTAGAATAAGTGCTGTGTAGTGCTGAGAAGAATGTATATTCTGTTGAGTTGGGGTGGAGAGTTCTGTAGATGTCTATTAGGTCCACTTGGTCCAGAGCTGAGTTCAAATCCTGAATATCCTTGTTAATTTTCTGTCTCGTTGATCTGCTTAATATTGACAGTGGGGTGTTAAAATCTCCAACTATTATTGTGTGGGAGTCTAAGTCTCTTCGTAGATCTCTGATAACTTGCTTTATGAATCTGGTTGCTCCTGTATTGACTGCTTATATATTTAGGATAGTTAGCTCTTCTTGGTGCATTCATCCCTTTACCATTATGTAATGCCCTTCTGTGTCTTTTTTGATCTTTGTTGGTTTAAAGTCTGTTTTATCAGGGACTAGGATTGCAACCCTGCTTTTTTTGCTTTCCATTCCCTTTATTTTGAGCCCATGTGTGTCTTTGCATGTGAGATAGGTCTCCTGAATACAGCATATCGATGGGTCTTGACCCTTTATCTAGTTTACCGGTTTGTGCCTTTTAACTGAGACATTTAGCCCATTACATTTAAGGTTAATATCGTTAGTATGTGAATTTGATCCTGTCATCATGATGCTAGCTGATTATTTTGCACATAAGTTGATGCAGTTTCTTTATAGTGCTGTTCTTTATATTTTGTTATGTTTTTGCAGTAATTGGTACCAGTTTTTCCTTTCCATATTTAGTGCTTCCTTCAGGAGCTCTTGTAAGGCCTTGTGGTGACAAAATTTCTCAGCATTTGCTTGTCTGTAAAGGATTTTATTTCTCCTTCATTTATGAAGCTTAGTTTAGCTGGATATGAAATTCTGGGTTGAAAATTCTTTTCTTTAAGAATGTTGACTATTGGCCCCCACTCTCTTCTGGCTTGTAGGGTTTCTGCCAAGAAATCTGCTGTTAGTCTGATGGGCTTCCCTTTGTAGGTAACCTGACCTTTCTCTCTGGCTGCCCTTAACATTTTTTCCTTCATTTCAACTTTGGAGAATCTGATGATTATGTGTCTTCGGGTTGCTCTCCTCAAGGAGTATCTTTGTGGTGTTCTTTGTATTTCCTGAATTTGAATGTTAGCCTGTCTTCCTAGGTTGGGGAAGTTCTCCTGGATAATACCCTAAAGTGTGTTTTCCAACTTGGTTCCATTCTCTCTGTCACTTTCAGGGACCCCAATCAAGCATAGGTTTGGTCTTTTCACATAGTCCCATATTTCTTGGAGGCTTTGTTCGTTCCTTTTCATTCTTTTTTCTCTAATCTTGTCTTCACGTGTTATTTCATTAAGTTGTTCTTCAATCTCTGATATCCTTTCTTCTGCTTGATCGATTCAGCTATAGATACTTGTGTATGCTTCACGAAATTCTCGTGCTGTGTTTTTCATCTCCATCAGGTCATTTATGTTCTTCTCTAAACTGGTTATTCTAGTTAGCAGTTCCTGTAACCTTTTGTCAAGGTTCTTAGCTGCCTTGCATTGGATTAGAACATGCTCCTTTAGCTCAGAGGAGTTTGTTATTACCCACCTTCTGAAGCCTACTCCTGTCAGCTCGTCAAACTCATTCTCTGTCCAGTTTGGTGCCCTTGCTGGACAGGAGTTGTGATCATTTGGAGAAGAGGCATTCTGGTTCTTGGAATTTTCAGCATTTTTGCTCTGGTTTTTCCTCATTTTCGTGGATTTATCTACCTTTGATCTTTGAGTCCAATGACCTTTGGATGGGTTTTCTGTATGGGTCGTTTTTGTTGATTTTGATATTGCTTCCTGTTTGTTAGTGTTTGATTTTGATATTGCTTCCTGTTTGTTAGTGTTTCTTCTAACAGGCCTCTCTTCTGCAGATCTGCTCCAGTTTGCTGGAGGTCCACTCCAGACCGTTTGCCTGGTTATCACCAGCGGAAGCTGCAGAACAGCAAAATTGCTACCTGTTCCTTCCTCTGGAAGCTTCGTCCCAGAGGGGCACCAGCCTGATGCCGGGGCTCTTCTGTATGAAGGGTCTGTCAACCCCTGTTGTGAGGTCTCTCCCACTCAGGAGGCTTGGCGGTCAGGGACCCACTTGAAGAGGCAGTCTGTCCCTTAGCAGAGCTTGAGTATTGTGCTGGAAGGGCCCTCTTTGTCAGGATCCCCTTGCTCTCTTCAGAGCTAGTAAGCTGGAACGTTTATGTCTGCTGAAGCTGCGCCCACAGCCGCCCCTTCCCCCAGGGTGCTCTGTCCCAGGGAGATGGGAGTTTTATCAATAAGCCTCTTACTGGGGCTGCTGCCTTTCTTTCAGAGATGACCTGCCCAGTGAAGAGGAATCTAGAGAGACAGTCAGGCCACAGCCACATTGCTGTGCTGTGTTGAGTTCTGCCCAGTCCAAACTCCCAGGCCTCCTTAGCACTGTCAGGGGAAAACCGCCTACTCAAGCCTCAGCAATGGCGGACGCCCCAACCCCACCAAGCTTGATCATCCCAGGTCGACTTCAGACTGCTGTCCTGGCAGCAAGAATTTCAAGCCAGTGGTTCTTAGCTTGCTGAGCTGTTTGGGAGTGGGACTCGCTGATCGAGACCACTTGGCTCCCTGGCTTTAGCTGCCTTTCCAGGAGAGTAAACAGTGCTGTCTTGCTGGGGTTCCAGGCGCCACTCAGTTGGAAATGCAGAAATCACCCGCCTTCTGCGTTGGTCTCGCTGGGAGCTGCATACCAGAGCTGTTCCTATTAGGTCATCTTGCCAGATCCAGAAAACCTTATTTCTTTATAAAAGTTTACAACTATGGGGACTGCAGTGAACACTTATAAGCAAACACCTTACTATATATATATGTGTGTCCTTACACTGTGTTTGCTTAGTCACGTTATTTTGAAATTTAAAGACCATAAAGTCTTCGAATCAAATGTACTTATTTTACAGATGAGTAAAATAAAGTCACAGGGGTACTGTGAGGCTTACATGAGGATGTAAAGCTCTTAGTACAGTCAAGGGCTAGCTAGCATTTAGTAAGTGTCATGTTTGCTGCTACTGTTAATAACTTTTGTTACTATTTTGTAAAATTCTAAGATCAGAGAAAGCAAGAGTGAAGTGAGGTCTGATAGTTTTTGTAGGAAACTAAGAATCAGGAGTTTAGGGTTCCATTTCTGTTTTGTTCCTGACTCACTTGGACTCTTTGGGAAACTGGTTAACCTTTTCGTGTCTAAATCTAGCCATCTAAAGCTAGGAGAATCTTGCCATCTGCCTACGTCATGGGAGATCGTAAAGAAAATGATGGAAAATGCTTTACATCTGTGGGAGAAAGGTACTATGTAAGCTTATAACTTTGTTCTCTCCATTGACAATAACTTGCTCATACAATCTTTAAAAATCTGCTTAACTAGCAATCCAAAATTACTGTATATGTGCAATGTGGGAGTGTTGATGCTTCCGTTAGAACACTCCCTTTTGTGATTTCCTCATCACTTAAGAAATGTAGATACTTGCTGCCACAGTATACTAAAACTATATGTAAAAATCAGTATATGTAAATTATAGTTAATGACTGAACATAATTCCTCATTTATCTACATAGTTTTAATTGAAATGAGCTTTGGTACTTTTTAAAGGAAAGAAAAAGGATGAAAGTGGGGACAGGGAATGGTTGATTAATTACAGTGATAAAACATGGGCTAGAACCTTGAAAGATCATGTAGCCTGTCCTGCCACAGTAGAATTGTATGTTAATTCAGTTCAATAATTATTGATCAAGTGGCTACTATGTGTATGGCACATTAAAAAAGTAAAACAGTCTTTTTCTTCAGATGCTTATCAGTCTAGTAGGGAAAGTAAAAACATAACTATTTACTTTATTCTTTCATCCTCATTAATGAATTAGCCTTGTAAAGATGGTTGCAAATATAGTCAGTGCTTGAAATAGAATGTTATGTAAATTTTAACTATTTTAAATTAGCTACAGTTAACTAAATGTTTATATATAAGTCTCTAAGTGTCAGATGGTCAGATCAGAAAAGATATACACATAAAGGTTTCAGATTTGCCAAATTCATTTCTGGTTGGGGTCCAAAAACATTGAAAAATTATGTTATTTAAGAGAATAAAGTGCTTGAAAAATTTTATAAACTGAAAATTTATGTGGGGGTGGAGGAAATTTTTGTTCTAATTTCCTCGTAATCCACTTTGAGATTATGATTGAGCCTGAATGAGTTTTATTTTAAAATTAATTCTGAGGAATTTAATTCAATATTTTAAAATAAAATTATGTGGAAAAATATATTCTAAACCTATTAATTTTGCATTTTACATTGAAATAATAAAAATCCAGGGGTAAATTATGAATATGCAGATAGTATACTCACTCTGAAATCTCACTATTCACTTATACTAGGAAGGAAATGTTGGAATAGGAGGAGATGTAATCTATCTCAGCAGTATGGCAATATGAACATTAATATTTATGTAAAATGTTAACATTTTGTTTTTTGATGTTTATAGTTGTATGGAGATTAGAAAATAAAAAATTTATTTTGTTTTTAAGAAAAGAGTACTTTCAGGCTGATGGTGTGATGCTTTGGAATTGGCAGTCTAGTTCTTTATATTTTTGTTTCAGTTGCAGATCCCTAAAATGCTACTAAAGAAAGAGAAATGAAATAGAAATGAAATCATTAAGATCAGAATACAGTTTTTGGCCTATAAAGCTCAAGGAGGAATCTTTAGATATGAATTAAAGGGAAAAACTTTATAATGATAGTTAGAAAAGGGTCTGATGCAAGAAAATCCTGAAATCAAAATCTACCATCTGATTGGATAATCCAGAAATCAAGTGACCATCTTTAACACCTTGCTTTCCCTGTCACTAAATCCAGTTCGTCAGCAATTCTTATTCTTTTTGCCACCTAAATATTTCTCTATTACAACCTTCGTTTATCTCTCCCCCGACTATATTGGTCTCAATCTACCAGTAACTGGTAAACCTTGCCTGGATTACCGTAGCAGCCTCTGTATTCATTTTCTAGGACTGCTGTAAGAAATTACCACAAAGAGGTAGCTTAAAGCAATAGAAATTTATTCTCTCTCAGTTCAGGAGGCTAGAAGCTTAAAATCTAGGTGTCAGCAGGGTTGGTTCTTTCTCAAGACTCTGAGGGAAAATCTGTTTCATGCCTCTCTCCTTGTTTCTGGTGGTTGCTGACAGTCTTTGGTGTTTCTTGGCATTCAGCTTCATCACCTTAATTTCTGTCTCCGGTGTCACATGGCTGCCTTATTTGTGTGTCTCTTCTGTGACTTCAAATTTTTCTTTTATTATAATGATTTGGGTGATTAGATTTCAGACTCACCGTACTCCAATATGACTTTACCTTAACTTAATTACGTCTGCAATGACCCATATTTTCAAATAGGGTCACAATCGCAGATACCAAGGGCCATAACTTTAACATACTTTTGGGGGGCATACAATTCAACCTGTTACAGCTTCTAAGCAAAAGTGTCCCTATATTTGAGATTTTTTTGAGTCAATTGTCTGTATGTAGTTTCACTCGTGTCAGTGTGAAGAGACCACCAAACAGGCTTTGTGTGAACAATAAGGCTGTTTATTTCACCTGGGTGCAGGCGGGTGAGTCCGAAAGAGAGTCAGTGAAGGGAGATAGGGGTGGGGCTGTTTTATAAGATTTGGGTAGGTAAAGGAAAATTACAGTCAAAGGGGTTGTTCTCTGGCGGGCATGGGTGGGGGTCACAAGGTGCTCATTGGGGGAGCTTTCTGAGCCAGGATGAGCCAGGGAAAGGAATTTCACAAGGTAATGTCATCAGTTAAGGCAAGGACCTTCCATTTTCACTTCTTTTATGGTGGAATGTCATCAGTTAAGGCAGGAACAGGCCATTTTCACTTCTTTTGTGATTCTTCACTTGCTTCGGGCCATCTGGTCACAGGGGATATGATGGCTTAGCTTGGGCTCAGAGGCCTGACTTGTAGCCAGAATGATCTTTCAAAGAGACAAATCCGATCCTGTAAGTCTTCTATTCAAAACTATCCAATGGTTGTCCATTCTTTTTGAAATTAGGCTTAAAATTTATAACACACTCTGGCCTCTGCTTCTCAAGCTTTACTTGGAGCCATTCGTCTCCATCATATTTCTGCTCCAATGACTGGCCTACTTTCAGTTCCCAGAATGTGCCATGTTCCTTTTCACCTCAAGTCAAATGCTGTTGTCTCTGTGTGAGATCTTTTGCTGCTCCTTCTTCCCCATCATTTTATTCTTCTGGGTAATGTCTATTTATCCTTCAGAGCTCAATTCAAATGTCACTTTCTTAGAGAAATGTGCCCTGATCCCCAAAACTAGATTAAGTCTCCCCATATTATATACTCATAATATTTTGTACGTTTCATATATCATAACTGTAATTACATGCACAGGGTCTTTAAAAGTTAATGTCTGGATTATGTCAACTTTTGGCATTGCAGTCTATCTGCTGATCCATTTCTCAGTGAAATTATTGAAACTTATAAAGAAAACAGTTATTTTAAAGCCTTTGGAAATGGTCATAAAGGCATACAATAAATGAAGAAAAACCTACAAAAGTTCAAGAAAACTTAGAAAAATATGCTAAGAAAAAGCAAGAGTCTGTAATACTTGAAACTGCTCCTGACCTCCCACTACTGAGCTCACTGAGACTGTTGCAACCAAATCTTGGCAACCAAGCCAAGAACACAAGGCTCCATCTTTCCTCAGCTCCTTGTTGGAATTCTTTCTTCTCAGGAATACAGAAGGAGAGGAGAGAGAGAAAGAAACAGAAAAATATTCAAAGAAACAGTAGCAGAGAACTCCCCCAATTTATTGAAAAACAATAAGCTGCACAGCCAGAAAGCTCAGTGAACTCCAAGTAGGATAAACACAAAGAAATTCATAGGCACATAATAATAAAAATACTGTCAGTCAAGTACAAGGAGAAAATCTTGAAATCAGCTACAGAAAAACCACTCATTATTTACAAGGAAGCTCCAGTGAGATTAACATCTTCTCTGTGGGGGAAAAAAAAAGGAAGCCAGGAGACAATAGGATAACATACTGAAAGTACTCCGGAAAAAATCCAAAAAAACCCAAAAAAACTGTCAACCAAACATCTTATGTCTAACAAAGCTATCTTTGTTGAGATATAAGCAAAATCAGAATGATATAAAGATATTTCCAGAGAAACAAAAACTGAGACAAATTGTCACCAGCAGACTTGCCGTAGAGGAAATACTAAAGGAAGTTCTTCAGGCTGAAAGCAAGTAACTCCAGACAGTAATTCAAATCCAAATGAAAAAAAACAAAGAGCTCCAGTAAAGCTAATTATGTAATTTTAAAAGATAGTATAAATGCTTATTTTCTCCTTTCTTTTTCTAATTGAAAAAGCAATTGCATAAAATAATATGTATATTATTATTGTTGGGCTCATAACATATAGAAACGTAATATATCATAGTATATTTGCTAATTACGCACGAAAGACATGGGTGGGAATAAAGCTGTATTGGACTAAAGCAATGATTGTAAAGTAATTATAGCAATGTATTAATATTATTGGGTTTATAATATTAATACATGTAATATCTATAACAATAAAGTGGAGAAAGAGAATAGAGCTGTATGGGAGTAAAATTTCTATATCCCACTGCAATTAAATTAGAACAAATCTGAAGATGATTCTAGTGAGATATGTATGGTAAGCCATAGAGAAACGAGGAAACAATAGCTTTTTTAAAAAATGAAAAATAACTTTATTTAAATGTATTAGAAAATATTCACTTAATGCAAAAGAAAGCAGTAAAAGAAAAATAGAAGAACAACAACAAAACAAGAGATAAATAGAAAACAAAAGGTAAAATAGTAGATATAAATTCAGTTATGTCAATAACAACATGAAATGTGAAAGGATTACACAATCCAATCAAAAGCGCTTGTGAGACTGGATTAAAAATAAGAATCAACTATACGTTTTCTACAGGAGACACACTTTAAGAAATGCAAATAGGTTGTAAGTAAAAGGATGGAAAAACATGTATCATACAAGGAGCAACAACAAGAAGGCTGAAGTGGCTATACTAACATCAGAGAAAATAGACTAAACAGTAACAACAAAGGAATCCTCTTATTAGAAATAGAGGGGCATCCTCAATAAAATACTAGCAAATTGAATCCAGCAACATCTAAGTATTATAAACTATGACCATGTGGGATGTATCCCAGGAATGCTAGGTTGTTTGAACATAAGAAAATCAATGACGGTAATATATCATATTAATAGAATAAAGGAAAAAAACATGATTCTTCCAATAAACACAGAAAGAGCATTCGATGAGATTCAACACCTTTCATGATAAAAAACACTCAACAAGTAAATGGGAACTTTCTCAGCCTGATAAAGGCCATCAACAAACATCTACAGCTAATATCATACTTAATGAGGAAACATTAGATACTTTCCTCCTAATGTGAAAAAGATAAGGATGTTTGCTCTCACTACTTCTATTCAACATCTTCTTGGAAATTCTAACCAGGGCAATTAGGCAACATAAAGAAATAAAAAGCAACCAGATTGTAAACCAACAAGTAAAACTATTTCTGTTTGCAAGTGATATGTTCACATGTATGTAATCCTAAGAAATCCACTAAAATATACAGTAAATATATAACTTCACCTTGATTATGGGATACAAAATCAATGTATAGAAAAATCAGTGTTTTTGTTTTTGTTTGAGACAGAGTCTTGCTCTGTCGCCCAGGCTGGAGTGCTGTGGCATGATCTCGGCTCATTGCAACCTCCGCCTCCTGGGTTCAAGCAATTCTCCTGACTCAGCCTCCCGAGTAGCTGGGACTACAAGCATACGCCACCATGCCCTGCTAAAGTTTTGTATTTTAGTAGAGATGGGGTTTCACCGTGTTGCCCAGGCTGGTCTCAAACTCCTGATCTCAGGTGATCCACCTGCCTCAGCCTCCCAAAGTGCTAGGATTACAGGCATGAGCCACTGCGCCTGGCCCAATGGTATTTTTATATACTTGCAATGAATAATCCAAAAATTTAAGATAATTTTATTCATAAAACATCAAAAAGAATAAGATACTTAGGAATTTAATAAAAGAAGTGCAAAACCTTTGAAAACCACAAAACACTATTGAAAGAAATTAAAGAAGATTTAAATAAATGGAAATGCACCCCATGTTCATTGATTAGAAGACTTAGTGTTGTTAAGATGTCAACAATACTCACAAAATGGTCCACAGATTCAATACAATCCCTGTCAGAATCCCAGCTGACTTTTTTGTGGATATTGACAAACTGATTCTAAAATTTATATGGAATTGCAAGCAACCCAGAATAGCCACAACAATCATAGGGGATAAAAAGAACACTTCTTAATGTCACAACTTAATACAAAGTAGTAGTAACCAATCAAGAATCAAGACAGTGTGGTGCTGGCTCAGGGATATGTGTGTGTGTGTGTGTGTGTGTGTGTGTGTGTAGAAATAAAATCAAGTGTCTAATAAAACTAATTGATTTTCGACAAGGTTATCAAGACCACTCATCATAAGAGTATAATAACTTTATAAAAATTAATGTAGGCTGGGCATGGTGGCTCACGCCTGTAATCCCTGCACTTTGGAAAACCAAGGCAGGTGGCTGCCCACGTGCTTGAGCCCAGGAGTTCAAGATCAACCTAGGTAACATGGCAAAACCCCACCTCTACCAAAAATACAAAAAATTAGGCTTGGTGGCGTGTGCTTGTAGTCCCAGGTACTCAGGAGGCTGAGGTGGGAGAATCACCTGAGCCCGTGAGTTGAGGCTGCAATGAGCCATGATCATGCCACTGCATTCTAGCCTGGGCAACAGAGTGAGACCCTGTCTCAAAAAAGAAAAAAAAAAAAAAAGAATTGATACATAGCTAAATCTTAATGACCTTGGATTGGCAAAGTATTTCTAGAAGTGACATCAAAAGCATGAAGAACAAAAGAAAAAATAAATAATTGGACTTCATCAATATTTAAAACAAAACGATACCATCAAGACAGTGAAAGGAGGGCTGGGCCCTGTGGCTCACACCTGTAATCCCAGCACTTTGGGAGGTCAAGGCGGGCGGATCATGAGGTCAGGAGATGGGAGACGATCCTGGCTAAACGGTGAAACCCCGTCTCTACTAAAAATACTAAAAATTAGCCAGGCATGGTGGCACGCACCTGTAGTCCCAGCTACTCGGGAGGCTGAGGCAGAAGAATCACTTGAACCCGGGAGGTGGAGTTTGCAGTGAGCCAAGATCGCGCCACTGCATTCCACCCTGGGCAACAGAGCAAGACTGCATCTCAAAAAAAAAAAAAAAAAAGACGACAGTGAAAGGACATCCCCACAGAATGGAAGAAAAAATTTGCAAATTAATTACCTAATTTGGGACTTGTATCCATAACATATAAAAACTCTTACATCTCAATAATAAAAAGACAAGCCAATTTTAAAAACAGGCAAAGGATCTGAGTAGATAGTTCTCTAAGGATGGTATACAAATAGCCAGTAAGCACATGAAAAGATGCTCAGCATCATTAATCATTAGGGAAATACAAATCAATACAACAGTGAGATACCACATCTTGCTATTAGGATATCTAGAATCAAAAAGTCAGATAATAACAAGTGTTGACTTGTATGTGGAGAAATTTTAACCCTTCTACATTGCTGACATAAAATCGTGTAGCTGCTTTGAAAGACTGCCTGGCAGTTCTTCAAACAATTAAAATAACATTACTAAATCACTCAGCAATTCCACTCCAAGTTATATAACCAAGAGAAATGAAAACGTATGTCCTCATAAAAATTCATACATGAATGTTTATAGCCGCATTATTCATAAGTGCCAAAAGGTGGAAACAACCCAAATGTTCATCAACTGATGAATGTATAAATAAAATGTAGTATATCTATACAATAGAATAATAATCAGCCCTAAAAAGAATGTAGTACTAACACTTTCTAAACACGAATCTTGATTATATTATGTTAAGTGAAAGACCACACATATTATATGATTCCATTCATATGAAGTATCCAGACTATGGAAATATAGAGACAGGAAGCAGATTAGTAGTTTCTTAGGGCCGAGGGGGATGGGTGGATGGATGTGTAAAGGGCAATGAAACTTCTTTTTTTTTTTTTTTTTTTTTTTTTTGAGACGGAGTCTCGCTCTGTGGCCCAGGTGGGAGTGCAGTGGCGCAATCTCGGCTCACTGCAAGCTCCGCCTCCCAGGTTCACGCCATTCTCCTGCCTCAGCCTCCCGAGTAGCTGGGACTACAGGCGCCCGCCACCACGCCCGGCTAATTTTTTTGTATTTTTAGTAGAGACGGGGTTTCACCGTGTTAGCCAGGATGGTCTCGATCTCCTGACCTCGTGATCCGCCCGCCTCGGCCTCCCAAAGTGTGAAACTTCTTTTTGAGCTGACAAGAATGTTCTAAAATCGTCTATGTTGATTGCACATATCTGTGAATAAAGTACAGACTGTTGAATTGTACACTTTAAATGGCTAAATTATGTGCTATGTTAGTTGTATCTTCATAAAGCTGTTATTAAAAGATGTCCGTCTTCCTAGGTAAACTACATGTTTTGTTTTGTTTTTAGAGGCCAAGTCTCTCTCTGTCACTCACTGGACAGTGCAGTGGTGTGAACACAGCTCACTGTAGCCTTGGCCTCCAGGCCTGCCTTAGCCTCCCCAGTAGCTGGGACTACAGGTGTGTGCTCCCATGCCCAGCTAATATTTTAATTTTTTTTGTTGAGATGGGATCTCACTTTGTTGTCCATGCTGGTCTTGAAATACTGGGCCCAAGTCATCCTCCCTCCTTGGCCTCTCAAAGTGCTGAGATTACGGGGATGGGTCACTCCCCCCTGCATGTTTTGATATCACTAGTGATGTTTATTTTGTTAATCATTGTATTTAGACTTCAGAGTGTAGAGTACAGCCATAAACAACCTTAACAGTTTGAATTACTGAAAAATAATCTTTTATTTTAGACCTAATGATCTTACAAATGACCTGAAATGTAAGGTTTGTTTTGCCTTCGTCACAGATGTAAATTTTGTTTTAAAAATATATTTGAGGCCAGGCGCGTTGGCTCACGCCTGTAATCCCAGCATTTTGGGAAGCCGAGGTGGGTGGAACACGAGGTTAGGAGTTCAAGACCAGCCTGGCCAAGATGGTGAAACTCCGTCTCTACTAAAAATACAAAAAAATTAGCCGGGCGTGGTGGCTGGCGCCTGTAATCCCAGCCACTTGGGAGGCTGAGACAGAGAATTGCTTGAACCGGAGAGGCGGAGGTTGCAGTGAGCCGAGATCACGCCACTGCACTCCAGCCTGGGCGACAGAGCGAGACTCGTCTCAAAAAAAAAAAAAATATATATATATATATATATATATATATATATATATATATATATATATATATGATAATAATTTTAGCAAACTGGAAGATTCAAGAAAGTCTGGCACCTTTTATCTAATGTGTGTTTCTAGTTTTATTTTTCCCTACAGTCTTGACTTTTGTTAAGAATTGTAGAGTTCTCATTAACACTATTAGGTGAATCGTTCATACAAAGTTTTTAAAAAGTCTTCCAAATAAGAAAAAACAAATTCACTTACAGGTAAAATATTTCCCATTATTTTATTTCCTTAAGTCAAACTCTATATCCTAAATAACTAACTTCACTAAAATATCAAGAGTATTTTATAAAGGACTTGCTGGATTAACTGACATGATTAATTCCCCCAAATTTCTCCACTCCTTCTGTGAAACCTACTGACTGATGCTAATGGTGCATTGAACATGTTGGAGAGGACTGCTCTTCAACATGCCCACTTACTTCTGCACCCATCAGTTGTAAGCTTATCATAAATCAGTGATTTGTTCCCAAATTTGGCAGTTTGTTCTTGTTATTGTACTTAGACTGATATTCAGTGTTTAATAAATTGATGAACTGTGAATGCTAAATAGAAATTGTTGTTGTTCTATAATCTTGGCGTTAGAACAGTCTGAATGTGAGATGCAGTAAGGAGAAGAGCCAGAAGGTGTGGAGGTCATTCTATTCATACAGCTCCGAGCTCCTTGCTGCTGCCATCATTATTAAACAGCTCTTTGGAACTCTCTAATTTTAGTCTCTGTGAATTCTCCCTTTTTTCCTTGCCAGTTTCCAATCTGTATTTTGAGAAATACTTGATTAAAATATTTATCTCCTAAGTAGAAAAATAAGAACTCTGGAATTGTCCAAACCCTCATGTTTGTAACTCATGGAAAACAAATAAATTTGATGTGAGCATAATATAAATATTTAGGCCTACCTCTGGATAGGTATTAGAGAAGAGCTTAGCTACAGACGTTTATAACAACTTAGCTCTACATATCTTTTTTTGTATACCTTTATAAAGACATACAACCTTTTTGACTTTTAACAATAATATAATCACCCCATATTCCACCTGTGTTTTTATGTTGCAGTAGTTACTCCAGCTAACACAAACAAGTTTATATACTGAATTTTTATATGTGAGTTCAAGGTGAATAGTAAGTAAAGAAAAGTAACTTTTCCAGGAAATGCACATAAGTGCTCTGTGTTACTAAAAGAGTACTTCATAACACAGAGGAACATAACTGTAAGGATTAATTAGAAGTGTTGGATGGGCGTGGTGACTCAACGCGTGTAATCCCAGCATTTTGGGAGGCTGGTGGATCACGAGATCAGGAGTTAAAGACCAGCCTGGCCAAGATGGTGAAACCCCGTCTCTACTAAAAATACAAAAAAAGTAGCCTGGTGTGGTGGTGGGCGCCTGTCATCCCAGCTACTCAGGAGGCTGAGGCAGAGAATTGCTTGAACCTGGGAGGTGGAGGTTGCAGTGAGTTGAGATTGCACCACTGTACTCCAGCCTGGGTGACAGAGTGAGACTGTCTCAAAAAAAAAAAAAAAAGTGTTGATGTGCTTTGCATTACAAAAAATCTATATCATGAAGTTTTCTTAAAGGACTCCAGCCTAGCTAGCCTTTTGAGAGTCTCTCTATTAGGGGCCTGCTAGGGCTATTTAAATTCTTAATCCTCTTTTTTTGGTGTCATTATATTAAGAATATAAAGACGAATAATTGAATGATTGAGGAATATTCCAAGTATATTATTTGGAGGAATTATTAGCAAAATCAGTATCCTTTCTCTGCTGAAAACAGTGACTAAAAAGAGAAAGTGGGCAGGCTCCTTGTATTGTTAGGAAGGTCGTGCTCTTGGGCTTTGTATAAATGCAGGGTATTTAAAGTTCCCAGTATCCTTGGAAACACAAACTGTTTATAATACCAATTGGTGCTTGTGTTTCAGTGACGTCATACAATTTACAGATCCACACAATGAACGTCTTGTTTGTGGACCTACAGAGGAGTTCAGATAGTTTTGGAAAAGCAACTGAATGCCCATAGGATTTAAGGCTTAATTTGTGTGTGTGTTTTCTCAGGCTTTAATTTTAAGAAAGAGTGACAACCTTACTTTTCCTTCTTTAAATCTTACGAGTTTGGATTCAGCTTTTTTAAAAATAGCAAAAGATGTCACCCATCAAATTTGTCATTGTTTTATATTCTTGTGATTGCATTTGAGAAGTATATACACATTTTTGTACCAATTGAAACCTGTAGAGAAATAGATGAAGAAGATCAATTACTCCTCTCAAGTTTAGCCATCAACTGTGAGTGGTAAGAGACTTTTAGAGCTGGGAGTATTTGATAACTGGTTAGAGTAAAACAGTGCTATTAAAAAGATTTTTTTCTCTCTTCTCATCCCCCCTGCCCCCCACTCATTTTTTTTTTTTTTTTTAAATCTGAGAGGGAATTGGTAGACTGACCTAAATGGTGTACATTAAGCTGAACAAATAGACCTAAATAACAGAAAGTGTTTTGGCCCTTATATTTCATTTCTGCTTGTAACTGCTTCTCTAGCCAAAAGGCTCTGGATTTGTTGTCTTTTCCTTTGTAAAGTTTGTATTAAGAATAATATGTAGATTTTTGGCACAGCAATATAACTAGAGTCTGTCTGATGGTATCAGATGGAAATATGTTTTTGTTAGAGCAAATCTGTGCAGTACTTTTTTTCCTCAGAATATTTCCAAGGAAAGGTTTATTTACATTCATCATATAATCCTGAAGACCATTCACAGTTTAAATCAGTTTTTTCTATCAGATTTTATTACAATATTTTTACCATCTGAACATTTTCAATAGGAGTAACAAATGAACCCATTGTTTCAGATGTGTGAAGTTAAAATAATAACAAGTGCTATTATTTATTGAGGGCTTTACAGTATGCCAAGCACTGTTTGTAATGCTTGATATTTCTCACTTAATCTTCACCACATTCCTACATAGTAGAAACCACATTATTCCATTTTAAAGATGAGAAAACTGGAGCTCTAAGAAGTTAAGTATCTTGACTAGAGTCACATGGCTGGCAAGTGATAGGATGGGAATTCCTTTTCAGGCAGTCTGACTCCAAAGTCTGTGCTCTTAACCACTTGACCTTCATGCTTCTCAAGAATGATAATAATCAGAGTTAACATTTACTGAGTACTTTTCTGTGTTCCAGAAATTGCTCTCAACTCTTTCTGGTGTGTTAACTTATTGAATCAAATAACCTAAGTTGAGGACATGGGTCTTGCCAGGGTTTCAGTTTGACTCTGAGCCTCCCTTTGCCAAACGTTTGTGGTTTGGTAACTTCTTCTCTAAAATCGTTTAAAAAAAAAAATTGAGACAGGGTCTCACTATTTTGCCTAGGCTGGATTTGAATTCCTGGACTCAAGCGATCCTCCCCCATCAGCCTCCTGAATAGTTGGGATTACAGGCCATATGCCACCATGCTGGGCCTCAAAGATCTTTGAAAATAATTTGTGTCTGCTGAAAATCTGTATTGAGTTGTGTTAAACAACTCCATAGGAATTCTAGCAGAGGTCAGCGTGTGCCATTGTGCTCTGAGTTAGTATTACCTTCCTTCTGGTATATTTAGGTACTCTTACTTTTCTTATGGGAGAAATAAAAATTTTAGAGAGTTATGCAGAAGTCTAAGTTTGAACCTAATATTTCAAGTGCTGCTTAGATATTTATAAGGGAAAGATTAAATACCTTGTAACCAGCATTTCTTTTCTGATTGTTTAAGTTAAAGCAGTGGATGTACATAGTTAAAAAGTCAGTTCTGCGAGGATTTAAATGAAAATGATCATTCACTTTCCCTATCTCTACCCGTTGCCTCAGCTAGTTTCTGCTCCACAGAGGCATCCATTGTCAACTCTTTCAGAGGTTTCTTTCACTATTTACCATCATATTTTAAATAACTCATGTATTCACGTACGCATACATGAAACCAAGATAGACTTATACAGTTTTAAACATTCTTTGTTTGGAATTGCCTTCTACTTGTAATCTATTTCTAAAATTCTCTCTAAACCCTCATGCACAAAACTGTGATGTTATCCCCTTGTATAATTTAGAAAATCAGAGGTTCTTACAACCCCCTCTCAGATTTGATAATTTGCTATAGTGGCTCTCAGAACTCAGGGAAACAGTATATAGTACTTACTATTATCAGTTTACCAAAAGGATATCATAGAGGACACAAATGAACAGCCAGATGAGGAAGTATATAGGGCAAGGTCTGGAAGATTTCTAAGGGCAGGTACTTCTGTCCCTATGGAGTTTTAGGGTATACCAGCATCCTGGCATGTGGATGTATTCACCAACCTGGGAGCTCTCTGAACCCCACTGTTTAGAGTTTTAATGGAACTCTATTACATAGATATGATTGATTAAATCATTGGCCATTGGTGATTAGCTCAATCTCCAGCCTCATTTCTTCCATGGGGGTGTGGGTTACATCTGAAAGTTCCAACCCTCTAATCACAGGGTTGGTTCCTCTGGCAACCAGCCCCCATTTGGGGGCCACTAAGAGTCAACTCATTAGTATAAACTTAAGTAAATTTGAAAGGGACTTACTATGAATAACAAAAGATGCTTCTCCAACTGATTACTCTAGAAATTCTAAGGATTTTAGCAGTTCTGTGCTAGGAACCGGGGACAAAGACCAAATATGTATTTCTTATTATATCAGAATATCACACTTGCCCCAAATCATCTGTAATACATGGAAGATTTGAATCTAGTTATCTGACTATACCACTAAATTAGTGTTTTCATATAACTCACATTTGGCCTTGTTCAAATGTTCAAATGGAACTATATAGTCATGGTTCCCTCCTTTTGTTGTTGTTGTTTTTGGTTTTTTGGTTTTTGTTGAGACAGAGTCTTCCTCTGTCACCCAGGCTGGTGTGCAGTAGCACGATCTTGGCTCACTGCAACCTCCGCCTCCTGGGTTCAAGCAGTTCCCCTGCCTCAGCCTCCCAAATAGCTGGAATTACAGTTTCCCTCCTTTTCAATGCCCAAATAATTAATAATAGAAAAACGTTATTATTGTATGCCAGTATGTGCAAAGTGCTTTGTTAAGCACTCAGTATGCATTATCTCATTTGAACCTCAAAAAACTCCCTAAAAGAGTAGGTATTTTTATAGTCCCTATTCATAGATGAGGAGATTGAGGTTCAATTAGGTTGAGTAATTTGTCCAGTCTTTTTCAAGTAAACTTTTTATGAAAGGATAATGTACACAAAGTACATAAATTGTATAGCTTGATGTATGGCTTGATGAATTTGCATAAAGGGGCATATCTGTGTAATTTATACCCTGCTCAAGAAACAGAACATTATTACCATCTCAGAAGCCCACTTATGTCCTGTCCCAGACACTTCACCTGCAAACAGTGACTACTAAACTGACTTTTAATACTATAGATTAGGTTTACCCAATTTTGATGTTTAAACAAAATTACACATCTTTTGTATCTTTTTTTGCTCAACGTTATATTTGTGAGAGTCAAACATATTGTTTTCTATAGTTATAGTTCTTTCATTCTCCCTGGTATATAGTATTTCATTTTATGAATTACCAAAATTTATCCATTTTACTGTTGGTTTTTATTTTGGATTGTTTCTAGCTTTTGGCAATTTTGAATAGTGCTGGCATGTATGTTCTTATACATGTCTTTTGACTAAAACATGTCCACATTTCTGTTGGGTATATATCTAGGAGTAGAATTGCTAGATATGTATACGTTCGGTTTTAGTTAATATTGTCCAACAGTTTTCAAAAGTGATTTTACCAATTTATACTCTCACCCTCAGATCCTTCAATTCCTCAACAATACTTAGTATCTTTTTCATTTTAGCCATTCTAGTGGGTATGTAGTGCTATCTCACTGTGGCCTTAATTTGCATTTCCCTGATGAGTAATGAAGTTGAGCATCTTTTTACATGTTAAATGGACATTTGGATATTCTTTTTTGTGAAGTGAGCATTCAAGTCTTTTGCCTGTATTCAGCTGGTTTGTCTGCCCTTGTTTCTTTTTTCTCATACCATTTACACTTGGTTTTACTGGACAGCCTTATTCATTTTGATACGGCTCCAATGAGTGGAGGAACACCAGGGCTCTTGTCTCACACCAAATTCGATAAGACGACATGGACACACGTGGAGTGGTTTTAAGTAGCAGAGAGTTTAATAGGCAAGAAAGAAGAGGGAAGAAAGAAGGAAGAAGCTACCCTGTACAGAGACAGAGGGAGGGGGCCTCCAAAGCTGAGAGGAGACCTCAAGTGCGGCAGAAACCAGCCAGGTATATGAAGAGGCTGGAAGAGGCAGTGTCTTATTTGCATAGGGCTCAGGGGATTGGTTTGATCAGGCATGTCATTCATGTAGCCTGTGGGAAAAAACTGGCCCTCCCACCCTAGCCTTTTAATATGCAAATGCAGAGTGCCATGAGTTTCTATACACTTGGGGAAATGGGGGGCAGCCATGTTGCCAGGCACATGTGGGGGCAAAGGCAAGAGAACAAGGGTAGGAATCGCCATGCTGGGCGGACCCAGTTTCTAATGGCTGGCATTTGTATATCAAAGGTTTCCAGCCCAGCTCTAAGAGCTGGGCTTTCCTGCTAGACAAGAAATGTTTCTGAAGCTGCTTCGAAAGAGACAAAAACTTTCCAAGGACCCCTTTTCCTCTCCTATCTGCCTAAAATAATTTCTTAACTCCTACCACATTTTTGTCAGTCTATCCATCCTTTTCTTAACAGATTACATTGACTTTCTCCATCCCTGTTCCCTTTTTCTGAAGAAAGAACTTTAGACTCTTCTAGCATTTTATTTCGGCATTTACATATCTCTCTTAATTCCAAATAATATACATACACTGTTGCTTTTTTATTCATCCATTTTAGACCTTTTTACTGATTTCCTATTATGGCGGATGAGGATTTAGCTATCACATAAAACCATTCCAACTTCCTCACTATAGTTTTTGGTGATTGGTTGGTTTGTTTTTATCAGTATTCAATGTTTGTATTATTATGCCATGCTGAGTATGGTTGAATATCATTATTATTTTTCCTTCCTTTTTTTTTTTTTGAAGTTTGTAATTGCCCTTTTTTCCTGTTTGTTTAGTTTTCTTATTACTTATTCTTCTCAGACCTTACTGTAATATTGCATTATATTTTTACTCAAGGTCGATAATACCAGGTAACGTATCAGATCTAGTGTCTTTTTTTTTTTTTTTTTGAGAGGGAGTCTTGCTCTGTCGCCCAGCTGGAATGCAGGGCTCACTGCAATCTCCACCTCCTGAATTCAAGCTATTCCCCTGCCTCAGCCTCCAGAGGATGGTCTCAATCTCCTGACCTCGTGATCACCCACCTCAGATCTAGTGTTATTTTGCTTTCTTTTCTTTTTTCTTGGAAACATTCCTCATGGAGCCCTCCTCTTCTTACCTTTAGGCCTATTTCCTGAATAGCTATCATTTTAGGAGTTTCTTTTGCTGTCATTCTTGGAATTCCTTTTGCCTTTTTCATAGGTTGTATTCCTCGTTGTGTGGATCTTCCTCTCTTTTTTTACTTACTTCCTTGCTTTGTTCAAGCATATCCTCCAGTAGTTAGTTGTTGTTTTTTGTTTTTTTTTTTAAGAGACAAGGTCTAGGCCAGGCATAGTGGTTCACACCCATAATCCTAGCAGTTGTGGAAAGGCAGGAGAATTGCCTGAGGCCAGAATTTAAGACCAGCATGGGCAATAGAGTGAGACCCTACCAAAATAAAATAAACAAATTAAAAATTAGCAGCTGGGCGCAATGGCTCCCACCTGTAATCCCAGCACTTTAGGAGGCCGAGGCGGGTGGATCACGAAGTCAAGAGATGGAGACCATCCTGGCCAACATGGTGAAACCCCATCTCTACTAAAAATACAAAAATTAGTTGGGCATGGTGGTGAGCACCTGTAGTCCCAGCTACTTGGGAGGCTGAGGCAGGAGAATTGCTTGAACCCGGGAGGCAGAGGTTGCAGTGAGCCGAGATTGCACCACTGCACTCCAGCCTGGCAACAGAGCGAGCCTCCATCTCAAAAAAAAAGAAAAAAAATTAGCTGGGTGTGGTGGTGCATGTCTGTCATCATGGCTACTTGGGAGGATTGCTTGAGCCCAGGAGTTAAAGGTCACAATGAGCTATGATCACACCACTGTACTCCAGCCTGGGCAACAAAGCAAGACCCTGTCTCTTAGAAAAAAAAGAGAGAGAGGAGGGGTATTGCTTGCTCCTTTGTCCAGGCTGAACCTGAACTCCTGGACTCAAATGACCCCCCTGCCTTAGCCTCCTGAGTAGCTAGGACGACAGGCATGCACCACGGCTCCTGGCTTCCTTCAATAGTTTTTAAAGATGGCACATAGGCAGAAAAGCATGGTATGACAGCCTTCAGCCTGCCAGTCTCTTTAACCATACTGCTGCAATCAGGACTGGTGGATAGTTATCAACCTCCTATTCTTATTCGTTGTCATGTTGAGATACTACTTGCTTCTCTCCTGTATTGGAGCACCTGTTTTTTTAAATACTGTATGCTTTTTGTTTTCTTGGTTTACTTTCTATTATGAACTGAGTGTGTCTCCCCAAAGTTATTTTATGTTGAAGCCTTCTATCTGAGTGTGCTGTATTTGGACATAGGACCTGTGAGGAAAGTGATAAAGATTAAATGAGGTAATAAGGGTGGGACCTTAATTTAATAGGGCCGTTGCCCTTATAAAGAAGGGGAGAGGCTCCAGTGATCTCTCTTCCCCATGTGAGGACACAGTGAGAAGGTGGCCATCTGTAAGCCAAGAAAGAGCCCTCATCAGGAACTAAATTGGCCAGTACCTTGATCTTGGACTTCATAACCTCCAGAACTATGTGAATATAAATTTGTGTTGTTTAACTCACACCGTCTATAATATTTTGTTAAGGCAGCCTGAGCAGACTAAGACATTCCCCCATTTTGAAGGAGGACATCTTCTTGTCAGACACGTGTGAACCAGAGCAATTCTATCCTAAGTAGGAACTGGGTACAGTGAGGCTGAAACTTACCAGGCTGCATTCCCAGATGGTTAAGGCATTCTAAGTCACAGGATGAGACAGGAGGTCAGCACAAAATACAGGTCATGAAGACCTTCCTGATAAAATAGGTTGCAGTAAAGGAGCTGGCCAAAACCTGCCAAAACCAAAATGGTGACGAGCGTGACCTCTGGTCGTCCTCACTTCTACACTCCCACCAGCGCCATGACAGTTTACAAATGCCATGACAACGTACCCTATATGGTCCACAAAGGGGAGGCATGAATAATCTACCCCTTGTTTAGCATATTATCAAGAAATAACCATAAAAATGGGCAACCAGCAGCCCTTGGGGCTGCTCTGTCTATGGAGTAGCCATTCTTTTATTCCTTTACTTTCTTAATAAACTTGCTTTCATTTTGCACTGCGGACTCGCCCTGAATTCTTTATTGCGTGAGATCCAAGAACCCTCTCTTGGGGGTCTGGATCGGGACCCTTTCCTGTAACACTCCAGTAGGGTATTTTTCCTGATTAGCAGTTCGTGGTAGGCAAAATTTTTGAGGCCTTGATTATCTAAAATCCTTTTTTTCTCACACTTGGTTGTTAGTTTGGCTAAGTGAATAATAATCTAGGTTAGAAATACTTTTCTGTCAGAATATTGAACTCATTGCTCCATTGTCTTCCAAATTCCTGTGTTGCTTTTGAGAAGTCCAGATCTATTCTTATTCCTGATGTTTTATACATAACTGTTTTTTTTCTTACTGATATGTTTTGGTGGTCATCTGTTTTTATCAATTTTGCTGGACACTCGGGTTTCGATCTAGAAACTCACATCATTTAGTACTGAGAAATTTCACAAATGATTTCCTCATTTCTGTTTCTTCTTGCCTATTATTTTTATCTTGACCCTCCTAGATTGGTTTCTCAGTTTACCTTTTTCTTTTCCATCTTTTTGTCTTTTTGATCTATTTTCTTAATTTTATCTTTTAATTATATTACTGCATTTTTTTCATTTCTGCTATTATGTTTTTAATATACAAAAGATCTTTTTAGCTCTGTAAGTGTTGCTTTTTATTAAAAAATATCTTATTTTTGTTTCCTGGATGCCATTTTTTCTTGTATCTGTCTCTTTGAGGATAACAGTGTTTTGTTTTTTCCCTGTATTGTTTGTGTCTCCTTCAAGTTGCCTTTTTCTGTGTCTCTCTTTTTTTTTTTTTTATGTCTATATTCTTCTGCTAGAAGCTTTCTTTTGGTTCTGGTAATTCTTGTTGGTCTGCTTCAGATTAAGAATGGGAGATGAGAAAGCTTACTGGAGGATCTAAGTGTGAAGATGGACCTTGCCCATTTTAAGGGCTTTACTATAAGGTGACCTGGACCTGCTGTTTGTCGGGGGAACCCTTTTGTTAGTATCTTTAGTTCTTTTCTCTTGGGATGGTCTGATGCCCAGAGTGTTCTTCTAAATTGCCTGTCTGGAATGTAAAAGTCTAATTTTGAGAGTCAAATGGGAGTTGAAGAGACCTTTGGGGGAAGCTCATGTCTTAACATGTTTAGAGTAGCCTTTTCTCAACTGTGACAATTACTCTTTTGTCCACCATTTATTTTACCCTCCCAGGAGAGCAAACCTCCATTCTTTTACCTGGGTTGGGAAGGGACATTTATCTATATAATGGGCGAGAGGATCTTGGTACTCTGCCTCTTAAACAGATTTTATACTACCCCTCTTCTCCATTGAGAGCTACCTAGTACTGGCCTATCCCTGAACCTTTCAAGGATTCTGTGGTTTAAATTAGGTTGGTTCTTAGCTTTTCTCATTCTTAACCTAGGATTCTGTTACTCAGGCCTGCTAAGTCAGTTACCACTTGAACATGTTTCTTCTAGCTTTTAAACTTTTATTTACTTTTTATTTCCGTTCTCACTACTTTTGTGGGTCCATGTCTCTGTCTCTCCGTATATAAATTTATCTTTACTGTAGTTTAAGTGGGGTTTTGAAAGGAAGTGAAATTATATATGTTCAATCTACTGTTTTAACCTAGTAGCTGCCATATATTTCTTAAAATGAAATTTGAATAAGGCATTATGGAGCTCTTGGAGCAATTCCAGTTTTTTTTTGTAGGCCAGAGTTAGAGATCTTGGCCTTAGACAGATGGATCTAGCATTTGGCTTGACTTTATCTGACTAGATGTGACCCAAACTGAATTTCTCAGCTTCTTCCTCAAAGTTGTTCTTCTTTCAGAATTCCTAATCTCAGTAAATGAAACCTCTGTTCACCTTTTGACAAAAATGCAAATCAGCGGTGTCATTCCTCTGTTTAAAATTCTTCAGATGCTTCCCATTATTCATAGGATAAAAATCAACCTCCTTAACCTGGTTTATTGGGCTTTGCATGATCTTGCCCCAAACTTTTCACTAGCCTCCTATCTCTGCACTACTTCCTTGCTTTCCAAAACTGCTTCAGCCGTAGGGCCCCCCACCTTTCAGATTGTTGAAGTAGGACCACCGTCTTCCTCAAGGGCTTTTACATCTGTGGTTCATTTGTCTGAAATGCTAATACATTTCCCTTCACCACCTACCATTCTTCCAGCTGTAATAATGCCCAAGCCTAAGTCTATTGCTTGTTGAATGTTCTCACAGCACCCTATACTGCTTTTTTGTAGTGTTTATCAGAATTATTTTAAATTAGTTATATACTGATTGTACAGTATTTGACCCCATTAAGTTGATGTTCCACAAGTCCAGTCACTAGATCCGTCTTGTTCATTGTTATATCCCGAGGCTTGAGTACAGTGCTTTACTTACAATAAACAAATACTCATTGAACTTAAAAATAAAGGAGAAGCTTTATTGATATGCTAGAAAAAAATCCCGGACTATACGTCAGAATAACTGAATTCTAAGATAGCTATGCTAGGTGTGTCACTTTGAGCAAATAATTATATAATTCTCAGCCTTATTTTATTTATGAATTAAGGAAGTGTGATTTATTGATCTCTAAGATACCTTTTAACTCTACATTAAAGGACCCCCCCTTTCCCTTTCTATTCATTTCTTTTCCAGTTGGCTTTCATTTTTATTTTCCTACTTGATACTCATAAATCATTTCTTCCTTATGTTCATTCTTTTTATTCTCTGTAATATGAATATATTCCTTGGTATTTGAACTCTCACTTTAGTTCAAGATGGGCTTGAACTATATTTTCTTTTCTCAATTAAAATCCAACTATTTGGCCAGGCACGGTTGCTTAGCCTGTAATCCTAGCACTTTGGGAGACCAAGACAGGTGGATCACTTGAGGTCAAGAGTTCGAGACCAGCCTGGCCAACATGGTTAAACCCTGTCTCTACTAAAAATACAAAAATCAGCTGGGTGTGCTGGCACATGCCTGTAGTCCCAGCTACTCGGGAGGCTGAGGCAGGAGAATCACTTGAACCCAGGAGGCAGAGGTTGCAGTGAGTGAGCTGAGATCGCACCATTGCACTGCAGCCTGGGTGACAGAATGAGATTCCACCTTAAAAAAAAAAAAAATCCAAATATTTGCTGTAACGACTTGGAATTTTTTTAACCTTAAATTGACTATCCAGATTAAAATATTACTAAAAGAACCCTGCACGTGTATTGTGGCCAAAAACATAAGTGCCACACAAATGTGGTTGGAGAATATAGACTTATTGTCCTGTATCAGCTATGTTCCCAATAGGATTGTATTTCATGATTATGTTAAGGGTTTTATGCAATCTTAATATCTTCTAAGATAATGGAAAAGGCTGCAAAAAGTAGGTTTGCCTAGGAAATTAGAAAAATTCTTACTTTGAAGAAAAGATATGTGATAAAGGCTAATGAGGCAAAAACCATAAACTTGGCCGTGGATATGTCCTCTTGTACTGTGTGTATGACTTTTATAAAGAAAATTATGATAATGGTGTTAGTTTTAGAAAGCCTTGTAATTTGTTTAATTTTATTGCCTTATTTGCATTCATTATATATCTTTAACAAATTATTGTTTATTTACCTTACAGTACAGGTTTGTAGTGTCGAAGGGAATGTAACTTGTGTCTGATGTATATACTATGTATAAACATACCCACTAACAGGTTCACCAAATGTTAAACAATTTTGTATTGGCATTTTTAATTTAGAACTTTCTGATGGATTACGTATAGGGGTTTAAGAATACTTAATATTTGGGGAAATTAATTTGGAGTTTTAGATGGGTTTGAACTAAATTTTCTTTTTCCATTTAAAAAATCATGGAATATAGGCTCCTGTTACATGAAAATTTGCCATCCAATGCATTTTCAGGAATGGATTAGATTTCGATAAGAGGGATGTTTTTCTATTTGTGTTGGCCGTATTAAAGAGAAAAACTAAATGCTGCTTCTTACTGCTTTATAGCCTTGTATTGTAGGTGTTTGTTTCCTACCACTCACTTGAGGTCAGTGGTTTTTCATAAAAAGAAAGGTTTTTCACTGCTGATATGAGTCAGCTAAGTTGTGCTCATCGAATTGGGTTATCTAATTCCTAGTGAGTGACGGATAACATTCTTTAGAGATGCTTATATTATCACCTTGATAGTTTTCACTGTAAGCTCAGCGATTTGTGATTCAAATGGGTCTCAATTCAGAAAAGATGCATATGTAGCTCTGGATTCTATTGCACTTGATGCTATAAATAGAGGTAGAGCTATTAAAGATTTTTAGTGCTGCCATACTCTTGACAACTTTTATTTCTAATGTAGCCTGCCTTCTTCTGCTTTCTTAGGTAGAGAGGTGATATCACAGCATTGGTTGTGTAACCAGTTGCTAAAAAGTCAGACACTAATTTCTCAATAGTGAAATTAGTGTCTGAGTTCACTCTTTTTCACCCTCTCCACAAAGAATCACATTCCTTGAAAAGCTCTAATTCTTTTCCCACACCAGCTGCCCCTAAAGGAAAGTGATGCGATCCAATTCAAAAAGAGGCAAGCATGAGAATATATTAATATAGGGAGAGATACTAAATATAACAAAAGGAATGTGCATTAAATGCTGTTTGAGATTAAGTCTTAGTGTAGTTCATTTTTCTGTCGGTAACAGAAACGAGACATGAAAATGATCTTGAGTTTTTATCGCTTAGTAATATAATACTATGGTCATATTTTAAGTGCCATGCTAGTTTTTCTTATGCTTTTCTCTTTCTTTTCTTTTTGAGACAGGGTCTTGCTCTGTCACCCAGGCTGGAATACAGTAACACAAATCACAGCTCACCACAGCATCGACCTCCCAGGCTCAAGCAATCCTCCTGCCACAGCCTCCTGAGTAGTTGGGACTAAAGGTGCAAGCCACCACACCTGGCTGATTTTTGTACTCTTTTTGTAGAGCCAGGGGTCCCACTTTGTTGCCCAGGCTGGTCTTGAACTCTGGAGCTCAAAGGATCCTCCTGCTGCTGCCTCCCAAAGTGCTAGGATTACAGGCATGAGCCACCGTGCTTGGCTACACTTTTCTTAAATTAGCACAATATTTATTTAAGAAAAAATTGTAGATAGGCTTTTATTTCCTTCAAAGGATTAGTATATAAGTGACCTATTTTATTTTGAATATTTTATATTTTTCTGTTTAAGAGGTTTAGTATGAACTGTAGATTATGACTGATCTATTGGGATTGAAGAACAGGCTGTGATGGACTGCCATTTCTCATCTTACTGCTGGCACCATTCATAAGACTCCATTCAGTTAACTAGGCCACATAGTTGCTTAAGCAGACTTGGCTTAATGTGGAAATTAAGGGACTTACCTCTTTTAAGAGACTGGGTTGTGCTGTGTTGCCCCGGTTTGAATGCAGTGGCTATTGAGAGCACAGTCATGCACCCTACAGCTTTGATCTTCTGAGCTCAAGTGATCTCAGCTCCCAAGTAGCTGGGACTATAGAGGCATGCCCTGATATCCCAGCAGGACTTATTTCTTCAAGTGCATATTTAAGAAGTGGAAGAAAACTATATGATCTGCTTTGTTTGCATTTCACGGCACATGTGATCAGGACAGTGCAAACTGTTGTAGTGATGTGGAAGGGAGAAGCAAGGTAGAACTATCATAGGAATTGTTCCCCATCCTTACCATCTTCTTAAAATAAGTAATGGCACCAAACTAAAATGAGCTCTTCTATAGAGAAGTGTTACCTTTATCAAATATCAAGTTGTCTGCCATAAATAAGTCATGCCTTCAAGGAATTTATTACTTTTTTACCAGATAACTCACTCTGACCTGTGATAGAGCAGAGTTAGAACATTCATGCTGAACTGTGATGCAGCTGAGACTGAGAGGGAAGCAGCAGCAGAACTCTGCAAATGTTAGACTAAAGGAAATTACTCACCAGAGAGAAGTATCACATGTTATCTCTTTCCTGCTCTCTCCTTCTCTTAACAAGGGTGATAATGAGCATAGTGGATTTACTAACTAGACACCAGTGATCAAGTAGGTCGGAAATTAAGCCTTTGTAGTTGACAAGGAAACTAAAGTGGTTAGCTAAGGTTAAAAGACACAATATAAATTTATTTCGGCAAATAGTTGTGGTCTCATAGTAAATTTATGGTAATGTAAGGATTAAGACTTGTATTTCCATGAAGGCAACCATTTCTGACCTAATGACTATATCTTAAACATATTGAATGATTACTTAGTATCCATATTACTCATCAAGGTACGAGGGTGGCCATATTTAAATCCACTGAGGCCATTTATTTGTATGAACTATAATATAATTTGCCAGCCCAAATGTTCATTGTGTGTCAGGACAAAGCAAAGTTCACAGGTACTGTGTGTTGGGTGGTTATCAGTCTAAGAAAATTTTTGTTTGTTGTTCTGGAAATGTTATTTTCTGACATTTTGACAGAATATAGAGGGTGGGAAGGTAATGAAGGGATAAAATAAGTAAAATTAAACTTTACTTTAAGTGACCTGACTGGATTTTCCTTTCCTTTTGTACTTTAAGAATGAAAGAGAGTGACTTAGTTGATGGGAACTACACTAGGTCTTAAGCAGACAACATTAATACATTTATAAAATAATTTGAGCATAAATCTGCAGTATATTGTGGACTACTCCTCAACCACATTACAATTTTTTTGTTTTTTTTTTTGAGACAAGGTGTTATTCTGTTGCCCAGGCAGAGTACAGTGGTGTGATCATGGCCCACTGCAGCCTTGACTTCCTGGGCTCAAGTGATCCTCCTGCCTTAGCCTCCCAAACTGCTGGGGTTACAGGCATGAGCCACTGTGCCCAGCCTGTTACAGTTATTGACATTGTTAAGAATCATCTCCACGTAACAACTCTAACATTATTTCTTCTATTATATCAGAAATTGTCTATAGAAGATAGCCATGTGTATGCCATATTTTTAAATCTGCATGTCAGGGGCAAGGATTTTATTGTTTATTAAAAAAATAAAGAACTGCCTTTTAAAAAATAGCTTGTTGGCCGGGCACAGTGGCTCATGCCTGTAATCCCAGCACTTTGGGAGGCCGAGGCTGGCGGATCACAAGGTCAGGAGATTTAGATCATCCTGGCTAACACGGTAAAACCCCATCTCTACTAAAAATAGAAAAAATTAGCCAGGTGTGGTGGCGGTCGCCTGTAGTCTCAGCTACTCGGGAGGCTGAGGCAGGAGAATGGCGTGAACCTGCGAGGCAGAGCTTGCCGTGAGCTGAGATCGCGCCACTGCACTCCAGCCTGGGCGACAGAGTGAGATTCCCTCTCAAAAAAAAAAAAAAAAAAAAAAACCAAAAACTTGTTAATTGGCCTATTAATATGATATTAAACATGAATGCCTGTTAAAACTGTTGTGAACATGTTGATGAAAAGAAAAAATGCAATCCTCCCACCTCAGCTTCCCAAGTAGCTGGGACTACAGGCACGCACCACCATGCCTGGCTGATTTTTGTATTTTTTGTAGAGATGAGGTCTCACTGTGTTGACCAGGCTAGCCTCAAACTTCTGAGTTCAAGTGATCCACCCACCTTGGCCTCCCAAAGTGCTGGGATTATAGGCGTGAGCCACCGTTCCTGGCCAGATGTTTTTGCTTCTGTAATAAAGTGATCACTTTAATTCTTAGCTTTTATGAAGTAATACTTTTTGACTTTGGGTTCAAAGCCAAAACAAATCTGGTCATTGAAATTTCAGAGTTGCGAAGAATTTGCCATTTCTAAGCCAGGTTAGCTGTGGTGTGGAAATGAAAATGTATGTATAGATACAGGAAAATACAGATCTATCCTTCCACAACAGTTCAGACTTCTGCAGTTTACACCAATTATCTGTTGGGAATATGTTTCTCTTTTAGTGTATTAAGACCTTCCCTATTCAGATAGATTTCCCAAAACTATGCTGTTGTTATTTCTTTTTTTAGGTTGGCACTAAGATAGATGAAAGGCCCCTGAGACTGAATGAAACATTAGAGTTTGTATTAACTGGGAAGATTCTCTCTGTAGAATCCCTTTATAAAGCTTTCTCTGGAAGGCAGTAAATATTAATAGTGTTACAGTCTCACCAATGCAACACAGTGTAGTGTCTGTTATTGTGAGACATCACCCAGAGTTGTTTGTCTCATGACCAAGAGAATTAAGGAGCATGGTCACAAAGGGTGAGGTTGGAGCAAAAGTTTAATAAGCAAAAGAATGAAAGCTGTCTGCCGCAGAGAGGGGGCCCAGAAGAGGGTTGCCATTTTTACAGTTCAATGCAAAGGCTTTTATACGAAACTGATGAGGGCTGGGCGTCTCATTTACATAAGGTGTGAATTTCTGGTACCTCCACCCCGTCCTGCTAGTGTACATGTGGGCCCTTAGCTTGAGTTACTCCATAATGCTTTGTTCCCCTTACTGCACATGTGTTAGGGGATGGAATTTTCCATTGTGGCCATGTCTGGGCAAGTCATCTCTGTAACCTGTCTTATCTGTGTGGCTGTGAGCATGTCTTAGGCAAGCTTCCTTGTCTAAGTTCCCTTATTTGTGCCTATAGCCTGAAAAATCAGGCTTTTGTTTGAAAGGATTCAACTGAGGCCCCACCCTAGCTGCCTGCCTGACCAGTTTCTTCTTTCTCCTCTCAATAGGTTCATGATTTTACCAATTGCATTTAACATATCATGTCAGAATTTTTAAAAACATGAGACTAGTAAATGATGTGATTCAAAAGCAACTCAGATGAACTTCTAAGGAGCCGTAAGATACAAAAATAAAATTTCTCACAGCAATTTTTTCTTACCCATTCTTCATATTTTGGCCATAGACTTATTGTCCTTTCTCCCTTATCCCTATTTCTGCTTTCTATCAGATCCCTTTAATTACTCTCCTGCTATAAAATTTTTGAGGCACTTTTCCTAAGTATGGAAGAGATAAGTTGCTTATCCTCTAAGAAAAAAGTTGGAGTGTGTCTGTGTGTGTGTTCCTATACTGAAATTTCCAGCTCTATCATATCATTCAGTTTGTCATTTTTGTCAAGTAATATATCATGCTATGATGCTCCTTTCTCCCATTACAAGGAAGGGTTAACACATGAGAGATCTATTGTTATTGTTGTTGTTTCCTTGCCAAGTAGTTTCTAAATTTATATTAGCATTTGCAGTTACTGAATTTATATTAGCATTTGAAGGAGCCCAAAGTTTGCTTTTTAGACTTAGTGGCAGGCCAAATGACTTAGTATTTTGAATGCTGTTTTGAAATTATTTGGAAATAATAGATTGCATTGAATACTTCAAATAAGCTTCCCTTTTAGGTTATCTTTCTTCCTTTTTTGAAAACCATCTATATTGGACTTCCTGTTATATATTATAGTTACATAACCTGCTTTATTAACTTTTATCAATTTGTATTTTTATTAGTGACTCTTTTATTCTCTCATCTCTTTTGTGTTATTCATCCACCACAAACAACTAGAAAGTTACCTGTCCTGTTGATTCCTATTTCAAAATCTGGCTCACATGGTCTGTTTGTTACCATTTTCACTATAACTGATCTGTTTCAGACCCTGACCATCCCTAAACCAGGCCATTACATCAGTCTCCCATACATTGTTAAGACCTCTGGTCTTTCCCCCACTTTCTTCATCTTGTTACAAACTAGTATTGCCATATTTTCTTAGAATACCTCATTGACTTTCTGTTTTCTAAGCAGTGGTTTTTAGCATGTGGTCTGTGGAATGCTAGATCTCCAGGACCCCCCCGATCTGATAGTTTAAAACTATTTTTTATAGTAGAACTATAAGACTAATTATGGTTATTCAGTCTTGGTTATATGGCAGACATTTTCTGAAAAAAGGAAGACATAAACTTATCACTTCAGGGAAACAACCAAGAGTATTTATTGCTAATGATAAAATTTAAGACTAAAAGCAAAAATTAGAATGTTAGAAAATTTGCATCTGCAACTTTGAGCTTGGCAGCTTCCCAGTAGTACTTGAAGTCTTTTCTGATGAGATCAAAACTTTTCTGAAGATTGATGAATGTGACTTTTTTGATATTATATAATGAAAGGTGTCAATATTTGGAATATCTGCAAATCTGAATGAACCAATATTTTTTAACTGATCGGTGCATGATGTTTATAAACTCACATACATGGGGTGAAAGATGCACTCAAAGGACAAGGTGGACCAGTGGTTTTTGATGTAACAGAATACGAAAAGTTCATTGATTTGGTTTCAGATTACACATTGTATACTAACTTTTGAAAAGCAACTGCTTGTCAGGTTTGGTATAGTATTAACGAAGAATATTCATAGTTATTTGAAAATATTATTAAACCACTCTTTCCTTTTCCAACTACATATTTGTGAGTCCAGATTTTCTTTGTGTATATCAACCAGAAGAACACAAAGCAATAGATTGAATGTAGAAACAGATATAAAAACCTTGCTGTCTTCTATTCAGCCAGACTTTAAAGAGATTTGCAAAAATATAAAAGAGTCGCTCTTTTAATTTTTTTTGAAAACAGTTACATTTCATTAAAAATGTGTTACCTATGTTAACATGCAGTAGGAGTGTTATTGTTAAATGAATTCATATTTTTTAAATTTCTCAGTTTTAATTTCTAACATGGTAAATATTGATATAACCCATATAAACCCATATTGATATAACCCATATACTGAAGTCCTCAGTAATTTTAAAGCCTAAAGGAGTCCTGCAGTCAAGAAAGTGGAGAATTGCTGGTCTACAGAATAATACAGTTTTAAAGAAGTATTTACAAAGAGATCCATTGACTTACCTCTGATTCTTTTTAATGTTTCTAAAATTTAATTTTTGTAATGAGGCCAGCATTCATTGTCCTTAGTATCCTCCTAGGAATGGACAGAGCAAATCCAAAATTGTTTTCAGTTTTGCTATTAAGATTCTTCTGTGTGATTCTAAGTTAGTTATTCTTTTCTCTAGTGAATTTTAGATACTAAAAATAATTGGAAGTCAGAAATTAAAAGTAAGTCACTAGAGCAAAAAATAAGATAGGATTGGCAAGGTGAAATGGGACAAAAATCTGAGCTTGTCCTGGTAACGTGTATAGTCTCAGTATACAGGCCTTGCTTACTTGCTTTTAAACCTTCATTTAGCCCTGGAAATGAGAACATGATATAACATAACCTATATAAGTTAAATATAGGTTATTTTAAAAAACATAATTTTATTACTTAAAATGCCTTTTAGATAATAGAGAAGTGCTAAAAAGAACAGAAACTATCACTTTTTTTCTTGTTTTTTTTCCCCCCTTGGTATACATTCTCATAAAATGACCAAAAATGGGCATTAGAAAAAGAAGCTGTAAAATCTATAGGATGGCTAATAAATCCCTCTGTTTAGACAGACATAATTTTTTTTTAATATAGAAGCATTGCTCTCTATTTCATTGTTCTCTATTTCTTCTTATCTTTAGCACTAGAGGGGGATGGTTCGGGGTTCCAGAATGTTTTTTTGAGACATTGTCTTGTTTTCACAATACCATGAAGAAATTAGGAAAAGGATTAGGTTGGACAAAGGGAGAATATTAGACAGTGAGGCTTTAAGAGAATTTATTAGGATCTCACAGAAAAGAGAATTTAGATTTTCTTAAATTCAGTGTTGATACAGATTTATATTTTGTCAGGAAACCTGGGTTGTGCTATTAATCAATATCCTGTATTAAAATTTTTATGGACAGGGTTTATCAGTGTTTTCTTGCTAAAGTTAATTTACAGTAAAGCTTACAGTACGCAGTTTAGGTCACCCATGGCTAACTTATATAATAAAGCTAGTTATTTGAATGACCATAAATTGTCTAATTTTGTCAAAGTTTCTAATTGTTTAGACCACAAAACTATTCATATTTCTACATAAAGTAGATGCATCTTTTTCTGTTGAAGTCGTCTTGGTATTTGACTCTAAAAATAGGCCTACGTGTGGTAAAATTGTAACCCATATTTTTGTCCAAATCATGTGAAGAAAATTGGTTTTGACATGGCTTTTAAATGTAGGCAAGAATATCCTATATATGTACAAAAGGATTAAGAGTCAGTTTCATTAGAGCTTTTTTGTGATAATTTTGAGATTTTGAAGTCAGAAGAAAACTTTGGAAGAACTAAAGATGCAGTTCTAACATAAAATAATTTAAGATGCTTAGACTACAAGGGGAGGGTTGAGGGTAGGGGAGAGAGGGTTGGTGTAGATTGGAGATGCTACAGATGTAGCATGTAATGCTGTGCATAGTGCGGAGGAGATACAAACAGAAAATAAGGGAAGAAAAGACAAAACAGTGAACTTCTAAGAATTAGTAACATGTCTAACCAAGCCCTAATAACACTGTTGGTTCTTGGACCTTGAATTATCTTTGGGGGGAGTTGATAAACCCCCAAACATGCAGCGCAGTTTAGATAGCCTTAGAGAGGACAGGAAGTTAAACCAGAAGAAACAATGAAGACAATATTGAACACATAAAGGGATTTATAAACAGAGACCTACGTAGTTCTATGAAGAGAGACATATAGCAACTGACTTGTTGCTAACGTTCTACAGAACTCCAGCTATAATTATGCATATTTGGTTAATTATAATGTAAGACACCTAGGAAATTATTTGCCTTTCCTTGAAGTCAAGCCAGTGCCAGTAATATACCTATCATCCTGTGACAAAAGACAAAAATTTTACAGAAAGCAGTGATAATGAAAAATACTCATATAATAGATATAATGTACTTTTTTATGATTTACAACTCCCCTGCCCTCATGGGTATTGGTTTTCTAATCTTTTCAATTTGAGTTTTTACTTTAGCATAATAACTAAGTAATGATAATGCATGTTAAGTAGTCTCTATAGTATATTCCTGAGAAGAATTAGTTCCTCATGCCTGAAGAACTTTTAATATATATCGAACTGTCATAAAAGCTTTACTTAATGGAGCTAATGTGTACTTATAAATTAAAATATGTGCCCAGTTCCAGCAGCCCAAATGAGTAAACATTTTATATCAAAAAAATTGAAAATGACAGAGATGTTAGTAACCACTTGGTATTTTATAAGGAAATGAGACAGTTGGGAATTGCTGAGACATTTTGCTTTAATATCGGGTACCTCCACCTTTAAGAAACATCATGGTAATATATTTAGATATTTTCTTAAGAAAATTATTTTCCATGTTTTTAAGATCTTGCTGGCCTCTAGTGGTAATACGATGCTGTTGTTTAAACATTGTCAATTCCTGTGAGTGTAAAGCCATTTGGAAGGCCTAGTCTGCTGATACATTTACTCTCAGAGTTCTGGGTTAACAGTGTTCTCAAAGTGTACATGTAACATCATCTTTCTCCTAAAGACTAGGGAAGGTGTCTGAGTCACTCTGCTTCTGTATTTTAAACGATACTGGTTAAGCTCTGAAGCAACCTCTCATTATTATAGTTTATATACAGTGGTAATTACTATGTAAAGTTTGCACTAACAGTTCTTCCCAGAGTGTTTCAGCCCTCTTCTCTGAAGGTCATAGGGCTATTTTTTCCTTATTCTGTATATAATAGTTTTCATTTTCTTAAGAGGAAGCTTTAAATTTACCATTGAGATTCGTGTTTAGGCTCACCTCTTTATTTGATTTGGAAGAATTTTACATTTGAAATACTGGTTTACTAAGCAAGATAATGATTTGTCACTTTTGTTTTTCCCTTTTCTCATGCAGATGTGAAAGGACCACCCACCCACCGTCTGTCTTGTGGTCAGTCACCCTACACCGAGACAACAACGTGGGAGCGGAAGTATTGCATCCTCACAGACAGCCAGTTGGTATTGCTCAACAAGGAGAAGGAGGTGAGATGGATATTATTCAGGAAAGTTAGTTTCCTTTTCTGAGTAAATTCCTGAAATTACCTAGTTTTTGTTTGCATTTTGAAAAGTTGGATTATAAAAATAAAGGCTTGATGAAGATATAGGTAAGTCTAAAAGGCTGCTAATGTCATAAAGATATGTTATCTTCATGAAGGAGTGGGTTTCACAAGATAGGGCTGGATTTTCACTAAGAAACAATGGAAGAGATACTGAGTTAAACTGAGGAGTTTGGAATGGGAAGGGGTTGGATTATATAGGCCTGGCCCTGCAAATGATCTCGAGGGGCCATTGGGAATTACATCAGTACTTCCTAGCAAAAACAAATGTCATTAATTGGATTAATTGAAAGAGGTTTATTGGAGGGACTATTTGCAGATGTGTGGGCAGCATAAAGGACCTAACTAAGGATGAGGAAGCACCCACGAGCTAGCAGTCGCAGAAAGCAGTTATCACCCTGGGCTTCCAAGGCAAGGGAAGAAAGTGATGTTTCTGGAACCTAGAGAACTGTAGCTGCATGAGAATGCTGCTTGACAGTTGCTGTGGTTATGCACAAAAGAACACAGTCTCTATACCAAACAAAAATGGCCAGCAGGGAGGAAGTAAGACAGAATAAACACTCCAACTCTTTTCTTCTGCCTTCTGATTTCTTGCCAGTGTCACCTACTGGCCAAATCTAACTCGAAGGCAGAAAAAGATTGCTTTTTGATGTATTCTGTAGAGGTCAGCTTCCTGAAACATGTAACAAGGTCAAGAAGGGCAGAGAGTAGAATAGATCTGGCGAGGTAGACAGAATGTAACCAGGACAGGCATCTAGTTCTAGGTGTACTTTCTGTTCTTCTAAATTAAAAAACTCTTAAACTTATCACATGCTATTACTATTTTATTCCTCAAACTGTTACAGTTTACAAATCCTTCCACAGCTATCTCATTTATTTGCTTATTGGTGATTAATCAGGTAATTGATATTCTGATCTGGTATGATAAAACTACTCTGTAAAATCATCATAATTCCCAATTTCCACCATATAAAAAAATAAGTGAATATAATATTGACAAAGAAGAGGAATAATGAAAGGGAAGGAGAAGATATGATTCAATGAAGGAGAAAGATTAATTGCCAAAACTATATAAATAACTAGAAAGATGTAGGTAGAATATCCATTCAGTAAGTCACCTTCCAGAAAGGTGAGTTCAAAAGAAGCAACAGGAAACACATTTCTTAATTCTCCTCTGTGGATCCCTACCTCCCCTTTCTCTTCTCTTGCTCCTCCTTCCTTCCCTGTTCCTTCTCTTACCTATCCCTTCTCTTTCTCAGCATTTTTTAATGTGGTAACAATACTACCAATAAAACAATTCCAGTTTCTTCTTGTATTTTAATAGGCATTGCTACTTTCTTTTTTTTTTTTTTTTTTTTTTTTTTTTGAGACGGAGTCTCGCTCTGTCACCCAGGCCGGACTGTGGACTGCAGTGGCACAATCTCGGCTCACTGCAAGCTCCGCTTCCCGGGTTCACGCCATTCTCCTGCCTCAGCCTCCCGAGTAGCTGGGACTACAGGCGCCCGCCACCGCGCCCGGCTAATTTTTTGTATTTTTAGTAGAGACGGGGTTTCACCTTGTTAGCCAGGATGGTCTCGATCTCCTGACCTCATGATCCACCCGCCTCGGCCTCCCAAAGTGCTGGGATTACAGGCATGAGCCACCGCGCCCGGCCGGCATTGCTACTTCCAAGAGGCTTGTTAATATGCCTCCATGAAGAACTTGCTCATTCTTTTTCTCTTGCCATTGAAAATATCTTTTACTTTTGTTATCATCTCCCTACCTGTAACCCTTTTCCAGCATTTTAATATTCTTAAATTTAATTTTATTAAAATAACTGAATAAAGGCCAGACTTTTCTAGAACAAGTTGTGTATGTTGCTGTGTTTATATTAAGTAGATAATAAAAATTGGTAAAGTGAATATTAGTATAGAACATTTCTAATTATCCAAACTATTCAAAATCTTCATTTTAACCAAATGTACTGTCAGCAGTCTTTTCTCAGAGCTATTAGTAAGGAGTAATATAAACAAATCATTTGCCATCTTTTTGCCCTTACCTACATTTTATTCAATTTAGTACTGTAAGAGATGAAATAGCTTTAAGTATAGATAGCAGAAAGTCAGGAAGCATGCCTTTTCCAGAACCAAGGTGCAAATTAGTCAATTGAGTTACCTGCGCTTGGGCCACCTTTTGTCTCATAATATAACTGTCCATGATAAATAATTTTCTAAAACAACATCTTATGTCCTTTATCCCTTTTTATACCAGTCATCATGAGTAACCCTAAACACCTGGGTAACCCTCATCCACCACGCTGTATGTACTCTCCCTATGGCTCTGTGTATTCTCTTTTCTGACACTGTCTTCCACTTGTCCTTCTCCACCTCTTGAAACCCTTTCACTGTGTCCACTGCAATTCCAGGTTCATCATCAGCAAAACCAGCTGTTTCTTCCACCTTTTCTCTGAAGGGGTCCCTTAACTTCTTAGTCTTACAAGAACTGAGATCTTCCCTGAAGACACTATCTTCCATTAAGTTTTGTCAGTGGATGGCCGTTTTTCCTCATACCATAATGTCTGTGATAGCTGTCTTCCTCTTTCATGGCTGCTGTCTATTCTCCCCTGTTTTCCCTAAAATGTCCAAACTTTGAGTCTCACATTATAGTTATCTTCTTTTTTTTTGAGATGGAGTCTCTCTCTTGTTTCTCAAGCTGGAGTGCAATGGTGCCATCTCGGCTCACTGCAACCTCCGCCTCCTGAGTTCAAGTGATTCTCCTGCCTCAGCCTCCCGAGTAGCTGGGATTACAGGCATCTGTCACCATGCCCAGCTAATTTTTTGTATTTTTAGTAGAGATGTGGTTTCACAATGTTGGCCAGGCTGGTCTCGAACTCCTGACCTCAGGTGATCCACCCGCCTCAGCCTCCCAAAGTGCTGGGATTATAGGCGTGGGCCACCGTGCCCGGCCTGTAGTCATCTTCTAACCTTCCTCGTCGTTTTTTGTTGATTCTATCCCCTGGGCCATTATTATCTCCAAGACTACTCCAGTTTTAATTTTTTACGATTCTGATATCCATAGAGAGATTTTTCTTTTGTAACACACTAGCTGTCAGTTCCTTGAACTTTTTCCTCTCTAAGGATCCCACCTTATTGCTACAACTCCTTCATATTCACAATTGTGTGCATATTACTCTTTGACTAATACCTTCTATCTTTCTAGCTCATTTCTTATTTCAGCAATCCTTCAACCCTTCTGAGACCTAGGACCCATTGATCCTGTCACCTTTTCTGGCTTTTATAAAGCCTCTGATGTCCTCTCTCTCCCCTGAGTTCCATGGTCAGTCATTCTCATCACTCCTTTGCATACTGTTTCCTTGCCCTTCCCTTGCTTCATCATACACACTTGGCAAAGTGATAGCTGAAGTGAATCTTACTCTTTATCTAGTCTGCCCAGTATCTATGCAGCTTAATGTATCTGGAGAAAATTACACATACCATGCTGCCTGGTGTTAAACAAATGGCTGCAAACCTCATATCAGCCCATAATGCTGCTTGGCAATCACAAAACATTTTCCCACTTCAGTTACTGTCCCACTCTCCTGGACTAGTGCTTCACATTCTATCTGTGGTAAAGTACCAGTTTCCTCTCCACCCACCTTGTTGTGATCAATAAAATACAATAAAGTGGATTGTTAAGAAAAAAATGAAAAAAAAAAGTAAAAATATAATCCTACTCCTGGCTATCTACCCAGAGGAAAATAAGTCGTTATATAACAAGGATATACATGTTTACAGCACACATGTTTACAGCAGCACAATTCGCAATTGCAAAAATACGGAACCAGCCCAAATGCCCATCAATCAAGGGGTGGATAAAGAAAATATGGTGTATGTATATACTGTGGAATACTACTCAGCCATAAAAAGGAATGAAATAATAGCATTTGAAGCAAACTGGAAGAAACTGGAGACCATTATTCTATGAAGTAACTCAGGAATGGAGTATGTCCTCACTCATAAGTGGGAGCTGAGCTATGAGGATGCAAAGGAATAAGAATGATAACAATGGACTTTGGGGACTCAGGGGAAAGGGTGGGAGAGAAGTGAGGGATAAAAGACTGCATATTGGGTACCATGCACACTGCTCAGATAATGAGTGAACCAAAATCTCAGAAATCACCACTAAAAAACTTATCCATGTAACCAAACACCACCCATTCCCCCAAAAACCTATTGAAATAATAATTAAAAATTTAAAAAATATATAAGACCAAATTTTTATTGGGTTTAACAGACATTAAATCACAATTCAGTTAAGTATGTTCAGCATAATCATAACATAGGAAAAGAAGGAATAGAAGGATAAAAATTGTATATATTCATGGAAAGTAGGCTGTACAAACCCACTGATCACACCAAGCATGCTGCTTCTCGGTTTCTGTACTATTTTGTTTATTGTGGACTAGTCACAATTTGCAGATAGCACAGGAGCTTGAACTACACTTTGAGTAACACAGTCCAGAATAATTTCTAAGAAGATGTTTTTCATACCTTCTCCTGTTTCCTCAAACTGCCAATCTCTTCTTTATTATTCCCACCTAGAGCTGATTACTTTGCTTATTACTTCACTGAGAAAATTGGAAAATTCACAAGAGAACTTCTGCACACTCCATTACTGTATCTGCCTAACAGCAACTGTTTCCTTCTACCCTTATTTTACTTTTTTAACTGTGATTGAGCTGTCCACTGTGGTCAGCCCTTCTGCTTGTGTTCATTCCATTATTTCTTGCCTGTTCAAGGATATATCACTAGCAATTCTCCCCTACCATTTTTGAAAAACATTTTAGTTTTTTGCTTTCTATCAGATCATTCCCATCAGCATGCTATTCTTTCTCTCTCTTTTTTTTTTTTTTTTTTTTTTTTTTGAGACAGACTTTCACTCTGTCACCCAGGCTGGAGTGCAATGGTGCAATCTCAGCTCACTGCAATCTCCGCCTCCTGGGTTCAAGCGATTCTCCTGCCTTAGCCTCCTGAGTAGCTGGAATTACAGGCATGCGCCACCATGCCCAGCTAATTTTTGTATTTTTAGTAGAGATGGGGTTTCACCATGTTGGCCAGGCTGGACTCGAACTCCTCACCTCAGGTGATCCACCCGCCTCGGCCTCCCAAAGTGCTGGGATTACAGGTGTGAGCCACTGAGCCCAGCTTTTTTTCTCATCTGAAAAAAACAAAGCCTGTATTAACCTCACTTGTACCTCCAGATACCACCCCTTTCTCTTCTCTCCTTTATAACACAAATTCTCAAAACTTCTATGCTCATTGTCTTTAATTCCTGTTCTCCTTTAAATCTATTTCAGCCAGACTCTTACCCACATCACTGCCAGAATTGTGCTTGTTAAGCTCACTAGTGACCTTCCCATTGTTAAATTCAGTGGTCAGTTCTCAGTTCTCATCTTAATCTGTTAATGGCATTTAGTAGAGTTGATCACTCATTTCTTCTCCTAAGGTCACTTTTCCTATTTGGCTTCCATGACACTGTGTTCTTTTTCTTTCCTGCCTCTCTGGAAGTTTCTTTTGAGTCATCTTTACAGATTTCTCTTCTTCTCTTCAAATCTTAACATGGAAGCGCCATGGGACCTTATTTCCTTAGGGATCTCATCTCATTTATAGTCTTGAGACTATAAATGTCCTCTAATGCTGATGATTCCTTATTTTATATCTTAAAACTACATATCACTGTTCTCTCTCTCTTCAAAAGATGGAGTCTCACTATGTTGCCCAAACTGGTCTGTAACTCTTGGGCTCAAGTGATCCTTCCACCTCAGCCTCCCAAAGTGCTGGGATTACAGGCATGAGCCACTGCACCAGGCCATCTCTCTTCTCTAGACTCATATATCCATCTGTGCATTACACATCTCCACTTGGATATGTAAGAGTCATTTTCAACATGCCCCACACTTCAGCCCTAATCTTCACTTCATGACTTACCATAGGTAAGTTATCTCCATTAATGACAACTCCATCCTTCCAAGTTTCAAAGGCCAAAAGCTTCCCCAACGTGCTACTTTCCAGACATACTGTCTTCATCGTTATTTCATGAGTACATCAGGCATGTTCCTCCCTAAGGCCGTGGTCTTGGCTTTTTCTTTGCATGGAACATTCTTCCCTCTTATATTTACATGGCTCATTTTCTTACCTCCTTCATCTCTTTGCTTACATACCACATACTTAGTAAGGCCAACCCTGACCTATTTTAAATCACTACTGCTCCCCACATCTGTATCCAGAACTTCTGACCTAATTACCTGGCTCTAATATATTTTTTATAGCATTTGCCACCTGCTAAAATGCTATATAATTTATTTATTATGTTTACTGTCTCTCATCTCCTACTGGAATATAAGCTTTTGAGCAAAGATTTTGTTTGTTTTGTTCAAGGATGTATCCACCAGTTCTTAGAACAGTTCCTGATGAAACATAGGAAACTCTCAATAAATATTTGTTGAATGAATGTTGCAAAAGCCAAATTAAAAACTTTTATTTCTGAATGTCTATTTCCTTAATATAAGTTGAATAGAAAATATCTTCTATCCTTTCTTTCCATGATATATCTACCCAGAACATGTAACTTAATTCTTTATTTTTCTAAAACTAATAAAAAGAGAAAAATAATTGATGCGGTGCTTTTCCACAGTTGAATACATGATTCCATCTTTATTTATTGAGCACCTATCATTATTTGTAGTATTGTGGACACAAAGATGCAGTTTTGTTGAGAGGTAAAATAAAGTTAAAACCATTTGGAATTAGACAGCAGTGGTAGTTGCACAACGTTGTGAATGTACTAAATGCTGATGAATTATTCACTTTAAAATAGTAAATTTTATGTTATATAAATTTTGCTTCAGTAAGTTTATTTTTATTTATTTTTTTGTTTGTTTTTTGTTTTTGAGATGGAGTCTTGCTATGTCACCCAGGCTGAAGTGCGGTGGTGCGATCTCGGCTCGCTGCAAGCTCCGCCTCCTGGGTTCACGCCATTCTCCTGCCTCAGCCTCCCAAGTAGCTGGGACTACAGGCGCCCACCACCACGCACGGCTAATTTTTTTGTATTTTTAGTAGAGACAGGGTTTCATCGTGTTAGCCAGGATGGTCTCGATCTCCTGACCTCGTGATCCGCCTGCCTCAGCCTCCCAAAGTGCTGGGATTATAGGTGTGAGCCACCACACCCAGCCAAGTTTAGTTTTTAATTGTAATATAACCATAAGAGATTAACTGAGATATGGCCTAGGATGGATTATAGTATGGAGTGGAGAATGCCAAAAAAGTGTTTTACAGAGAAATTTATGCTTGGACTGTATCTTAAGGGACAAATAAGGGCTCATGAGGAGAAAAAGAAGGGAAGGACATTCTGAGTGTATATAATGATACAAAGTCAAGAAACATATGTCTCTTTGGCAAACTGAAAAATATTCAGAGTTCATGGAACATAGTTTGCAAGAGGAAAAGTGATAGCTAGCAAGAACTAGGTAATGAAGAACCTTGAAGGCTATGATGAGGAATTTGGATTTTATTCCGGAAATGATCTGGACCAGGGAAAGGGTATTTAGCAAGGTAATGACATCATCAGATTTGCTTCTTAGAGAAGTAACTCTGTGGATTATATGGAAAATGAAGTGAAAGGGATTAGAAGCAAATAGATGAGTTACAAGATTGCTGCAGTAGACCAGGTGAGGAATAATGAAGGGATAAATTTACAAAACAGTTTACAAAAACAGTTTAATGCCCTCAGACAGGTGTTTATGTTCTGCCATTATTATATGGGGAAAATTGAATTAAATCTCTAGGAAAAGAAAATGTGAAGCCATTGCTTTACATTGCTTTACTTGAATAAGTTTGATTTTCTGTTAATTTCATTACATGAAAAGATTATAAATCAATTTCTTGTGTAGGAACCAGAATATGCTGTCACCCTTCTACCTTTCACCCACACTTAAGAATTATAAAGAATGTGGGCCGGGCACGGCGGCTCACACCTGGAATCCCAGCACTTTTGGAGGCCGAGGCAGGTGGATCACGAGGTCAGGAGTTCGAGACCAGCCTGACCAATATGGTGAAATCCTGTCTCTACGAAAAATACAAAAATTAGCTGGACATGGTGTCGGGTGCCTGTAACCCCAGCTACTCGGGAGGCTGAGGCAGGAGAAATCCTTTGAACTCGGGAGGTGGAGGTTGCAGTAAGTTGAGATCGCACCATTGCACTCCAGCCTGGGTGACTGGGCAAGACTTTGTCTCAAAAAAAAAAAAAAAAAAAAAAGAATTATAAAGAATTTAACTCTTAATCCTTGGAATTTTGCATTGAATAATTTAGAATTTCTTAAAATGAGTTTAAGGAATTTCCTGCTAAAATTATCTAAAAAGATGGTTTTAAACTTTAATTAAATCATCATGGGGGTGTTTATTGCTGTGTTAAAAAATTAATTAAAAGGGTTCTGTAAGGATTTAAACTGAATCCTTAGCCAGGCACTGCTGGAATGTGGGAGGATTATATTAGTCTAGTATCACTCATGTATTAAGTCAGTGTGTGGCATCTTTTAATGCTTTCTCTTAACTCTACATGTTTCTTGTCAGAACTGGGGAAAAGTCTGTTTGAGGAGTATACATGGGAAGAGTGTTAAATATTCCAATGACCAATCTGGGAATGTGGCAGAAGGGTAGATTGGGGCAGAATGCTGAAAGAGAAGCTTGCTGGGAGTGTCACCTTGACAAATGACTTATTGGTTCAGTAAACTGCTTCATGCAAATTGTGCCAAATAGATATTGCTTATGTGCTATGAAATATACTTTCTTGCCTGGGTACCAGGAAAGGCCCCAACTGGCTTGATACCAGCCCAGTTCAAAGAGGGCACAGGAGGCCATTTGACTTTCATTTTGCTTGCAAGAGATGAGACCAAGTAAATTTGAGATTAAGGAGTTGAGGGAAATGGTAGAGAAGACAAACATGAACCCCTCAGAGGTACAGCCATTATAAAAATACAAAAGCTGAATTTATGAGTTTATTTCTTTTGGCAATAACAGTCTATTAGGCAGGGTCCATTTGACTCCATTTTTCTTAATGCAAACTCTACTTTCTATATTTAGAATGTTTAAGGCTGGATTCTGGTGTATAGGCAGCAAGGCATTTAAAATGACACTTTTAAATGTTTTAAAACATTTTTCTTTTGAAAGTGTTTACACTCAGATATGTTGATGAAAATATCAGTCTTTGTGCAAATAGCTAAAAATTAACTGGTATTTATTCTGGGGTGAGCTACCTATGGCATATTTCATTCAGAACCACTTTTAAATTATTCAATAGATATATAATATGCCCTTATATGTTATTCACTGTGTTAGGAGTTACAAAGCACAAGACAGATCTTCTTTCCTCTTTCTCCCCCGTAACAAATTTAGTGGTAAAAATAAGACAATTTTAAAGTGACATTTGATAAATAACACAAGTAAATGGATAGAATAAGAGAGAGAAATCCATTAATTATAAAAAGAACCTTAGCCTAACTAAATATGTCATTAAGATGCCACTGGCAATGGGGAATTACCAAAGGAAAGCTTAATAAAAGAAGCAATTTGATCAAAGTTAGGTGTTATAAATATTAATCTGTAGGACGTATTGGAAGAACAAGACACAGGAAACAGAACAATTAGGAGACTGCCAGTCCTTAGATCTAAAAGCTTGAGTGGCTTCTCAGTGCTCCCCATGCGTGGTCTGGTATTCCAGCCCTCCTAACATGTTCATAATATATTGTTCCATCCCTTTTCTCCCTATTAAGAGGCTCTAGCCAAATTGGCCTACTCCCTATTCCAAAACAAAACAAAAAAGTCATATACTTACCAGCTTCCTGGCTGATGTTATGCTTTTTCCTTTGCCTAAAATGGCCCCCATCTCTACCTATCATTCACTTATTTGTGAACTATTTTAAGGTTTGGGGATTTACTGGTAAAGTACAAGCTGTTAACTTACGTGGAATTAGTTGCATAAATGAATAATTATAATTTAACACAGTAAGTATAATGACAGAGAAAGATGTGTTACCGGAGAACTAAATGGAAGTGTACCTTGACCTTCCCTTAGGGGACTGATAGAGGAGGAAGATTCCTGGGAAATGCAAAGCCTGTCCTAAGCCTCAGGATGATTAGGAGTTTACCTTGCAGATGTAGAATAGAAAAGAAAGAGGGAAAACATTTCAGGAAGAGAGAACAAACTAAGCCATGGCACTGAACTACACAATAGGGAATGTATTAAAGAATTGCAAGCAATTTGGTATTTCTAGAATGAAGTCTAAAACTGAGCACACAGACAGAGACAGTGGCTGGATTGTGGAAAATCTGGTGTACTATATTAGGGAGCTTGCACTAATTTATAGGATAGTAGTTTTTAAACCCTTTTTAAGCAGAAGGACACTTTCTTTGTAGAAAGGCTTATGCAGAAGCCCTGTACAACAGATACACTGAGAATGATGTTCAGGTTGAAGCAGAGATACTTCCCCCCACCCCCACATACTTCCATACACAAACACACCACCACTTCTTTGAAAACCACTGCTAGAGGCAAAGAACTGCTGAAGGGCTTTAAACCTCAGGATGACATGATCGTATTTGCATTTTGGAACTATTATGATAACTATGTAAAGGATAGGTTTAAGGGGCAGAACGTCCCAGGCAGATACCAGTGAAGAAACTGTTGCAGGAGTTTAATTAAGAGATAAATAGAGGCTTTTGGCACCAGCTATGACAGAATGACTGGTGCAAGATGGGCCCTCCCACTGTAAACAACAAAAAATAGGACACCACCCCCTCACTATCTGTCTATCTGTCTGTCCATCTATCGATCAATCGAAAGAGAGCATGGGTGTGCAACACAACTATTTTCAGGCATTGGACAATAGGCAGCCACTGTGTTGGTCACCATTGCCCAGGTGTCTGCTGCATACTATTTTCCAACTGTGGTGCTGTAATCTGGAGGCCAGGCCTGCCAGAGTACAATAGACTCACTGAGCTGAGGAGGCACAGAACAGAATTTTGCATCTGAAAGGGCTGGAACCTGCTGGGTAGGATACCAGAGAGTCTTTAGCTGGACTGCACATGTCCAGGGAAAGACTACGTAAGTTTTCCAGAGAGAAACTGAAGTATATTGAAAACAGAATAGAGATACTAGTGGTCATGTTGAGCAATGACAGAGATCTGACACTGCCAGTGAGAAATCTGTTTAAAACCTGACTACTCCAGGAATCCAGCTGAGATACCAGAAAGATACCTCAAAGTTGTGGAAATTGAGGTTTATTAAAGCCAAATGATTTATTTATATCTTCACACTTAGTACTGGTAGCCAAGGACTAATAAGTGAATAATTAGAATTGGAGGTACAGAGTATAGATCAGTGGTTCTCAACTTTGCATGTCTAGAATGTCTAGAGTGGTCTAAGCGTTGGCATTTTTTTTCTCCCAAAAAAAAAAAAACAAAAAAAAACCAGGGTACATGTGCAGAATGTTCAGGTTTGTTACATAGGTACACGTGTGCCATGGTGGTTTGCTGCACCTATTGACCTGTCCTCTAAGTTCCCTCTCCTCACCCCTCACCCCCCAGCAGGCCCTGGTGTCTGTTGTTCACCTCTCTGTGTCCATGTGTTCTCATTGTTCAGCTCCCGTTTATGAGTGAGAACAGCATTGGTTTTTTTTTTTTAAAGCTCCCATAGATGATTATAAGTTGCAGCCAAGGTTGAGAATGTCTGTTATACCTGACACTTTGAGATGCTTATCCATGATAGGAAGGAGAGGAAACAACACCTTAAGGCAGTGGTTCGCAACCTTAGTGAGCATCAGAATCAGTCGGAGGCTTGTTAAAACACAGATTGCCAAGCTCTACCCTGAGTTTCTGATGCAGTAGGTCTGGGGTGGGGACTGAGAATGTGGTTTTCTAATAAGTTCCTGGGTTATGCTGTTGCTGCTGGTACCTAGACCGCTTGTTTTGAGAACCAGTGCCTTAAGGAAATAAGAAAGTTGAGGAATTGTTTTTTCTTTAAAGTACTGAAAAATCCTCTTAAGCATATAGTAGTCCTGAGCATCTTTTTAGCATTCTTTAGGAAAAGAAATAAGAAGAGCTTTCTGATGCTAGTTAGCGTAATCTTGATTTCCTGTACTTGACTATCTGTTTAATCTGTATGAGTTTAGATTGAAATCAACATTAATTTCCATATGATTCTAAACAATATGAAAGGCAGTTTTACAGAAAATATGTGTGTATGTGTGTGTGTATATATATGTGTGTGTATATGTATGTGTATATATGTGTGTGTATATATATGTGTATATATGTGTGTATATATATGTGTATATATATGTGTGTGTATATATGTGTATATATATGTGTGTGTGTGTGCATATATATATATATAAATATGTGCCACATTGCTTTTTGATTTTCCTGGATGGTTTGAAATTAACAAAGAGGACAGGGAGCCAGAGCTCTAGTTTGGCTTTGTTATTAACACATCTTAGATACCTGAGATATCTCCTTTTCTACTTTCTTCCTATAAAATGGAATGAAATTAAAGTGCTCGGTTTTGTTTGTTTGTTTTTGAGAGACAGGGTCTCACTCTGTCACCCAGGCTGGAGTACAGTGATGTGTTCATAGCTCATGGCAGCCTTAGATTCCTGTGCTTAAGTGATCCTCTTGCCTCAGCCTCCCGAGTAGCTGGGACTGCAGGTGCATGCCACTACAACTGGCTGATTTTTATTTTTTATTTTTTTAAAGATGGGGGATCTCACGTTGTTGCCCAGGGTCTTGAACTTTTGGCCTCAAGAGATTCTCCCACCTTGACCTCCCAAAGTGCTGCGATTACAGGTGGGAGCCCTACTGCACCTGGCCTTGATTTTTTTTTTTTTTTTTTTTTGAGACAGAGTTTTGCTCTTGTTGCCCAGGCCAGAGTGCAGTGGCACAGTCTCGGCTCACTGCATCCTCCACCTCTCGGGTTCAAGCAGTTCTCCTGCCTCAGCCTCCCAAGTAGCTGGAATTACAGGCATGCCCCACCATGTCCAACTGATTTTTTGTATTTAGTAGATATGGGGTTTCACCATGTTGGTCAGGCTGGTCTTGAACTCCTGAACTCAGGTGATCTACTCACCTCAGCCTCCCAAAGTGCTGGGATTTACAGACATGAGCCACCACACCCAGCCAATTTTTTTTTTTAGTTGAGGCAAAAGAAGATGAGAAGAAGCCCAGTACAGGGCCACAAGGGCAGAGAAGAAAAAAAAACAAAGAAAGAAAATTTACTCTCATGTTATAGAACTTGGAAGATACATAATTTTTATGAGGAATTCAGTATAAACAAGTAAATATGAACTAGTAAAATAAATTACGACAATCACACTGGAGAAAATTGCTCATGTATAGCTGATTCTCTTAGCTATATGCTAAGATTTGTATATTTCAGCTTGGGTCATTTGAAATTACTTGAAATAGGATCTATCCAATTTTAAAGGAGTAGATCAATATCTTTTTAAAAAATATTTTAGCTAAGAAGCAATCTGTAGTGTGGCTCATACCTGTAATCCCAGCACTTTGGGAGGCTGAGGCGGGTGGATCACCTGAGGTCAGGAGTTTGAGACCAGCCTGGCCAACATTGTAAAACCCTGTCTCTACTAAAAATAAAAAAAAAAAATCAGCTGGGCGTGGTGGCGGGCACCTGTAATCCCAGCTACTTGGGAGGCTGAGACAGGAGAATCGCTTGAACTTGGGAGGCGGAGGTTGCAGTGAGCCAAAATCACACCACTGCACTCCAGCCTGAGCAACAAGAGCAAGACTCCATCTCAAAAAAAAAAAAAAAAAAAAACTTAAGAAATGCAATTCAGAATAAAGGTTATATTATGTTCTTTGTATCCTGAATGAGAAGTAAAATGCCCTAACCTTTAAAAGTGAAACTTTGAATACAACCTTTTATCATATTTTAAGTTTTAATACTGGGAAATAAAGAGTCTACATTAAAACTTTGAGAAAATAATTGAGTGAATTTTAGGCCCAAATAAAAAATATTGTATTTATTCTCTCCTTTGATATAGCAGAGACAAAATATGTCCTCATAGAAGACATTCTTACTTTATTTGGATATGGCGTTTATAAATTTGCATAGAAAAAATATTTCCTCCTAAAACACCATAAGAAACTACTACTTTTTTTCTGCATGGTTTAGACCTTTATTATTTAAAATAATAGGCATTTTTAGAACTATTATCAAATAGTTATGTTTATTTAGATTGAACTATTTCTTCAAAGAACCAGACTATTTTTTCCAAATTTACTGTCATTCTTCCCACTTTTAAGGCAGATACAGGATATGTTTCGCCTTTTTTAATAGGAGATAGTCATTTAAACCTATCAGTGATACTCTTTTAATTATTTAAGTAGAGATAATAAAATTTCCATCCTGAAAGGGACAGATGACTTAGATTACTGTTTGTGAAGTTTTATATTACAGAGTACTTTTGGAAGACTTCATGTCTTTATTGATGCTATTTTTTGGCCTCAGCTTATTTTTGTAATTTTACATTTCTTCTGCCCTTCAATTTCTCAATGTGCAAAGAGTAACCATAGTTATGGTAATAAGGAAATGGGAGAATTGGGGGTCCTATAAGGAGTATGAAAATTTGAAGTGCCTATGGAGGCATTAGGAATTTGCTCCTCGGATTCTCAGTAACAGAGAGAGAGTTTTCCTTGCCATCATCTCCTTGACCCAAGTCACAGGAGTTGGATTACGGAAGCAAAGCAGAAGGCATGTACACTTAAGCCTATACCTGTCCTACTTTTGCTGGATCAATTGATGCAATACATGTCCATTATAATCATTTGAAGAAATAAATCATTCATTCCCCATCTCTTAAAAGGAGATAATAATAATGTCTCCCTCATAATGTCACACATATGAACTCATTAGACTTGCACATGTAAGAACTCAGTGTTTCATTATTGAAATATATTGAAAACAGTATTGGAGCCATAATAAATTAGGAGTTATGATTAATTATGACATACTCTGCCAAACTATTTAGGATGTTACAATTCTTAATTCTGATAAAAGCTACTAGTAAAATCTCATTACTGAATACTTAGGATTACCAGAAAAAAAAAACCCCAAAACCAAAAAAAACCCACAACTTTGAACCATCCCATTACTCTACATTGATAACCTGCTTTGTAAGTCTTAAAATAGTTATTAGTATTAGAGATTTTTTTTTACTATTCATAGTTCTCATTCCACTTGATATGCAAATAACCGCTTGATATGTTTCTGAAATTATGTCAGAAAAAATGTTTATTAGGATTATAAAAACACTCTTACCTTTGGAAGAAAATATACCATTTTATGTTGGTATCTATACAAGTTTCCACTGAAAATGTGATTTATTAACTATGTCTAAGTGCTCAACTCTAAAATTGAAGAACATTTGGGTGATCTTACTACCTTTAATGAAATATTTTAAGATAATTTTGAGGCGAAGTCTTTCTGATCAACTTTTATTTCCATTTATTTTATTTAACATTGGACAAAATTGGAGCTTGTGAACCAGTTTCTGATATAGAAAAACATTTTATTTGTGTGGGTGTTTTGTTTTCTGAGCTCCAGGAGCAAGTACGCACCTGGTTATGATTTGTACATACTTCATGTTAGCTAATTTACATGCCCACCTTTCCTGATGTTTCAGTTTTCTTTTTTCTTTTTTTTTGAGATGGAGTCTTGCTGTGTCACCAGGCTGGAGTGCAGTGGTGTGATCTCGGCTCACTGCAACCTCTGCCTCCCAGGTTCAAGCGATTCTCCTGTCTCAGTCTCCCAAGTAGCTGGGACTACAGGTGGGCGCCACCACGCCCAGCTAATTTTTGTATTTTTGTAGAAACAGGGTTTCACCATGTTGGCCAGGATGATCTGGATCTCTTGACCTCGTTATCCACCCACCTCAGCCTCCCAAAGTGCTGGGATTACAGGCGTGAGTCACTGCACCTGGCCCAGTTTTCTTTTTAAAGGAAAGCTTACTGTGAAGGGGTTGGTAATACCTTACCATTGTATATACTTTATTTCTATATTTCTCCTGCCTTACTCTTTGTTACACACTCCTGTCTTCTTTGACTAAAACCATTATTCAATCAGAACGTAGTTATGGTGAGTTCACTATTAAGTTTTATCTTTTGCTTTTGATTAACTAGATACCTGTGGAAGGGGGACAGGAGCAGCAGACAGATTCCACCAAAGGGCGATGCCTGAGGAGAACTGTCAGTGTCCCTTCCGAGGGTCAGTTTCCCGAGTACCCACCAGAGGGCGCCACTAAACTGGGTAAGCTACTATGAAAAGGAAATAAATTCCTAGCTTTTATCCCATAATTTATGGACTTGTTACTGAGTAAAACAGAACATCCTGCATTTCCTGTTAAGTAAGTGCTTTGAAATCAATGGCACGTTAAGCGAGAGTTAGAGGTCATTAGAGAGTTCTGTTCTTTATAACCAACTGACAGCAAAGTTATTTTAAAGAGAAAGACTTTATGTGAGCACTAGTAAGGTTGCTGTTTAGTCCTAGGCAGATGGGATAATGTGTTGCTTCTGGGTTTATTGCTCAGCTGTAGATTTTGAGAGAGTATTTGGTGATCTTGTTGAAGCACTGAGGTTCATAAGGGAGCAGTATGTGTTGGAACTTAGTATTAAGTGGTTTAGATGTGTCTTGTTCAGGTAGCTACTGGTGTTGTCTTATATGATGTAATATTAGATCAGGCTAATTTAGCTAAGTTAATCTTGCATGTCTCATAAAAGTCATATGCTGGACTATGGTTGGAGTGGGTGACAAAAGGGAGAAATCCTACTTCCATTTTTCCAGTAAGGTTACTAAAGAAACCTTACTTCCATTGTTATATACTAAAGGAGTTAATGTCAATATCAAAGCAGCTAGCTCTTCTCCCATTCCCTACCAAATGTATTCTGTTAAATGTTTTCATTTTTAATAATGGATATTTAAATAATCAGACTGGTCAGGTAATTTTAAAAGAACATAATTAAGATTAAATAGAAAAATGAAGCAATTTGAAAAGTAGGAATTGTTTTGGTGCTTTATATTGTTGTGTTATTATTTGCTTAGTGAACCATAGACTTTTGACATTTGATAAGTAGATGAAATCATTTATTGTCTCTATGGTGATCAGTATGGATAATTCTGTAATTTTGTTTGTGTTTTCTAAAATCATGGTTTGGTTTGGGATTTTGGAGGGGGTTGCCTTTTTCTTCATTTCTAAGTGGAACCCAGAGCTTTTGGCTGGAATTTGAATCCTTTTGGGCAGAATTTGAATCTTTTATTTTTCTTTTTATTGTGTAATAGTTGTTGCTTTCCTAGAAATTAGTTGAGTTAGCAAGTACTTTTTTCCAAGGAGCCACCTTGGAGAAGTCAGATTTTTCTCTCATCTTATTTCCACTATACTTCTTTAACATGTGTTGAAACCAGTTTAGGTGTGGGCCTAAATTCTACTAAAAACCTGTCTGGGTGTAACCATTTTATAGCCTATTTATATTTCACATCCAAGTTCTATGTAAATTGAACTGGCTTAGAGTCACCTTCTTTCAGTTCCTTTGCTTTCATTATTTGCAATGATATGTTGACTGTTGTCTCTCTTTTTTTTTTTCTGAGACAGAGACTTGCTGTGTTGCCCAGGCTGGAGTGCAATGGCGTGATCTTGGCTCACTGCAGCCTCCACCTACTTGGTTCAAGCAATTCTCCTGCCTCAGCCTCCCAAGTAGCTGGGATTACAGGCATGCACCACCATGCCCGGCTAATTTTTGTATTTTTAATAGAGACAGGGTTTCACCATGTTGGCCAGGCTGGTCTCAAACTCCCGACCACTGATGATCTGCCCTCCTCAGCCTCCCAAAGTGCTAGGAATAAAGCATGAACCACTGCGCCCAGCCTGACTATTGTCTTTACCAATTTTCTAGGAACCTTTCGCTCTTCAAGTTTTGACCCATAAAAGTCAATAGATTTTGAGGAAGTACAACTATAGTCTCAAGAATTATTGCAGTGTTATAGAAGAGAGAACTATATAGGAAATTGTTAAATATCTACAGTGTTCGAGGTACTGGCCCCAAAAACAAACTAAAGGTGACAAAAGTGTCTGGTCTAGAGCCAGTCCTTATCTTTTGTGCTTAACAAGAAGTCCAGTAGCCATTCTGACTCATGGACAGTCCATGAGCAAATGTCCTAAATTTGCACTAAAAGCTATCCTCGTAAATATTATAGGGAAAAACACTACTTCTAGAGCCATTCTTCCTTACATGCCAGTCTAATCTTGAATTAGATAATTGTTCTGTTTTTTTATTGTTATCTCCAAGTGATTTGTCTTTAGCCAAAATTTCTGCTGTCAGGTATTTCATTGAATAATTGCTGTATATGTAACATTCTATGCCAGTCGCTAAGAGTGAAAAGAAGTATAAGATTTCTGCTCTTAGAACATTTTTTTTATGTAGTTAGCAAGATAGGATGAATATACATAGAAACTAAAATATAAGTTAGTGTACAAAAATTGATTGTCTATATACTAGCAATAAACAGGAAACAAAAAAAATTAAATATCCTGTTTAATATAGCATCATGATAACAAATTCCTAGGGGAAAAGATCTAATAACAGATGTGAAAGACTTCTACATAGAGAACTTTAAAACATAAAAGAAAAAAAGATTTAAATAAACAAATGGAGGGCTAAATACCATGATGATGGTTTAGAAGACTTAATACAATGTCAGTTCTCTTTAAGATCAAAATTTCAATGAATTTCAAAATTTCTGTCCCCATCCTTACCACCACATACACGTATACAAATTGGCAAGTTGATTCTAAAATTCATCTCGAAATGCCATAGACCAAGTATAGCCACAGCAGAAGAAAACAAGGTGAGAAGACTTAATTACTAGTATTAAGATCTGTTTAAAAAGTATAATAGGCCGGGCGCAGTGGTTCACGCCTATAATCCCAGCACTTTGGGAGGCCAAGGTGGGAAGATCACGAGGTCAGGAGTTCAAGACCAGCCTGGTCAATATGGTGAAACCCTGTCTCGAGTGTGGTGGCATGTGCCTGTAGTCCCAGTTACTCAGGAGGCTGAGGCAGGAGAATCGCTTGAACCCAGGAGGTGGAGGTTGCAGTGAGCCAAGATTGAGCCACTGCACTCCAGCCTGGGAGACAGAGCGACACTCCATCTCAAAAAAAAACAAAGTATAATAGTGTGTTGGTGGAAGAATAAACAAATAGAATAGTGAAATAGAATAGAGAGTCTTGAAGTTATCCCATATATAAGGACATTTGGTGTGACATTTCCCTCACGGCAGTGAGAGAAAAGACAGTCTTTTTAGTCATTGGTGCTGGCTCAATAACATATCTTTTTGGAGTGGGGTGGGAATGAGGAGGAATTGACCTATAAGATAGTGACCTTATAACCATGCACAATATCAATTCCAAGATCTGAACAAGAGAGATAATACAATAAAACTTCTAGAAATAGTGTAGGATATTTTCATGATCTTGGATAAAGAAAGATTTCTTAAGTCAGGAGTGTCCAATCTTTTCGCTTTCCTGGGCCACATCAGAAGAAGAATTGTCTTGGACCACACCCAAAATGCACTAACACTAACGACAGCTGATGAGCTTAAAAAAAAAAAAGGTTCATGCAAAAATCTCATAATGTTTTAAGAAAGTTTAAGAATTTGTGTTGGGCTGCATTCAGAACCATCCTGGGCTGCATGCAGCCCATGGACCGTGGGTTGGACAAGTTTGTCTTAAACAATACAAAAAACACAAATTGTAATGGAAATAATTGATACATTGGACTATATTAAGATTAAGAATTCTGTCAATCAGTACATCATTAAGAGAATGAAAAGGCAAACCACAGAGTAGAATAATATATTTGCAACACCTATAATGAACAAAGGGCTTTTATCTAGTATATATAAATGCTTCCTCGTAGAAAATGAGCAAGAGGCTTGAACAGATATTTTAACGAAGAGTTCACTGAGGAACAGACACAAATTAGTACATCCTGTCTGATTCCGTTTATATCAAGTTCCAAAACCGTTAAAACTAATCTATGGTGTTAGTTATTAGGATGGTGGTTACTTTTGGGGAGGAGGCATGAATAGTGATTGGGAGAAATATAAAGGTGGATTCTGGAGTGCCAGTGGTGTTCTGTTTGTTGACTTGGGTAGGAATTACACAGGTGTGTTCACTTTGTGATAATTCATTGAGCATATGTGTGTTATACTTAAAGAAAATTTTAAAAAGACAAAGAAAAACAAGCTAAATTGTACTGTCACATAAGTGGTCTATACTATTACAAAGTACACAGTAGGGAGGATTAAGAACTATATAGCCAACTCTGTTTTATGCTACCAAAAGGGCCACTAGGATGAGGACTAACGAAAATCATTAGGCCAGGTGTGATGGCTCACACCTATAATCCCAGCACTTTGGGAGGCTGAAGCTGGAGGGTCACTTATGTCTAGGAGTATGAGACCAGCCTAGACAACATAGTGAGACCCTTATCTCTACAAAATAAAAAAATTAGCCAGGCATGGTGGCACACATCTGTAGTCTCAGCTACTCTGAAGGCTAAAGTGGGAGGATCTCTTGAGCCTGGGAGGTTGAGGCTACCGTGAGCTGAGATCACACCACTGCACTCTAGCTTAGGCGACAGAGTGAGACCTTGTCTCAAAAACAAAACAAAACAAAAACCACACATTAGATTAAGTGACATTAGGGTTCTTGGTAAGTTTAGGAACTGTAGTTTTAATGGTATGTGGCAGCAGAAGCCCTACTGAAATGAGTTGAGAAGATAGTGTGATAAGGAAATCAAAACAGCAAATGGAGACAATTCTTCTTAAACGTTTGCCTGTGGAAAAACTGAAAGCGTTTCCTCTTAGATCTGGAACACAACAAGGTTGTGCACTTTTACCACTCTTATTTGTTATAGTACTGGAAGTCCTAGCTAGAGCAGTCAGACAAGAGAAGGAAATAAAGGGCATCCAAATTAGAAAGGAAGAAGCCAACTTATTCTTGTTTGCAGATGATACGATCTTATATTTGGAGAAACCTAAAGACTCCACTAAAAAACTGTTAGGACTGATAAACAAATTCAGTAAAGTTACAGGATACCAAATCAGCATACAAAAATCAGTGGCATTTCTGTATGTTAACAGTGAACAATCTGAAAAAAAGAAATTTAAAAAGTAATCCCATTTACAAGAGCCACAAGTAAAATGAAGTACCTAGGAATTAACCAAAGAAGTGAGTATCGCTACAATGAAAACTATAAAATACTGATGAAAGAAATTGAAGAGGATGGCAACAAATGGAAAGATATTTCATGTTCATGGGTTGGAAGAATCAATATTGTTATAATGTCCATACTGCACAAAGCAGTCGACAAATCCAGTGCAATTCCTATCAAAATACCAATGACATTCTTCACAGAAATAGAAAAAACAATACTAAAATTTATATGGAATCACAAAAGACCCTGAATAGCCAAAGTCATTCTGAGCAAAAGGAACAAAACTAGAGGAATCACATTACCTGAGTTCAAATTACAGTACAGAGGTATAGTAACCAAAATAGCACGGCACAGGCAGAAAAACAGACACACAGACCAGTGGAACAGAGAATCCAGAAACAAATCCACACACCTACAGTGAACTCAGAATTTGCTTAATGGATTGGATGTGGAAAGTGAGAAATAGAATATTCAAGAATGTTGGCTAGAACAGCTACAGGAATGAAGTTACTATTGTTTAAAGTGGGAAGACTGGGAGAAACTAGTTTGAAAGTGTGATTGACCAGCAGCTCAATTTTTGCACACGTTAAGTTTGAGGGTATTATTAGACCCCCAAGTCGAAATTTGTTGGATATATGAATTTGGAAATAAAGGGGAAGGTACAGACTACAGATACAAATTGCAAGCCTTTGGCAAATAGATGATATTTAAAACCCTGAGATTTAATGACATTCCTATTAGAATGTATGACAGAAGAAATGCAAAGACTAAGCCCTGGGACAACATTTAGAGGTTAGGAAGATGAAGTAGCACTAGCAAAGGAAGAACTAAAGAGGAAAGATGAAAATCCAGAATTTTGTTTCCAAATAAGCAAATTGAGACAAATGTGTATGGGGAAGAAGAAGGGAGTGCTTAAGCACAGAATTTACTTCTTATTGACAAGAGTTCTCCGACTGTTGCATTCAGCAGTTTACAGTTACCAAGGATACTAAATTTGACATAGATTTTGATTCATCAAATTTTTTTCATTGTTCAATTCCCACCTTTGAGTGAGAATATGCGGTGTTTGGTTTTTTGTTCTTGCGATAGTTTACTGAGAATGATGATTTCCAATTTCATCCATGTCCCTACAAAGGACATGAACTTATCATTTTTTATGGCTGCATAGTATTCCATGGTGTATATGTGCCACATTTTCTTAATCCAGTCTATCATTGTTGGACATTTGGGTTGGTTCCAAGTCTTTGCTATTGTGAATAGTGCCGCAATAAACATATGTATGCATGTGTCTTTATAGCAGCATGATTTATAGTCCTTTGGGTATATACCCAGTAATGGGATGGCTGGGTCAAATGGTAATTCTAGTTCTAGATCCCTGAGGAATAGCCACACTGACTTCCACAATGGTTGAACTAGTTTACAGTCCCACCAATAGTGTAAAAGTGTTCCTATTTCTCCACATCCTCTCCAGCACCTGTTGTTTCCTGACTTTTTAATGATTGCCATTCTAACTGGTGTGAGATGGTATCTCATTGTGGTTTTGATTTGCATTTCTCTGATGGCCAGTGATGATGAGCATTTTTTCATGTGTTTTTTGGCTGCGTAAGTGTCTTCTTTTGAGAAGTGTCTGTTCATGTCCTTCACCCACTTTTTGATGGGGTTGTTTGTTTTCTTCTTGTAAATTTGTTTGAGTTCATTGTAGATTCTGGATATTAGCCCTTTGTCAGATGAACAAATCACATGGACACAGGAAGGGGAACATCACACTCTGGGGACTGTTGTGGGGTGGGGGGAGGGGGGAGGGATAGCATTGGGAGATATACCTAATGCTAGATGATAAGTTAGTGGGTGCAGTGCAGCAGCATGGCACATGTATACATATGTAACTAACCTGCACAATGTGCACATGTACCCTAAAACTTAAAGTATAATAATAAAAGAAAAAAAAAAAGCACGAAAAAGATGTTCTAAATAAATTGCGAAGAAGACAAGTTATATAACAGCATGTGCAGTCTAATCATTATTTCATTTTTTAAAAAAAGGTACAGTATGCACACAGAATAAAGATTGCTTATACACATCAACGTATTATGAGCATTATCTTTATTTTGCTTGTATGTTCTAGATTTTCTTAAGCAATGTGCATTTCTTTCATACTAAAAATATTTTTAAATAAAATATACTAATTACTTTTAAAAAAAAAATTTTTTTCCACTGAAAATGAGATGTTTTCTTAAGGCATGTGTGCATCATGTCTAAAGTACCCACTTCCAGATTTAGAAAACCTAGGAAAAAACTATTTTCCCCTAGTAACAGTATCCAGATTTTAATTTATTCATCAAAAGACTATCTAGATTCAAACCATGCAAAGCATGACTTGCTGAATTTTCAAGAGGAGGTAGTAGGGTTCTTTGTATACAAATAATACTGGAAGGCATATTAGTTGGCCGTGTGAACTAAAATTAGTAAATAGTCATTTTCAATGTCAATGTAACCTACAAATTCAACTTCTTTTAAAAAAACCAAAGCTATCAAATAGCTTGCAAGAACTCTGAGAAGGGGGAAAAGTGAAAGCTGAAGAGTGGACATTTTTATGAACTGTGCATTTATGGAAGAAAATTTATCTCTGTTATTGCATATTGCTTACTGCTTGGCTGGTGGATAGCACAAGGTGAATTTGGAGCTGTCTCCAATCTTTTTGTTGTATTTCTTTGACATTCCGGTAAAGTTCATGTTTTCATGCCCAAATGGGCAAACTACAGTATGAGCCTGAAATGAGCAAGGATAGTTGTTTGCATGTAACATCATAAACATGTTCATAAAGCTGGTTTAATTAGAAAATGCCAAACATTCGTAAATCCGAGGCTTTCTCAGTCCTCAAACAGAAAGTTCAGATTGAACTGGTAAATTCAAATCCAAACATTTACTAACTCAAGGCTGCAGAGATCTCATGCCTCTATTTTAATATATTATAATAAAATATTAAAGTTATCCCGTCATCTTACTTACAGAATGTCTGGATTTTTATAAAAACTGTGCCTGTGATAGTAAATTTGTGTTATTATCCTAGAGTCCTCAAAAACCTATAAACATTTGGTAAATACATTTAAAATTATAATTTAACATAGTATGCCTCCGATATATTCTAGCAAGCCTTAGAGAAGAGTGTATCAAAAGTCTTTTAGAGTCAAAGCTAGCTATCTAAAATTTTTATGTTTGTATACATGAAGACCAAAAAAGGAAATTAAGTTGGAAAACTCTGAGGAAAAGCCAGCCTTTTACTTTATACCATCTTTTCCTAAGTTTATTGACCTCTGAGTGACCAAAAACTTGAGAAAACTTTGAAGAAAATTAATATTAAAGTAGAATATGTTCTCTAGGGTATTTATAAAAATATTATAAAGGATAAAGCTTTTGATCAGAATTAATAAAAGATATTGATTATTCAAACATTAGCTTTTTTTTTTTTTTTTTTGGAGGCAGGGTCTCACTCTGTTGCCCAGGCTAGATTACAGTGGTGTGGTGTAATCATGACTCACTGCAGCCTCAACTTCCTAGGCTCAACTGATTCTCCCACCTCCACCTGCCAAGCAACTGATACTACAGGCACTCACCACCATGCCTGGCTATTTTTTTTTTTAATTTATTCTAGAGACAGGGTGTCACTATGTTGCTCATGCTGGGAAACCTTGGTTTAAACCCTGGCCCTTTCTGTTAGATTAAATTAGCCTCAGTTCTAACTTTATTTGTAAATTAGTGAGGACTCTGTTTTTATTCCCAAGACATTGTTAGAAATATCTAGATAATTTATGCAATAATTTCAAGATGCTAGAATCTTCTGTAGAACTACTGGATGGTAATAGCATTGGTAGACAGGATATGTGCATAATGAAGATTTAATATTATAAGAGATATATTCTTTCCTTTATAAAATAGAGTAAAAATGCTGATAAATAATGTCTGTGTATGGTAGTACTCAATATTTAGATTGGCTATTAAATTAATGTGTGTATTTACTTAACCAACAGAAGCAGACCTTGAACTTTATGGTGATATATTAATACATATAAAGATCAAAATCTTTATAAAAAATAATATCCTGGTATTTCTAGCTCTGAAAGTTGGAGCTCAGTGGATAATGGCAGCCACTGATTTTCTTTGAAATTTCCTTAAAATGTCATGTCTTATTCCTCTCCTGTAAAATAAGATTATTTGACTACTGTCTATAAGAAAGCTCACATTAAAACAGCTGCATAATATCTAGGCATTATATTTGTATTCCACATTAATAGATGGCAGTGATATGCAAGTAATTTGAGGAGAACTCAGATAAGCTCAAGAATTATCAAAATCATTATGAATAATTAAGGTAGAAAACCCTGGAAAAATCTTCCTCAAGGTTTTGGTTGAGTAGTTTTGGGTTTTCTTAAAAACCATGAGTGACTATATATTTATTCTTTGAAATAAGATTTGGAAGGATGTATGTGGTAATACTGATGGTAATATTCTGGAAGAATTGGCTTGATTATGGGATAAAATAGCCATATACAGTCAGTTCTGTTATAATATGACATACAGAGTCCTAAAAATCACTACACTATGCAAGTGGAGACAAAGTGGTTAGGGGCACTACTCTCAAAAACATGGTCAGTAACACACAAAAAAGTGATAAAACTAGGTTTCAAATACTATAATGAATATAGCACTTTACCTTGAAAAAATCCTAAAGTTTCCTTGTGGTAGAGGGCATCAGACTAATTTGTAAGTGTATTTTGAATTGATAGAAGGAGGGTTATTTAAAAGCGGATAGAATGTTGTTACAACAGGCATGTTGGGTGTGGCTAATAACACTCATGCAGTGAACTGAGGCAGCTGGTAGATGTTTGAGGTGTATCTGAATATGAACATCTTGTATATTCAACATGGCTTGGTGAGTAGAGTTTCCTTTGTTCATTTAGTGTTTATTACAGATGAAATTTGTAAATTAGTGAGGACTCTGTTTTTATTCCCAAGACATTGTTAGAAATATCTAGATAATTTGTGAAATATTTTCAAGATGCTAGAATCTTCTATAAAACTACTGGATGATAATAGCATTGATAGACAGGATATGTGAGTAGTGAAGGTTGTGCATAAGGAAACACAGATTTTGTGTTATGTGCAAATTGTTACCTAAAATAAATCAATTGCAGTAGAACATTAAAGTTTTCAAAGCAAATATTATAACAGAACTGACCTTACTACCAATCTGATATAGTTAGATTTGCCCATTAGAAAGAAGTTTGCATTATTAGCCAATTAAATGCAAAAACTTCATTTACATTTGAACATTTTCCTGATTTTCTTTTGGAAGTAGTTAATTGGGTCTCAAAACTGACATGAATAAAATAAAAAAAAACTAGTACTTAAGTTCTCAAGCTAACCTACTAAAATCAATTTTACTGTTTGATTTTGTTACTTTTGTTACTCTTATGAGCTAGATTTTGATTAGCAGTAACATTTTTTTTCGATTGGGACATCAGTTCTCAATTCTAAGTTGAGGTGCGAGACCACAATTCTGCTGTAATTTGAAGTTTGGATTCCTAATTTGTTCTTTTATCTTCCATATTTTAGCACAGTGGAGATTTGTTTACTTCTGTGAAGGTGGCTCCAAGGCAGTGCTGCCACTTATGGTTGCTCAAACTGTTACCCAATTACCTGTCACTTGTTATCGCTGATTTGTAGCTGTTTCATAAAATTTCCAGTAGATGGCAGTAGAGTTTCTTCAATAAAGGACTCCCTTTCTAATTTGTGGAAGTCATTTGTATAGGCTATTGTCATGGTTACTGTTCCCAGTTTGTACAGTCAAGTTCTGTGGAAATGGGTGCCCAAGAAGACCAGAGTAGAGTACTCCAAAATGTGATACCCACACTAGAGGCTCCTCTTAATCAGCCCTAAGGCCAAGTTCTTAGGAAACCACTGTGGTGGTTGGAGAATCAGGTGGGAAGTAGGAATGATTTTTAGATTCAGCCTGGACATCTGGAGGAGATGAATGGCAGATTGAACACAAGCATCTAATTATACTCCTCCCAGAAACTCCACCAAACCTACTAAAGGTGTTTTATTTTAAAGACATGATCCATCAAGGATATGGAGAACGAGAAAGAAGAAAACAGCCATACACACACACAAACACACACACACACACACACACACACACACACACATTGAAAGCTGAAAAGCAAATAGAGTGTGGCAAATGACATAGCTTACTTAAGAAAGCCAAATCTTAACTTGGCTATGAAGAAGGCTAAAAATGAAGCTGACCTTTACCACAGAATCTTTAAATAGCTCAGGAATTGAGCCAGACATATGTGGTAGCAGATCCCCAGGTCTCCTCCTCTTCCCCATTCCACTGAACAACTGTTCTTCCTACCTATACCTCCACCTTAGTATAAGACTCCAAGTATACTCTTTGGAGGGAAAAAAAAAAGCCCAAGTATCTTTGGATTGGGAGATACTAGGCAAAATTGAGAACAGGGCATTTTACCACATATGAGGGAATTAGGTGAATATGTGCACGCTGAATGATGGGACTCCTCCACCTTTCTTCTCTCACTTGCCTTTACCCTACAGGCAGGAGATTAGTAGAATACCCCTTGGTGTATTTAGCCCAAGAAGAAAGATCTAAGAATACCAACTTTCCCAAGATTAGTGGACATCTGAAGAAAAGCCTGAAAGAGAGAGACTAAAACATACAAAAAAAGAAGAAGAAGAAAAGAAAAAGAAAAAAGGGAAAAAACAACTTGGAGGTAGAGACTAGGCAGGGAACAGAAAACTTTAAAAAAATGATTGATATCCTCAGAAAGATAGGATGTTACATACATGAAACAAGAACAGAATGTTTTACAAAGTTGAGCTTTTGTCTACTAAAAAATTAGAATATAAAACTCAATATAAGGGTTGGAAAATGGAATTGAGAAAATAGAAAGTGGAGAGAAAAAAAAGATAAAATAATGAGAGGACCAGTCTAGGAAGTTGAATATCAAAACAACAATTCCAGAAAAAGGGAAAGAAAGGGAGCAAAACCCTAGCAAAATAATTTCAGGAAATTTCCCACCACTGAAAGATATGTGTTTCCAGATTGAAAGGGCTTACTGAGTTCCCATGACAAGTCACATTTCATGAAATTCTAAATTGTCTCTAGTGACAAGAGACAGTCTTACAAACCTGCAAAAAAAGGGAAATTGGAGTACATACAAAGGATCAGAAAGGCTGCGGACTTACAATAAGCAATATCAGAAGCTAGAGAACAATGAGGAATGCCCTCAAAATTCTGAAGGAAATTTTTTTCCAGTCCAGAATTGTATATTTAGCTGTAAACTATTAGTCAAATTTGAGAATAGCATAAAGACATTTTCAGACATGCAAGACTCAAAAAAGATTACCTCCTACACATCATTTTTCCTGAAGCTAATGAAAGATATGTTTTACTAAGAATGAGGACAGGAGATCTAGCACAGGGGAGAGAAAAAGGGAACTTTTAGTAGAATGCTAAAGACAGAACCAAGTTTAATAGCTCGGTACAAGATGTAGAATAAAGACAGCCAGTTCAGACTGGAGCAGCTGATAAGGCTGTAGCGAGACTTTCCAAGAACACAAAATTGATAAGTTAACTCAATCAGCGGAAACAATAGGAAGCGCATTTGTGGTTGAATTAACAATAAGCATATAGATATCTAAGCAAATGAATAATACAAGAGAACACTATAAGAGAAACAAAAAAGTAGCTCAGGACAAAGAGAACACTTCTATAGCACTTTTTATCATATTGGGCACTTTACATATATGAATTTTTTAATCCTTGTAAACCCAAGAGGTAGATAATGTTACAATGAATATTTTATGGATAAGGAAACTGAGGCATAGAGAGGTGAAGTAACTTGCCTAAATAGCTAGACAGCCATTAAGTGGCAAAGATAGGCTTTGAACCCTGGAAGTATGCCTTCAAGATCTATGCTCCTGACCACTATGCTACAGTCTACATAGGATTTACTCTGTGGCTGGAGTCTAAATAACGTACATAGTCATAATATTGTTTGCCTTTACCAAAATTATTATGTAACTATATAGGGAAGGTGAGAGAATAGGAGTATGTATGCACCTACTGGGATGGTGATGGAGGAGGAAGGATTCACATTCTCATCTTTCATAGTGGAAAGTCAATAGATAATGTCTAAAATAGAGAAATTTTAAAGTATCAACAAAGCAATATTATTCAATATTTGATGTTAACTACCAAAACAATTGGCTAAGAGAGGTAAAAGTGGTTGCTTCTGCAGAAGGAAATGTGTTAAAAGAGGAGGGCTGGGTATTGCTGTTTGTTTTAACAAGTTGTAGAACCAGTTGACTCTAAACTGTGTGCACATTTTTTTTTTTTCTGTTTTGAGACAGGGTCTCACTCTGTCACCCGGGCTGGAGTGCAGTGGCATGATCACAGCTCACTGCAGCCTCAAACTCCTGGGCTCAAGCAATCCTCCCACCTCAGCCTCCCAGGGAGCTGGAACTGCAGGTGCACACCACCACACCCAGCTAATTAAGGGCATTAATTCCTTAGCTTTTAGGGATTTAAATGGGAGGGCATATTACATTGATGACGACAGGTGGGTTTCACACTACTAAAATATACTGTTTTTAAAATTAGCTAAGTCTTTTCTCATTCTATAGTCACTTGTAGTAAGATATTAAGTTAGCCTTTAAAACAGCTTAGTTTTTCCTTATCTAAGGTAAGGAAGATAAATTGAATCTGACAAAACAAGACTAAAAACTTCTTGGCGTTTTCAGGTTAAATTATTATAATCTAATAGACAATAAAAACAACCTCTATTGGATGCTTCAGGAATGTTTTAAGAAGATATTTTCTTCTCTTTGTCTCTTTGTTAAATAAAAATTCAGCTGAAATAATGCTAAAGAACAAGTTTTCTGCAGACCATAAATGCTGTGCCTATGATTTAATGTATCATTTTGATTGTTTATATTTCTGCCGATGAATTCAAAACCCAGGGACCACGATAGTAAAATACATAAGAATTAATTCCACATAGGTCTCTTGTAGACTCACAGCAACCTTTGCTCACGTGAGAAGATCCAAAAGTGGAGTTTTTATACCTAGGTTAGGAATATTTTTACTGTGTCTCTTGCAGTGTCATATAAATAGAATTCAGAAAATGTCAGTAAGAAAAATTATCTGTATGTAAGTCGTTTTATTTTACAGTTTTCCAAGTAGTATTGGTGGTGAGCCTAGCAAATATTAGGCTAACAAAATAATTCTCTTGCAGCTTTTAAAGTACCGCAGCTTCCTACTTTAGATTACAGATTTGCCAGTGATCTGCATGAAAATGAAATAAATAAAACATGATCTACAGGGTTATTGGACAAGTGTTATGTTTCAAACTGTCATTTTATGAATTCAAACTACTTTCTAATGTTCTATTATTTGGCCTCATGGTAAGATTTTCTTTATCTCTTTTTCCCCCAAAATATTGGGGAAATTATTATGTTTACAATATTTTTTTTGACTGAGATTCAGTATTTTTAGTGTTTCTCTGTGAAGTAAAGCAAGCTTCTGTGCTTGTTCAATACTAGTTGTAACATCTTATTTGATTTGAAGTGGTAGGCATCACAGATACTTATAAAACTAAAAACAGCTTCCTCTCACTTTATTTATTTATTTATTTTTTATTATACTTTAAGTTTTAGGGTACATGTGCACATTGTGCAGGTTAGTTACATATGTATACATGTGCCATGCTGGTGCGCTGCACCCACTAACTCGTCATCTAGCATTAGGTATATCTCCCAATGCTATCCCTCCCCCCTCCCCCCACCCCACCACAGTCCCCAGAGTGTGATATTCCCCTTCCTGTGTCCATGTGATCTCATTGTTCAGTTCCCACCTGTGAGTGAGAATATGTGGTGTTTGGTTTTTTGATCTTGCGATAGTTTACTGAGAATGATGATTTCCAATTTCATCCATGTCCCTACAAAGGACATGAACTCATCATTTTTTATGGCTGCATAGTATTCCATGGTGTATATGTGCCACATTTTCTTAATCCAGTCTATCATTGTTGGACATTTGGGTTGGTTCCAAGTCTTTGCTATTGTGAATAATGCCGCAATAACCATACATGTGCATGTGTCTTTATAGCAGCATGATTTATAGTCATTTGGGTATATACCCAGTAATGGGATGGCTGGGTCAAATGGTATTTCTAGTTCTAGATCCCTGAGGAATCGCCACACTGACTTCCACAATGGTTGAACTAGTTTACAGTCCCACCAACAGTGTAAAACTGTTCCTATTTCTCCACATCCTCTCCAGCACCTGTCGTTTCCTGACTTTTTAATGATTGCCATTCTAACTGGTGTGAGATGGTATCTCATTGTGGTTTTGATTTGCATTTCTCTGATGGCCAGTGATGGTGAGCATTTTTTCATGTGTTTTTTGGCTGCATAAATGTCTTCTTTTGAGAAGTGTCTGTTCATGTCCTTCGCCCACTTTTTGATGGGGTTGTTTGTTTTTTTCTTGTAAATTTGTTTGAGTTCACTGTAGATTCTGGATATTAGCCCTTTGTCAGATGAGTAGGTTGCGAAAACTTTCTCCCATTTTGTAGGTTGCCTGTTCACTCTGATGGTAGTTTCTTTTGCTGTGCAGAAGCTCTTTAGTTTAATTAGATCCCATTTGTCAATTTTGTCTTTTGTTGCCATTGCTTTTGGTGTTTTGGACATGAAGTCCTTGCCCATGCCTATGTCCTGAATGGTGATGCCTAGGTTTTCTTCTAGGGTTTTTATGGTTTTAGGTCTAACGTTTAAATCTTTAATCCATCTTGAATTGATTTTTGTATAAGGTGTAAGGAAGGGATCCAGTTTCAGCTTCCTACATATGGCTAGCCAGTTTTCCCAGCACCATTTATTAAATAGGGAATCCTTTCCCCATTGCTTGTTTTTCTCAGGTTTGTCAAAGATCAGATAGCTGTAGGTATGCGGCGTTATTTCTGAGGGCTCTGTTCTGTTCCATTGATCTATATCTCTGTTTTGGTACCAGTACCATGCTGTTTTGGTTACTGTAGCCTTGTAGTATAGTTTGAAGTCAGGTAGTGTGATTCCTCCAGCTTTGTTCTTTTGGCTTAGGATTGACTTGGCAATGCGGGCTCTTTTTTGGTTCCATATGAACTTTAAAGTAGTTTTTTCCAATTCTGTGAAGAAAGTCATTGGTAGCTTGATGGGGATGGCATTGAATCTGTAAATTACCTTGGGCAGTATGGCCATTTTCACGATATTGATTCTTCCTACCCATGAGCATGGAATGTTCTTCCATTTGTTTGTATCCTCTTTTATTTCCTTGAGCAGTGGTTTGTAGTTCTCCTTGAAGAGGTGCTTCACATCCCTTGTAAGTTGGATTCCTAGGTATTTTATTCTCTTTGAAGCAATTGTGAATGGGAGTTCACTCATGATTTGGCTCTCTGTTTGTCTGTTGTTGGTGTATAAGAATGCTTGTGATTTTTGTACATTGATTTTGTATCCTGAGACTTTGCTGAAGTTGCTTATCAGCTTAAGGAGATTTTGGGCTGAGACGATGGGGTTTTCTAGATATACAATCATGTCATCTGCAAACAGGGACAATTTGACTTCCTCTTTTCCTAATTGAATACCCTTTATTTCCTTCTCCTGTCTAATTGCCCTGGCCAGAACTTCCAACACTATGTTGAATAGGAGTGGTGAGAGAGGGCATCCCTGTCTTGTGCCAGTTTTCAAAGGGAATGCTTCCAGTTTTTGCCCATTCAGTATGATATTGGCTGTGGGTTTGTCATAGATAGCTCTTATTATTTTGAAATACGTCCCATCAATACCTAATTTATTGGGAGTTTTTAGCATGAAGGGTTGTTGAATTTTGTCAAAGGCTTTTTCTGCATCTATTGAGATAATCATGTGGTTTTTGTCTTTGGCTCTGTTTATATGCTGGATTACATTTATTGATTTGCATATATTGAACCAGCCTTGCATCCCAGCGATGAAGCCCACTTGATCATGGTGGATAAGCTTTTTGATGTGCTGCTGGATTCGGTTTGCCAGTATTTTACTGAGGATTTTTGCATCAATGTTCATCAAGGATATTGGTCTAAAATTCTCTTTTTTGGTTGTGTCTCTGCCCGGCTTTGGTATCAGAATGATGCTGGCCTCATAAAATGAGTTAGGGAGGATTCTCTCTTTTTCTATTGATTGGAATAGTTTCAGAAGGAATGGTACCAGTTCCTCCTTGTACCTCTGGTAGAATTCGGCTGTGAATCCATCTGGTCCTGGACTCTTTTTGGTTGGTAAACTATTGATTATTGCCACAATTTCAGCTCCTGTTATTGGTCTATTCAGAGATTCAACTTCTTTCTGGTTTAGTCTTGGGAGAGTGTATGTGTCGAGGAATTTATCCATTTCTTCTAGATTTTCTAGTTTATTTGCGTAGAGGTGTTTGTAGTATTCTCTGATGGTAGTTTGTATTTCTGTGGGATCGGTGGTGATATCCCCTTTATCATTTCTTATTGTGTCTATTTGATTCTTCTCTCTTTTTTTCTTTATTAGTCTTGCTAGCGGTCTATCAATTTTGTTGATCCTTTCAAAAAACCAGCTCCTGGATTCATTGATTTTTTGAAGGGTTTTTTGTGTCTCTATTTCCTTCAGTTCTGCTCTGATTTTAGTTATTTCTTGCCCTCTGCTAGCTTTTGAATGTGTTTGCTCTGGCTTTTCTAGTTCTTTTAATTGTGATGTTAGGGTGTCAATTTTGGATCTTTCCTGCTTTCTCTTGTGGGCATTTATTGCTATAAATTTCCCTCTACACACTGCTTTGAATGCGTCCCAGAGATTCTGGTATGTTGTGTCTTTGTTCTCATTGGTTTCAAAGAACATCTTTATTTCTGCCTTCATTTCGTTATGTACCCAGTAGTCATTCAGGAGCAGGTTGTTCAGTTTCCATGTAGTTGAGCGGCTTTGAGTGGGATTCTTAGTCCTGAGTTCTAGTTGGATTGCACTGTGGTCTGAGAGACAGTTTGTTATAATTTCTGTTCTTTTACATTTGCTGAGGAGAGCTTTACTTCCAACTATGTGGTCAATTTTGGAATAGGTGTGGTGTGGTGCTGAAAAAAATGTATATTCTGTTGATTTGGGGTGGAGAGTTCTGTAGATGTCTATTAGGTCCGCTTGGTGCAGAGCTGAGTTCAATTCCTGGGTATCCTTGTTGACTTTCTGTCTCGTTGATCTGTCTAATGTTGACAGTGGGGTGTTAAAGTCTCCCATTATTAATGTGTGGGAGTCTAAATCTCTTTGTAAGTCACTCAGGACTTGCTTTATGAATCTGGGTGCTCCCGTATTGGGTGCATATATATTTAGGATAGTTAGCTCTTCTTGTTGAATTGATCCCTTTACCATTATGTAATGGCCTTCTTTGTCTCTTTTGATCTTTGTTGGTTTAAAGTCTGTTTTATCAGAGACTAGGATTGCAACCCCTGTCTTTTTTTGTTTTCCATTTGCTTGGTAGATCTTCCTCCATCCTTTTATTTTGAGCCTATGTGTGTCTCTGCACGTGAGATGGGTTTCCTGAATACAGCACACTGATGGATCTTGACTCTTTATCCAATTTGCCAGTCTGTGTCTTTTAATTGGAGCATTTAGTCCATTTATATTTAAAGTTAATATTGTTATGTGTGAATTTGATCCTGTCATTATGATGTTAGCTGGTGATTTTGCTCGTTAGTTGATGCAGTTTCTGCCTAGTCTCGATGGTCTTTACATTTTGGCATGATTTTGCAGCGGCTGGTACCGGTTGTTCCTTTCCATGTTTAGCACTTCCTTCAGGAGCTCTTTTAGGGCAGACCTGGTGGTGACAAAATCAGTCAGCATTTGCTTGTCTGTAAAGTATTTTGTTTCTCCTTCACTTATGAAGCTTAGTTTGGCTGGATATGAAATTCTGGGTTGAAAATTCTTTTCTTTAAGAATGTTGAATATTGGCCCCCACACTCTTCTGGCTTGTAGGATTTCTGCCGAGAGATCCGCTGTTAGTCTGATGGGCTTCCCTTTGAGGGTAACCCAACCTTTTTCTCTGGCTGCCCTTAACATTTTTTCCTTCATTTCAACTTTGGTGAATCTGACAATTATGTGTCTTGGAGTTGCTCTTCTCGAGGAGTATCTTTATGGCGTTCTCTGTATTTCCTGAATCTGAACGTTGGCCTGCCTTGCTAGATTGGGGAAGTTCTCCTGGATAATATCCTGCAGTGTGTTTTCCAACTTGGTTCCATTCTCCCCATCACTTTCAGGTACACCAATCAGACGTAGATTTGGTCTTTTCACATAGTCCCATATTTCTTGGAGGCTTTGCTCATTTCTTTTTATTCTTTTTTCTCTAAACTTCCCTTCTCTCTTCATTTCATTCATTTCATCTTCCATTGCTGATACCCTTTCTTCCAGTTGATCGTATCGGCTCCTGAGGCTTCTGCATTCTTCACGTAGTTCTCGAGCCTTGGTTTTCAGCTCCATCAGCTCCTTTAATCACTTCTCTGTATTAGTTATTCTAGTTATACATTCTTCTAAATTTTTTTCAAAGTTTTCAACTTCTTTGCCTTTGGATTGAATGTCCTCCCGTAGCTCAGAGTAATTTGATCGTCTGAAGCCTTCTTCTCTCAGCTCGTCAAAGTCATTCTCCATCCAGCTTTGTTCTGTTGCTGATGAGGAACTGCGTTCCTTTGGAGGAGGAGAGACGCTCTGCGTTTTAGAGTTTCCAGTTTTTCTGTTCCGTTTTTTCTCCATCTTTGTGGTTTTATCTACTTTTGGTCTTTGATGATGGTGATGTACAGATGGGTTTTCGGTGTGGATGTCCTTTCTGTTTGTTAGTTTTCCTTCTAACAGACAGGACCCTCAGCTGCAGGTCTGTTGGAATACCCTGCCATGTGAGGTGTCAGTGTGCCCCTGCTGGGGGGTGCCTCCCAGTTAGGCTGCTCGGGGGTCAGGGGTCAGGGACCCACTTGAGGAGGCAGTCTGCCGGTTCTCAGATCTCCAGCTGCGTGCTGGGAGAACCACTGCTCTCTTCAAAGCTGTCAGACAGGGACATTTAAGTCTGCAGAGGTTACTGCTGTCTTTTTGTTTGTCTGTGCCCTGCCCCCAGAGGTGGAGCCTACAGGGGCAGGCAGGCCTCCTTGAGCTGTGGTGGGCTCCACCCAGTTCGAGCTTCCCGGCTGCTTTGTTTGCCTAAGCAAGCCTGGGCAATGGTGGGCACCCTCCCCCAGCCTCGCTGCCGCCTTGCAGTTTGATCTCAGACTGCTGTGCTAGCAATCAGCGAGACTCCGTGGGCGTAGGACCCTCCGAGCCAGGTGTGGGATATAGTCTCGTGGTGCGCCGTTTTTTAAGCCGGTCTGAAAAGCGCAATATTTGGGTGGGAGTGACCTGATTTTCCAGGTGCGTCCGTCACCCCTTTCTTTGACTGGGAGAGGGAACTCCCTGACCCCTTGCGCTTCCCAGGTGAGGCAATGCCTCGCCCTGCTTTGGCTCGCACACGGTGCGCGCACCCACTGACCTGCGCCCACTGTCTGGCACTCCCTAGTGAGATGAACCCGGTACCTCAGATGGAAATGCAGAAATCACCCGTCTTCTGCCTCGCTCACGCTGGGAGCTGTAGACCGGAGCTGTTCCTATTCGGCCATCTTGGCTCCTCCCCTCACTTTATTATTATGACTATTTAATTCGTAAAATTTACTCAATTTAGAAACTAAGTTAAAACCAAAATGGCACACTTGAGTTATTCCCAGTTAAGCTCTCATTCACTGAGTCAGTTAACATCCTCTTCGGTAACAAGCACATTCTAAGTTTTCAGTATATCAGCTGGTTTTTAGCAGATTGTGAAAGTTTTGACACGTTAGTGGCTATCTCCATTCTTCACCAACCTTTTCTAAAAAGTACTTTATCTGTGCACAATAATTTTTTATTTATTTATTTTTTTGAGGCGGAGTCTCATCTCTGTCACCCAGGCTGGAGTGCAGTGGCTTGATCTTGGCTCACTGCAACCTCCACCTCCCGGGTTCCATCGATTCTCCTGTCCCAGCCTCCCAAGTAGCTGAGATTACAGGAATTTGCCACCATGCATGGCTAATTTTTGTATTTTTAGTAGAGACAGGGTTTCACCCCATGTTGGCCAGGCTAGTCTCGAACTCCTGACCTAAGGTGATCCACCCACCTCGGCCTCCCAAAGTGCTGCAATTACAGGCGTGAGCCACCGCGCCCCGCCTCAATAATTTTTTAATAATTTTTTCAATACCCTGAAATCTGGCTTTATTTGCCACTGAAATTACCCCCAACTATCAGAGATTTGATAATAAGTTTCATAACTTCATTATTTTTTTCTTTTTTGTTTTTCTATTTTTTTTAGCTGGTGTCTCGCTTTGTGGCTAGGCTAGAGTGCAGTGGCGCATGGCATGATCATAGCTCACTGCAGCCTTGACCTCCTAGGCTCAAGTGATCCTCCCCTGCCTCAGCCTCCCTAGTAGCTGGGACTACAGGCATGTGCCACCAGAACCAGATAATTTTTTTATTTAAAAAAATTTTTGTAGGTCGGGTGCAGTGGCTCACATCTGTAATCCCAGCACTTTGGGAGGCCAAGGCGGGTGGATCACCTGAGGTCAGGAGTTTGAGACCAGCCTGACCAACATGGTGAAACCCCGTCTCTACTAAAAATACAAAATTAGCTGGGTGAGGTGGTGCATGTCTGTAATCCCAACTACTCGGGAGGCTGAGGCAGGAGAATTGCTTGAACCCAGAAGGTGGAGGTTTTGGTGAGCCGAGATCGCGCCATTGCACTCCAGCCTGGGCAACAAGAGCGAAACTCCATCTCAAAAAAAAAAAAAAATTTTTTTTTGGTAGAGATGGGGTCTCACCGTGTTGCCCAGGCTGGTCTCAAACTCCTCACCTCAAGTGATACTCCCACCTCGGCCTCCCAAAGTGCTGGGAATACAGGTACAAGCCACTGCATCTGGCCAAGTTTCATAACTTTAGTCCTCATCACCTTCTAACTCTCTTCGTGGTTTTTAATGATCGACTTCCCTTTAAAGCTTCTCTTTCTTGACTTCTGTGACATTTTTTCCTCTATTGCTTATGTCCTGCCTCACCGTACTTTTTAAAATATTTCCCACTTTTTAAATGCAGATGTCTAAAGGTCTTATCCTTACCCTTTTTCTTTTGCTTTGTCCTTTCTCAGTAGTTGACTTCACCTATATTCATGTTTCCAAATGTCATCCCTGGGCCAGTACCTTTTAAATCTCTATTTTTGGCTTCCTCGTCTCTTCTCAGTTCCAGACCTGAATTCCCAACTGGTCGTCTGTACTAGAATGTTCAAAACTGAAGCCATTATCTTTGATTAGTTTCCCTTCTTTGTTCCTTCCCTCCCCAACAACCTGTTCTCATGTGGTGGTTGGTTCTGTTAATATGACCACCATCCTTCTAGTCATTCTAACTTTACATTACTCTTTTATTTCTACCTAAATATCTGAATAGCTACTCATATATCTTTTCCTGTTTCCATTTTTATCCTTCTGTATTAACTCATTTCACTGCTCTTTTGTCATCTTAGAGCACTAATTGAATCATACTACTTTCCTTGTTTAAACACTTTTACTGTATCTCCACTGATCTATAAGATGAGGTTCAAATTTACAGTGACACTAAACGTCCTATATATTCTGACTGAGAGTTAGCTCTTTAAGATCATCTTTTTTCTTTTTACCCACCACAGGTATGTATTCTGGGTTCTGGCCACATAGGACTGCTTCAGATTCCCTAGGCATTCTCAATACACATGGGCTTTTGTTCACATAGGGCATAAACCTGGAATATCTTGCTCTGTTTTTCCACCTTCATTTCTACCTTCTGTATGTAGAAATCCCATTTATCCTAAGGGACCAATAAGATATTAACTCTTGGCAATCTTTTTCTTCATTCACTAATCAGAATTCATTAGCATTTTTGTTTGTGATAAACAGTACTTTTTGTACTTCTGATATTTGGATGTATGTTCTTATGTTTTCAGTAAGTTGTTGGTATGTGTCATCTTTACTAGATTGGAACCTCTTAGATGGCAAGATTGTATCTTACTCACCTTGGTATCACCATAGCAGGTTGTTTTGTACATAACTGCAGGCTGAGTGAGTGACTGATTGTTGAGCAAATGACTGATATGAGACATACTAGAGAAACTCTTTCTTGACTTTCAGGTGGAGCATGTCAAAGTGAAAAATAATCTTAGATGTGGGTAATTTTTTTTTATCCTGAAGGGAAAACCATACCCACTTGAGAGAAAATCGTTTAGTAATGAAATTAGAGAATTACTAAATATCATTGCACAGCCACAGGACTATAAGCAGTATAATCACAACTATTGGTTTTGATAAATACAAAGTTGGTAAATGCCATTGTCCAAGTTAACAAGTCACAGTATCAAGTGTACTTGGTTGTGAATGTCAGGTCTGAACTCCGTGCTGTTGGTTAATATCATAACCATAGTTGTGTTAGTGAGCAAGATATTTGTGTTTATTTTTAAGATTTTATTAATAGTAAATCACTTTTATTAATTTCTTATATTTATAGAGAATGATAAGAGAAAATGAAGTATCTTAATGAAAGGAAATGACCATTTTATCCTTTTTGCTGCATTTCACAAAATGAATATTAGGTTATTTATAACAAAAACATGTATTAGGTTGTTAAGAGATTAATTAGTATATAAAAACCACACAAGAAGATTTAGCAGTTATTTCACAGATAGAGGGTTTACTTTTTCAGGAAAGAAAATGCATACCCGTAACTAGAACACATTCTGTCTGGAAGGATACCTTTACCAGTGACTGTGCTGGGTAGTGGAAAATGGCACCAGCTTTGAAGTTGTCTTAACCTGGATTCAAATTCCATATGCTCTCATCATTAACTCTGAACCTCAGCTTCCTTGTTGGATGAGATTTTTATTATGATTCAAAAGAAGAATGCAGGAGCAATAACATAAACTTTGATTTGAGCCAAACTTCAGTTCGCTCTGACTCATAAAATCATGGAACCAGTGAGATAATAGACTAGGTGTTATGTTTCTCATCTTGCTTGGACAGGTTTAAGCTATTAAAGAAATTTGAAGCTGGTCATAGTAGCTCACTTCTGTAATCCCAACTACTTGGGAGGCTAAGGTGGGAGGATTGCTTTGGTCCAGGATTTTGAGGCTGCAGATCACACCACTGCACTCCAGCCTGGGTGACAGAGCAAGACTCGATCTCTAGGAAAAAAAAAAAAAGAAAAGAAATTTGAGGTGTGACATCTTAAAGCATTCTATCTCTGTATCTTGTGACTTTGCCCATTTGTTTTTTTCCATTTTCACTTGCACTTCCTTTCTTCTAAAGTATAGTCATAATTCACCAGTCTGTTATGTAATGAAGGTAGAAAGATGGGAGTGGGCTTGTTTACAATGCATCTTGAAATATATTTGGAGACTTGACCTAGGCCCTTGACTGCCCAGAACCTTTTCTGAAAGGAAAAATAAGTAATTCAGATAAATTGAGCAAAATTAGCTAAATATCGTTTAATTGTACATGTGCATATGGCTCTCTTTTTAGGTAGCCCAAGATTGGCTATGCTGTTTACCAAAGCCTTTTAAGTTTACATTTCAAGCAGAAGGATTTATAAATCAGATTGGTGGAAAATCTAGTTTAATTTTATGTGCGAAACAGACTCTAACTGCCTCAAGGAATGAAGTTTTTGGCTTGTTATGACCCCCTTGGCACCCACCTGCCAACTGGTCTCTCTAGTAACAATGCTTAACCAAGAAAGCTCCCTAGTTTCTCATAAAGCTGTTGTGTTCATTGGATTGTTCTGGTTACTTTTATTTCTGTAAAATTTAAAGCCTATTTTCTTTTCCTGTTGTCTTCAGATATTTGCATGTTAACATGTTTCCTCATTTTGATTGATATTTAATATAGCACAACAGGAAGCTTCCATTCATTTCATTTTTTAAAAAAATTCTCCTTACAACATTCCTATTTTGTCTGTGTTTGACGTGTTCTTTCTAACTCTGAAGAGTAGAGAATAACATAGGAAAAATTCAAGGTAGAAAATAGTGTCTAGAACATGAATTCACAGGATGAGAAGGAAGTAAAAGCGAGTGAATTAGAAAGAGAACTAGTAATAGAGGAAAGATAATTATCAGTTCATTTTTTCCTCTTAAAGGCCTTTAGGTTTTTTCCCTCCCACTTTAATCAGAGTAGTGCCACCGAAGAGTCAAAAACTTATTTAAACAAATCTTTTGTAATTAATTTTTAAAGGTAGGAATTGTAGAGAAGTATTCATTCAGATATATGTATTAGGAACTAGATGAGCTAGGGATAGAGCTAATGAGATAATACATTGGGTGTGACTTAAAATAAGAAGAGAAAAAAATACATTTAAAAGCAGAATATCATTAGCAGTGCATATAACAGTTGGATAGAAATAGCCTTGGAGTAGCCACTAAAAGCTAGAAAGTTTCATAGTGGTAGATAGGCTCCCTGAAAGAAACTGTATGCAGAATATGAGAAAAGAGAAAATTTGGCCTCTTCTAATAAGGCTTGGCATCACTGATACAGTATAGAGTTACAGTAAAAGATGAGCTTTTATAACTAAATGTGTTACTGCAGTTGATAAGTTAAAATTAGCTGGGTACCATGGCTCATGACTGTAATCCTAGCACTTTAACAGAAAGATTGCTTGAGGTCAGGTGTTTGAGACCAGCCTGGGCAACATAATGAGACCCCATCTTTACAAAAAATAAAAAAACTAGCCAGGCATGTTGGTGTGTGCCTGTAGTCCCAGCTACTTGGGAGGCAGAGGTGGGAGGATCACTTGAGCCCAGGAGTTTGATTCTACATATAGCTATGACTATATAGTCTACACTAGCTACGATTATGCTACTGCACTCCAGCCTGGGTGACAGAGCGAGCAAGACCCTGCCTCTAAAAATAAAGAAATGAATTAATAAATAAATAAGAATTTTTTTTAACTTTCCCAAGAAAAATTAATTTTGCAGAATCTCATGTACCCATGTAAAAGGCTGGATTATATGTTTTCCACATTAGAAAGAATGAATCATATATCAAAGGTATATGGTATCAGTTCCCATCAGGGAATAAGAGAATAGGTTCAAAATTTCATTAGCAGAAATCTACCTCCCTCATAATTATCCCTCATAAGTGAGAATAATAAGTGGATTTTCAAAAGAAATGTTTTTAGACTCTAAGAAGTCACCTTTTAGTATGTATGTGTCTTTCAAAATTTATTGTATACTATTTACATTTTATTTATAATAATGCTCTGCTATTTCAGAATTGATTATTGTACTAAAAGTTTATGTCTCAGAAAATATCTAATTAATTTTTTATTTTATTTTATTTATTTTTGAGATGGAGTTTCACTCTTGTTGCCCAGGCTGGAGTGCAATGGCACAATCTCGGCTCACCACAACCTCCGCCTCCAAAGTTCAGGCAATTCTCCTGCCTCAGCCTCCCAAGTAGCTGGGATTACAGGCATGTGCCACCATGCCCGGCTAATTTTGTATTTTTAGTAGAGATGGGGTTTCTCCATGTTGGTCAGGCTGGTCTCGAACTCCCGACCTCAGGTGATCTGCCCGCCTCGGCCTCCCAAAGTGCTGGGATTACAGGGGTGAGCCACCACTCCTGGCCAATTTTGTTTTCCTTTCTATAACCCCCTTTTTCTCCCATTTTACCTATGTTATCTTCTCTTACCGACTTTTTATCACGTTTTAAGTGATGATTCGTTCTTTCTGGAGACAATCAAAAATAGCATTATCCCTATGGTTTAAACCATGCTACAATATAAATATTGAAAGGCTCTTAATAAAGGACAAGTTTCATATAGTAATATTGTCCAGGTAAATAGAACAATCTCATTCTAACTTAGCATTTCTTTTCTATTTTGAATGAAATTTAAAATCATCAAACTCTTAAAACATTTCAGTATGTGTGTATATACAAATTTAGTTGCTCCCATGGAGGTCCTCTTAAGTAGCTTTTTAAAACTATAGTATTTCCTAATATTCATTTAGATTATAAGTAACATTCTTCAGGCTATAAAGTATTTTTAAATTAGAATCTTAGATAACAGAAAATTATTAATTTACCAGGGAGAATATAATTAATAAAATACAGTTTATTTTATTTTTATTTTATTTATTTATATTTCGAGAAAGGGTCTTACTCTGTCACCCAGGCTGGAGTGCAGTGGCATGATCTTGGCTCACTGCAGCCTCAACCTCTTGAGTTCAAGCAATCCTCCCACTTCAGCCTCCTGAGTAGCTGGGACTACAGGCACATACCATCACACCTAGCTAATAATTTTTTGTGTTTTTTTAATAGAGACAGTATTTCTCCACATTACCCAGGCTAGTCTCAAATTCCTGGGCTCAAGCAATCTACCTGCATCAGCCTTCCAAAGTTCTGGGATTACAGACATGAGCCACTGTGCCCAGCCACAGTTCATTGTTGAATCAGAAAGCATAATTGGCAGAAAGACAACCTTGTTAGTTCTTGTACCTAGAAAAACAGTATAGAAATGGCCAGTCCCAAGAATGACCTTATTTAGAGAAAAGGTCTTTGTAGGTATAATTAAAAATCTCAAGATAAGAACATCCTGGATATCTAGGTGGGTCCTAATCCAATGACAAATTTCCTCATAAGAGACAGAAAAAGGGAAGACATAGACATGGAGGAGAAGGCCTTGTGAAGACAGAGACAATGATTGGAGTAAAGCAGACACAAGCCAGGGAATGCCAGGAGCCACCAGAAATAGGAAGAGGCAAGCAGGTCTTCTCCCCTGCAGACTTCCAAGGAAGGGTGGCTCTGCCTATGCCTTGATTTTGGACTTCTGACTTCCAGAAAATTATGAGAGCATAAATTTCCTTTGTTTTTTAAGTTACTCTGTTTGTGGTAATTTCTTATGGTAGCACTAGGGAAATGATACATCTGGTTATTTTTTCTGCTATACAGACTATCTCATCTCCTATCACGTTTTTGGTGTACAGTACCATGAATCTGCTCTTTTTAATTGTGAGTCTCTTATTCCTATTTCTTTTTAAATTTTTTTTATTTTTAATTTGTATGGGTACATAGTAGGTGTATATATTTATGGGGTACATGAGATATTTTGATACAGGCATATAATGTGTAATAATCACATCAGGGTAAGTGGTATCTATCACCTCAAGCATTAATCATTTCTTTGTATTATGAATATTCCAATCGTTATTCTAAAAGGTACAACAAATTGTTGCTGACTGTAGTTACTTTGTTGTGCTATCAAATATTAGATCTTACTTATTCTGTAATTCTTATTTCTTAGTATCACCAATTGCCATCTCAAATTCATCTCTTTATGTTTTTAGAATAAAAATAAAGAATAGTTATAAATGTAAAGAAACAATAAGTGATGTAACTAGGTAGACATAATGATGACAAAACAGTGACAATGTTAAGTTCTGGATATATATTATCTCATTTATTCCTGGCAGTAGTCCTGTGAAACAAGTATTATTAGTACCCTTATTTTATAGAGAAGAGTACTGATGCCAAATAAGTGGCAGAACCAGAATTCAAACCCAGGTCTGTATGACTTTAAATCCACCTTACCATGGTATTTTCCTACTGCTTTATACAAATCACAATTACCAGTAGGGTATTTCGGGTTATGAGTGACTTATAAATACTAACAGGCAGCTGTGAGACCTTGTCTCTCTTCTCTTCCTCTCCCCAGCTATATTTGTTCCCTGATTCAGAGCCCCGCAGAGTGATTGACTTAGCAAATTGCCTAACCTAGGGAGTACAGCCTTTCATTCCTCAAATATATATTTTTTAATTCCTATTATGTGCCACACACTGTTCTGGCCTGTTGAACAAAGCATTCAAAAATAGCCGGCAGTACAGTTAAAAGCCTCTGCCTTCAGGGAACTTACATTCTGGTGGGACTAGACTGGCAAAGCAAACACCTTTACAATATACCGCATGGTGATAAATGCAATGGAGAAAAAAGGTAAGGTAAAAGATGTAGGGAGTGCTGTGGGTGGAGAAGGAAGCAAAGGAATGTTACTTTTATATGAGATCATCAGAGAAGACCTCACTGATTAAGGAACATTTGGTGAAGATCTGAAAGAAAATGTCCCAGAACTGACATTTGAGTTCCTTGAATTTCCAGTTTAATAGGCCTGTGAATTTCCAATTTAATAGGCCTGTGAAGTGCTCAGCATTGTAAATAAATACAACCCCCTTGAAGGCACATCTTCAGGAAATTTCAGAACATCCACAATGGGAGAGACCCTTCTAAAAGTTTTCAGGGATTTAAAGCAGAAACAAAAAATACTCTCTAAAGGATTTGAATGAGAGCAGCATCTGACTTCTTGATAGTAATATTAGAGGCTGAGACGCTGGAGCAGTGCCCTTAAAATTCCAAGTGAACGTGATGTCTAAATATCATTCCAAGTGAACATGATGTCTAAACTGAAATTATATTCCAAGCTAATGTATCTGTCAAGTATAAGAAGGGGTAAATTAAGGACCCAGACTGAAGTTCCAGCTATTCAGGAGGATCGCTTAAGCCCAGGAATTGGGGGTTGCAGTGAACTATGATCACACCACTGTGCTCCAGCCTGGGTGACAGAGCGAGATCCTGTCTCTTAAAAAAAAAAGGACAAGAGAAAGACAAAGGTTATCCCCAGAATCTTGGTGAAAGGAAGTCTCTGGATGGCAGCTATGTAGCTGACTGAGTGAGCATCCAGTCCAAACTGGGGTAAAAGGATGGAAGGCTCTGGTATATATTAGTATTATAAGTTAATAATAAGTATACATTCAGTAAATTTTGGTTAATTATATTGTTGACTAAGTTGCTTTAATCAGAGCCATTAGTAGGGGTAGGGGGAAGGATAAATATTATTGAATGCTCAAGTTAAGGCACTAGTTTATTACAGTTCCACTGTGTTACAGCAGTGTTATCAGATGACTAGTAAGACCTGCACAAATCTTTTCTCAAAATTGTTTGATTCGATAAATTTGGAAGATTGGGCTAATGCTAGATCATAATATGAGTAACATAAGTAATGTATTATTTTGTCTTAATGGTTCTGCTTGTAATATATATCTAAGATTCTGCAAGCTACTGTCCTGCATACCTGAGAAATTATTTCACTAAAGTATTCTATTTATATCTCTCCTTGGGTGATTTATGATGTCTGCATTTTTTTACCAAGGTGTCTATGATTACAACATAGAGTATGTAGTGTCTTATTTCTAATACATATTCTCTGTGGATGGAACAAAAGACTGAACAGTGAACAGTACTCTTGGTAAAGTGGAGTTCTTTTTGACAAAGTTATAGACTTTTTCACATAATTGTAGTTGCAGTGGGCTGTAGTCTGGGTCATGAAATAACAGATTAAAAATGTTCTCTGGTAAAAGAATTAAACATTTCTGTAAATGGAAGGAAAAGAAAAAGATTTCAGAGAGTCTGATCAATAATAGCTTGTGGGTCCTAGTGAGTGGAGCAGTGTATAAAGAGGTAAGGTTTTTGAGGGAAAAAAATACTATGTCAAATGGGGGGTGAATGATAAAAATCGCTCTCATTTTCCTTTTTTTCACCTTTCATCTTCATTTATGGAATTTCTATACAATAAATATGTTTGGCATTTAATAACAGTGCCTCTCCCCCGGAATACTGTTTTTATTTTATCTTACTTAACAAAATATTATGTAGTGGTTTGTGCCAAGTACTGTTCTAAGCACTTTGCAAATATTTATTCACATAACCCTATAAGGTGGGTACTGTTATTATGCCTCTTTGTTTGTTTGCCAGCAATTAATGAAACTGAGACAGTGCTTGTCCAAGACACCATAAGTAGTAAATGGCATAGCTGGAATTTGGCCCTAAAGTCAGTCCTCTTAACCACTGTGCTCTTCTGTCTGCTAATGTAGTACCTTAGAAGTGGTGAGCAAAAGAGGCAGAGTTCTGTTTTATTTTTTATTTTTGTTTTTTAAGACGGGGTTTTGCTCTGTCACCCAGGCCAAGATACAGTGCTGCAAACTGCAGCCTCAACCTCCTAGGCTCAAGCAAATCCACCCGCCTCAGCCTCCTGAGTAGCTGGGAGCACAGGTGCGCAGCACCACACGTGACTAAGAGGCAGCGTTCTATACTCCCGTGTCCTATGACATTGTCAGTGGTTGAATCCCTATGCCCTTATAAAAATAAATTTATTTGTCAAGTTGTCTATTTTACTGTTATTTAGTGGAGGAAAAATGTGTAGTAATCTATTTAAAAACATAAAAAGAGACTATATGGGGTTTTTGTTGCTATTAGCAATCATAGGACAAACTGTGATGAGTGAAATAATCATGTTTCTTAGAGATGTAACTTCATGCATCTTTTTTTTTTTTTTTTTTTTTGAGACAGATTCTCGCACTGTCATCCAGGCTGGCATGCAGTGGCGTGATCTCGGCTCACTGCAACCTCCGCCTCCTGGGTTCAAGTGATTCTCTTGCCTCAGCCTCCCGAATAGCTAGGATTATGGGCGCCCACCACCACGCCTGGCTAATTTTTTTGTACTTTTAGTAAAGACGGGGTTTCACTATGTTGGCCAGCCTGGTCTCAAACTCCTGACCTCATGATCCGCCTGCCTCGGCCTCCCAAAGTGCTGGGATTACAGGCATGAGCCACCATGCCCAGCCACTTCATGCATCATTTAAAGAATTTCAATACAAAGAACATTTTTGGCATTTAATAGCATTCAATAAATATTGAGTTCAGTTAAATGTCAAAAAGAGTGTACAATATACTTTCAGCATTATTCAATTGATTATATTCTCATTAATTTCAGTTTACATGTATAGATATGTAAAATTTAAAACGTGTCATAAAAATTTTAGTAAATTTTAAATGTTTTTTGGATTATGATTTTAATTATGCAATAAATGATGGTATAGGATAAAGCATAGCCCACTAGTAATAGAATTTTTCTAATTCAAGCCTAGATTTTCTCTACAGAAAAACCTATGTTCTCGGCCGGGCACAGTGACTCACGCCTGTAATCCTAGCACTTTGGGAGGCCGAGGCGGGCAGATCACCTGAGGGTCAGGAGTTCAAGACCAGCCTGGCCAACATGGTAAAACCTCGTCTCTACTAAAATCACACAAAAAAATTAGCCAGGGGTGGTGGCAGGCACTTGTATCCCAGCTACTCAGGAGGCTGAGGCAGGACAATCGCTTGAACCCGGGAGGCAGAAGTTGCAGTGAGCCGAGATTGCACCACTGCACTCCAGCCTAGGCAATAAAGAACAACAAAACAAAACAAAAAACCTGTATTCTCAAAATCAATGTTGTGGCCTGACACTTTGCCAGTCAGATGGAAACCATTCTTTATTTCCTTGTATGAGGGAGAAAAAATTGTCTCCAATTCTTTTTTTTTTTTTTTTGAGACGGAGTCTCACTCTGCCGCCCAGGCTGGAGTGCGGTGGCGCGATCTTGGCTCACTGCAAGCTCCACCTCCCGGGTTCACGCCATTCTCCTGCCTCAGCCTCCCAAATAGCTGGGACTACAGGTGCCCGCCACCACGCCCAGCTAATTCTTTTTTGTATTTTTAGTAGAGACGGGGTTTCACCGTGGTCTCGATCTCCTGACCTCGTGATCTGCCTGCCTCAGCCTCCCAAAGTGCTGGGATTACAGGCGTGAGCCACTGCGCCTGGCCAAATTGTCTCCAATTCTTATACAAAGATATTCCTGTCTAATTTCTCTGTGTGGCCTTGAGAAATGTAATAGTGGCTGTTTGAATCTGCCTTTAGTCACTAATGAATATTTCCTTATCAGATTTATTTATTTATTAATTTTTTTTTGAGACGGAGTCTCGCTCTATCGCCCAGGCTGGAGTGCAGTGGCACGATCTGGGCTCACTGCAAGCTCCGCCTCCCGGGTTCACGCCATTCTCCTGCCTCAGCCTCCCGAGTAGCTGGGACTACAGGCGCCCGCCACCGCTCCCGGCTAATTTTTTGTATTTTTAGTAGAGATGGGGTTTCACGTGTTAGCCAGGATGGTCTCGATCTCCTGACCTTGTGACCCGCCCGTCTCGGCCTCCCAAAGTGCTGGGATTACAGGCGTAAGCCACCGCGCCCGGCCAGATTTATTAATATCTCTTTTATTCTCTGAATTTTGTCATCCATAAAATATCCCTCAAATATTAGACTTTACTGAGGTGAAGCTATTTTTCACCTATTTTTGTTTTTTGTCAATATGACATTTTAACCCATTTATGCCTAGTGTTCCATTATTGGAACACTAAACTTTTGGGAGTTATTTATATCCTATTGCTCAAGGTCATCACCAAAGTCTGATTTTTTTGCAAAACAAAAAAATTGCAACCTCTGGCATAAATGGGTTAAGACCAGCATGTTAGATACATTATTTAGTTTTAAATGAGTTCAAAAACCCAAGCCATATGCTGAGTTTACTTTACCCATGGGGCACATTTACCTGTTGATAGTAACTACTGTTGAAGATAAGTTACAAAATAGTGTATAATCATAATAGTAAATAATCATAATTCTTGACTATACTAAAAAACAAATTATCTTTTCTTAGAATTACTTCTCTACTCACTGAAACAAACTTCTCCTAGAGGATTTTTCAGTTTTTCATTAGTAGTAATTTATTTTGTCTGTAGTTTCAGCAGTAATAAATTTAGATATCATGTTTTATTGCCAAGAGAAAATATGTTAACCCTTGTGGTAGACAGAAAAACTTGGCTTGTTTTTAAAGCAACAGTAAATCAGTCTTTGAATGTAGTATTTGTGTTTTTGAACTACATTGTGTTTTCTTTGTGGGATCATTGTTTTGGAATTGATCATGAATTGATTATAGGCCTTGCGTAATTCCATGCTTTTTATAACATTGCTTTTGCCTTTTCTGGGTATAATACCTAATTCATTTCTTATCGTGTTGAATTTTTTTAATACTAGTAATAATTTTTTACTGCATGTGCAGAAATTTAGAGGGAATTTTTAACCTCTTGAAAGTTATTTTTCTTATTTAATGAGATTTTCAAAAACTAAAAATGATTATTTATTGGTTTGTTTCTCATGTCCACAATGTTTTATACTTGGTAAAAAATCATTCATTTATTGCAACTTTTTTTTCTTTTTTTTTTTTGAGATGGAGTTTTGCTCTTGTCACCCAGGCCGGAGTGCAGTGGCACTATCTCGGGTCACTGCAACCTCCACCTCCTGGGTTCAAGCCATTCTCCTGCCTCAGCCTCCCAAGTAGCTGGGATTACAGGCATGCGCCACCACGCCTTGCTAATTTTTGTATTTTTAATAGATAGAATCAGGGGTTCACCATGTTGGCCAGGCTGGTCTCGAACTCCTGACCTCAGGTGATCTGCCTGCCTCAGCCTCCCAGAGTGCTGGGATTACAGGCATGAGCCACTGCACCCGGCCACAACTTTTAAAAGATAAAAAAATGCATGTCATTACATAGGAACTTTAAAAAATAATCTTTCTAAAAAAATAGGCAGGCCGGATGGGGGATGGACCCATGAGGTCAAGAGATGAAGACCATCCTGGCCAACATGGTGAAATCCCTTCTTTACTGAAAATACAAAAATTAGCTGGATGTGGTGCTGTGCACCTGTAGTCCCAGCTACTAGGGAGGCTGAGGCAGGAGAATCGCTTGAACCCGGGAGGGAGAGTTGCAGTGAGCTGAGATTGCGCCACTGCACTACAGTGTGGTGACAGAGTGAGACTCTGTCTAAAATTTAAAAAAAAAATGTATTTTAAAATATAATATTTGAAATAAAAATGTAATATAACCAGTATCATAAAATATAACAAGATTGTCCTTTTGGAGCCTGAAAAATAATTGAATAAAAGAGTTTTGTTTTTGTCACTATCACTATCCTAATGGATCAGAAGTAATAAGTAGAAGTACCACAGATCAATTTTTTTTTCCTTAAGAACTTAAATTTTCCTTTGGGGAATTTATTTTCTTTTAAAAAATAATCAGGACCATAATTTTCAAAGGTTTGGATAAAGGATAATATTCTACAGAAAAAAAATATAGCATATCTACAAACCAAAGACTATATATTTGTAATACTGGTTTTTCTTCTCTTTCTTCCTTTATATAAAATATAGGGTCTGATTAAATTCATTGGCCTATTTAATATTAAATATGTTTAAAAATAGAGGAGGAAAATAAGTAGCCGCTGAACTGAGGAAAGGGGCCCCTCATTTTCTCTTGAATTTGATTTCTTCCAAACAACACAAAATTTGGGGCCAGACTGCTGATACTGAGAATATGTTCCTCTCCTTTCCTTACTCAATCTATTCCCTTCTCCCTTAAAACACACACACACTCTCAGACACACACACTGATCTTCCTCTCCCTGGCCCCTCCGTATTCTCGGACACAGATGTTTGGAAACTGCTCACACATTACACACAATGATCATTTTCAAGTCAGGAGCTGCCTCTCAGATTCTGAGTGATACAGGCTCTCCAGTTGCTGAAACAAATGAAAAAGCACATAAGTGGAATGTCCTTTTGAAAATTCAGTACATCGTTCCAATAAATATATACATTGTTGCATCTGGATTAATACACACTGAGGAAAAGAGCAATAGCTTCTGATAAACCTAATTTGGAACAATATGCAAGCTCCTTTATAAAATTAATACTATTATAGAAAATTTGGAAAGTATAGAAAGCTATGAAGAGGAAAAAAAAAAACCCAAAATGCCAATTAAAGATAAATTTGGAGTAGTTTAGTATACCATAGTGGTTAAGGGAAAGCACTCCAAGAGCCAGCTAAAGCATGAATTCTGGCTCTACCACTTTGTGACCTTGGGCAAGTTACTCACTTAACTTGTGTCTCCATTTCCTCATCTGTAAAATGGGCA